>NC_000007.14:98264354-98567385 GCF_000001405.40 Homo sapiens
CGATCTCGGCTCACCGCAAACCCCGCCTCCCGGATTCAAGTGATTCTCCTGCCTCAGCCTCCCGAGTAGCTGGGATTACAGGCGCCCACCACCATGCCTGGCTAATTTTGTATTTTTAGTAGAGGCGGGGTTCCACCATGTTGGTCAGCCTGGTCTTGAACTCCTGACCTCAGGTGTTCTGTCTGCCTCAGCCTCCTGAAGTGCTGGGATTACAGGCGTGAGCCACCATGCCTGGCTATTTATTTTTTTGAGACAGAGTCTCACTCCGTCACCCAGGCTGGAATGCAGTGGCAGAATCTCGGCTCACTGCAACCTCTGCCTCTTGAGTTCAAGTGATGCTCCTGCCTCAGTCTCCCACATACCTGGGATTACAGCACCCGCCACCATGCCCGGGTAATTTTTGTATTTTTAGTAGAGATGGGGTTTCACCATGTTGGCGAGGCTAGTCTTGAACCCCTGACCTCAGTTGATCCGCCCACCTTGGCCTCCCAAAGTGTTGGAATCACAGTCGTAAGCCACTGCATCCGCCTTTTTTTTTTTTTTTTCTTTTGAGACAGAGTCTCGCCCTGTCACTCAGGCTGGAGTGCAGTGGCGCTATCTCAGCTCACTGCAGCCTCCGCCTCTCAAGTTCAAGTGTTTCTCATACCTCAGCCTCCCGAGTAGCTGGGACTACAGGCATACACCACCACACCCAGCTATTTTTTCTCTATTTTTAGTAAAGATGGGGTTTTACCATGTTCCCCAGGCTGGTCTCGAACTCCTGAACTGAAGCTATCTGCTTGCTTTGGCCTCCCAAAGTGCTGGGATTACAGCCATGAGCCACCACGCCCGGCCAGGATTACATTTTCCATACGAGCCCAGTGTATACATTACAGCAATTTTATTGGTGTAGTTTCAGGGAAGATAATTTATTACTCCCTCTGTAGGGATCGTAATCTGTGAGGGTCTTATCTCTGGCTCTGTTTAGTCTTCCTAATTATTTATTTATTAAAAACAATTTTATAGAGACAGGGTCTCACTATGTTGCCCTGGCTGGTCTGGAACTCCTGGGCTCTAGCCATTGTCCTGCCTCAGCCTCCCAAAGCAGTGGGTATAGGCATGAGCCACCACACCCAGCCTAGTCGTCCTAATTATTTACAGAAAAAAAAAAAGGCAGAAGTTGCCAGGCACGGTGGCTCATGCCTATAATTCCAACACTTTGGGAGTCCGAGGCGGGTGGATCACAAGGTCGGGAGTGCGAGACCAGCCTGGCCAACATGGTGAAACCCCGTCTTTACTAAAAATACAAAAATTAGCTGGGCATGGTGGTGGGCGCCTGTAATCCCAGCTACTTGGGAGGCTGAGGCAGGAGAATCACTTGAACCCGGGGGGCGGAGGTTGCAGTGAGCCGAGATTGTGCCACTGCACTCTAGCCTGGGCAACAGAGCAAGACTCTGTCTCAAAAAAAAAAAAAAAGCTGTATGCCATGTGTGAGTCAAGCCACCTAGCCACATTCCTCTCAAGGGTCAGAATAATTTAAAATTCCAACAGCTGTAAATTTGAATTCTTTCACGTACTGAACTGTCAAAAACCCAGTCATTGTCCCTTCGAGCTCATCAGCTCAGCAGCAGGGCTGGGATGGATGCCTGGGATGACATGAATTCCTCCTGTTCCTTCTGTCTTTCTTTAAACAAGTCACCAGGGGCCATATCCATGTCCCATGGTGGGTAAATGGTGTTGTGTCCCTACAGGCCTCCCGCTCAAGGCTCTCTCTGGCCAGGAATGTGGATTTCTTAATGCACAGTTTGACCAGCTCCTTCACTGCCAGGCATAGATCTTTAGGTACTGTAAGTGTTCAGTAAGCACCCGTGAAAGGTCAGAGATGGGGGCAGACGGTGGAAGTGATTCAGAGAAACAAGAAGGAGAATTTGATTGTGGTATGAAAAGGCTTCCACAAGCAGCCAAAGATAAAATATGCCTATTGATCTACAGGATGTCAAATTAAGAAAAACGGCCAGGTGTGGTGGCTCACGCCTGTAATCCCAGCACTATGGGAGGCTGAGATGGGCGGATCACAAGGTCAGGAGATCGAGACTGTCCTGGCTAACACGGTGAAACCCCATCTCTACTAAAAATACAAAAAATTAGCCAGGCGTGGTGGCGGGCGCCTATAGTCCCAGCTACTCGGGAGGCTGAGGCAGGAGAATGGCGTGAACCTGGGAGGCGGAGCTTGCAGTGAGCCAAGATCACACCACTGCACTCCATCCTGGGCAACAGAGTGAGACTCTGTCTCAAAAAAAAAAAAAGAAAAACATAGGCCGGGCACAGTGGCTCATGCCTGTAATCCCAGCACTTTGGGAGGCTGAGGCGGGCAGATCACGTAAGGTGAGGAGTTCGAGACCAGCCTGGCCAACATGGTGAAACCCCGTCTCTACTAAAAATAGAAAAATCAGCCAGACATGATGGCACATGCCTGTAATCCCAGCTACTCGGGAGGCTGAGGCAGGAGGATTGCTTGAACCCTGGAGACGGAGGCTGCAGGAGGTTGCAGTGAGCCAAAATCACACCATTGCACTCCAGTCTGGGCGACACAGCAAGACTGTCTCAAAAAATAAAAAATAAAAAATAATAATAATAATAATAACTTTAAAAAAAAAGGTTTGAGGCAGCTGTTCACTCCATCTGCCACATGGTGGCACAGCAAGTGGGCAACTATGAAGCAAGAGTGAGCCCTGACCAAGCACTGAATCTGCTGGGGACTTTATATTGGACTCCCCAGTCTCTAGAACCATGAGAAATAAATTTCTGTCATTTATAAATTACCCAGTCTAAGATATTTTGTTATAACATCCCAAAGAAACTAAGACACTGCACAACAAATGGTCACAAATTTATCAGCTCCCAACAGCACACATTTATTCTTCCACAGTTTCCATTGGCGAAGTCTGGGCACTGCTTGGCTGTGTCTTCTGCTCAGGGTCTCTTGGGGTTACATTCAAGGTGTTGGAGGGAGAGGCTGCATTCTCATCTGGAGGTGCGAGTGGGGAATAATCTGCTGTCAAGCTCGTCCAACTTGGCAGAATTCATTTCCTTGCAACCGATGATGGAAGGCACCCTGTGTCTTGCTGACTGCTGTCTTCCCTCAGGTCCTGGAGCCACCTACCATTTCCTGCCACATGACCCTCTCCAGGGGCTGATCACAACATAGTTGCTTGCTTCTGCAAGGCCAGCAGGACAGAGGCTCTAGCCTCCAAAAGGGCCAAATCCCTCTTCCAAGGGCTTCTATTAATTAAACCAAGCTCACCCAAGATATTCTCCCTTTTGATGAACTCAAAAGCAACTCAATTCAGTTAAGTACATCTGCCAAACCCTTTCATCTTTTCCATATTCTATTAGCTAGAAGGAAGATAGAGTTCAATTCAAGGAAAGGGGGTTACATAGGAGGCAGAGAGGCTGGGAGCCACCCAAGGGTCTGTCAGCCGCAGTGAAATGACTGGGAGAAAGATAATTTGATTTTGGTATGGAGAGGGAGCCATAGATAAATATGCCTACTGATCTCAAGGAAGTCAAATTAAGACAAACATAAAGGAGGCCAGGTGCACTGGCTCACGCCTGTAATCCCAACACTTTGGGAGGCCAAGGTGGGCTGATAACCTGAGATCAGGAGTTCGAGAGCAGCCTGGCCAACAGGGTAAAACCACATCTCTACTAAAAATACAAAAATTAGCCTGGCATGGTGGCACATGCCTGTAATCCCAGCCACTCGGGAGGCTGAGTCAAGAGAATTGCTTGAACCCGGGAGGCAGAGGTTGCAGTGAGCTGAGATCACACCGCTGCATTCCAGCCTGGGCGACAGAGCAAGACTCTGTCTCAAAAAGAAAAAGAACTGGTGGGCACGCTGGCACACACGTATAATCCCAGCACTTTGGGAGGCCGAGGTGGGTGGATCACCTGACCTCCTCACCTGAGGTTGGGAGTTCGAGACTGGCCTGACCAACATGGAGAAACCCCGTCCATAGTAAAAAATGCAAAATTAGCTGGGAATGGTGGCACATACCTGTAATCCCAGCTACTCGGGAGGCTGAGGCAGGAGAATTGCTTGAACCCCGGAGGCGGAGGTTGTGGTGATGTGAGATTGTGCCACTGCACTCCAGCCTGGGCAGCAAGAGCGAAACTCCTTCTAAAAAAAAAAAAAAAAAGACCAGCTTATGTGGAAGGTGCTTCTGTTGGGCACTCAGGGTCAACGGATGCAGGGCAGGGTGGTCCTGAATGGCACGCTGAAGGGCCAGGATCTCACACCATGGGCTGCTGAGAGCCACTGAAGGTTTTTAAGCAGGGAGAGCTGGTGGCTCAGCTGAGCACAGTCACTCAAGGAAGATTACTCTGATGGTGGAAGGGGTACGCAGAGATGGGAAGCTTGCAGGTGACAGGGGCTGGGACTAGTCTAGGTCATGAGATGGATAAGAAGGCTGTGTAGGCTTTAAAAGCAAGACACAAGGGCTAGGAGCAGTGGCTCACACCTGAATCCCACCACTTTGGCAGGCCAAGGCAGGAGGATCACTTGAGCTTAGGAGTTTGAGACCAGCCTGGGCAACACAGCAAGACCCTGTCTCTTAAAAAAAAAAAAAGCAAGACACCATTATTACACCTCAATAAGGCTGTACACACACACACACACACACACACACACACACACACACACACACACACGACAGACTACAAGTCGTAGTTCCTGGATACAGGAATACAGGAGCATTGTATGTTTCCATGGAAAAGGGTTTCTCAAAAACTAAAGAGGGGCCAGGCATGGTGGCTCACACCTGTAATCCCAGCACTTTGGGAGGCGTGTCTTGACCTTGTGGCCTCAAGCGATCCTTCCACCTCAGCCTCCTGAGTAGTTGGGACTACAGGTGCGCACCACCACACCTGGTTAGTTTTTGTATTTTTAGTAGACATGGGGTTTCACCATGTTGGCCAGGCTGGTCTCGAACTCCTGACCTCAGGTGATCCATCTGCCTTGGCTCCCAAAGTGCTGGGGTTACAGGCATGAGCCACCGTTCCCGGCCCATATCCCTTTTTCTAATGCTATATTATAAATGCAAAAAGGAATTGTCCCAGGAAAGTAAGGAAAATGATCCACTAAAAAGAATGAATGAATGATGATCTTTTTTTTTTTTAAATTTTTATTTTTTGTAGAGATGGGGTTTCACTGTGTTGCCCAGGCTGGTCTCAAACTCCTGGGCTCAAGCCATCCTCCCGCCTCAGCCTCCCAAAGTGCTGAGATTATAGGCATGAGCCACCAGGCATGGGCATTACAGGCATGAGCCCAGCCTGAGGTGGGGGTCTCTGAGGGGGGCTTGGTTCATGCAACTGAGGGGTCATTCCTGCCTACTCACGGATCAGGCTTTCTGCTCACCTCAACTGACCCTAAAGACACTTTCTTTTTTTTTTTTTTTTTTTTTTTGAGATGAAGCCTCGCTCTTATCCCCCAGTCTGGAGTGCAATGGCGCGATCTCGGCTCACTGCAACCTCTGCCTCCCGGGTTCAAGTGATTCTCCTGTCTCAGCCTCCCTAGTAGCTGGGATTACAGGTGCATACCATCACGCCCAGCTAATTATTTGTATTTTAAGTAGAGACAGGGTTTCACCATGTTGGCCAGGATGGTCTCGAATTCCTGACCTCAGGTGATCCGCTGGCCTCAGCCTCCTAAAGTGCTGGGATTACAGGCGTGAGCCACCACGCCTGGCCCCTGAAGACACTTTCTAGGGCCTCAGGGAAAGCCTGAAACTGGGCTGCTGGCTTGGGCATTTGTCACTTGGCAACTTGGGCATTGTCTTGTCACATTGTGTTCATGTGGCTGGTTCTCCGTTGCCAATTCTCATAAGTCAGGGTTTTTATCAAGGATTCCCTTGGCATTGGTATTAATCCAGCTTCTCCCCAAACCATCCTGGCTCTGAGGGGTGGTACCTGGCTGTGGGCGCCATGAGTCGCTGGCTAGCAGTCGGACTCCAGGCTCAGAACCTGAGAATCTTGGCGGTGGGGCAGGATTGTGAGGCCGCATTCTGTCCCCGGTGAGACCTGGCTCTGTCCAGTTCCTCCCGGGCCTCCCAACGCCCCCGATGGCTCCTTCCCCCTGGCCATCTGTCCGGTCCCTCCTTCATGTCGGTCGCTGGCCCACCGGTGACTGCTTGGCTTCTGCTGGAGTTTAAGGGGGCTTTCCGCTGCCCCGTACTGAGGCATCCCCGCATCATTCCTGGGCGTGTCCCCAAGAACAGCCATGGCCTCCACAGTGCAAGCTGAAGGTAGGAGCCCCCGGAACAGACCAGGGAGGCAGTGGAGGGTGGGCTGGGCCAGAGAGAGGATGGGGGCTACCTGCTGGGGAGAAGGGATGGGGGAGTGGAGAGGGGACCCTCCTGCCACAGTGGCATCGGGAGGCCCTGGGGGCTCCTTCCCTCTGTCTCTTCGCCCATGGCAGCCTCTCTTCTTTGGAGAACCCCTCCCCACTGCTGCCCCCCAAGCTCACATGTGCTGCAAAGCCAAGACTCTATGAAACAGCATCTCCAAGCCTCGGTGCCTTCTCCTCCACTCTGCGGCTTGAAGCAGAACCGAGTTCTGGGCACTGCTGGCAAAATAGAATAATGACGGAGAGGAGGAGACCCAGATCCTTATAGGCCCTGAGAGGGTCCCCCCAAACATCATTGCTTGGGGGTGAGTCCTGAAAGCCGCTCCCTTACTGACCAAAGGAAGTGACCTCTCCATCTCAACCTGGGAGTGGTCATTTTTCTGCTTCATCCTAACCAAAGATGATGCCTCCTGTCACCAAACTCAGAGCTCTGGTGACTGGGGACAAGTTTGCCTCAAATTCCACTTCAATTCTCTCTACCATCATAGATTATTTCAATTTTATAATGTTTATGTATTCAGGGGGTTCAAGTACAGATTTCTTTTTTCTTTTTCTTTTTTTTTTTTGAAACGGAGTCTCGCTCTGTTGCCCAAGGCTAGAGTGCAGTGGCGCGATCTCGGCTCACTGCAATCTCCGCCTCCTGGGTTCAAGCAATTCTCCTGTTTCAGTCTAACAAGTAGCTGGGATTACAGGTGTGTACCACCACACCCAGCTAGTTTTTGTATTTTTAGTATAGATGGGGTTTACCATGTTGGCCAGGCTGGTCTTGAACTCCTGACCTCAAATGATCTGCCCACCTTGGCTCCCAAAGTGAGGGAATTACAGGCATGAGCCACCGTGCCCGGCTTTTTTTTTTTTTGAGATGGAGTCTCGCTCTGCTGCCCAGGCTGGAGTGCAGTGGCGCGATCACAAATCACGGCAGCCTCAACCTCCCAGCCTTAAAACACCTCAGCACCCTGCGTAGCTGGGAACACAGGTGCACATCATCATGACTGGCTAATTTTTAAATTTTTTTTTGTAGAGACGGGGTCTTGCTGTGTTGCCCAGGCTGGTCTCAAACTCCTGGGCTCAAGCAATCCTCCTGTCTTGGCCTCCCAAAATGCTGGGATTACAGGCGTGAGACACTGCAGCCAGCCAGCCACAAGGACAGATGCCTTACATGCAGGTATTGCATAGTGCTGAAGTCTGTGCCTTCAGTGCACCTGTCACCAGAATCGTGAACATTGTACCCAACAGGTGATTTTCAGACCTCACCCCCCTCTTGCCCTCCCACCTGTTTCAGTCTCCAATGTCTATTCTGCCACTCAGTATGTCTGTGGGTACCCATCGTTTAGCTCCCACATATAAGTGAGAACATGCCATCATAAATTAAACCACAGCTAACAGATCCCATAGGGAAAGACCTTCTGTCAGTCTGGATAACTTTTTTTTTTTTTTTTTTCTGAGATGGAGTCTTATTCTGTCATCCAGGCTGGAGTACAGTTGCGCAACCTTGGCTCACTGCAACCTCCACCTCCCAGGTTTAAGCAATTCTCCTGCCTCAGCCTCCTGAGCAGCTGGGATTGCAGGTGTGCACCACCACACCCAGTTAAGATTTGTATTTTTAGTAGAGACGGGGTTTCACCATGTTGGCGAGGATGGTCTTGAACTCCTGACCTCAGGTGATCCACCCGCCTCGGCCTCCCAAAGTGATGGAATTACAGGCGTGAACCACCTCGCCTGGCCAACAATCAGGATAACTTTCATTGTCATCTGATAGAGAATAGAAAAGTCACAGAGGTGCCTCATTTTCCCTGAATGACACTTGTAATCTCCAAAACTATCGAGTGAGATCCCAAAGAGCATCAGTCATCTCCACTGGCATCTTCCCTGCCATCTAGGCACTCTCAATTTATTTTATTTTATTTATTTATTTTTTATTTATTTTATTTTATATTTTATTTTATTTTATTCATTTTATTTTATTTTACTTATGAGACGGAGTCTTGCTCTGTCGCCCAGTCTGGAGTGCAGTGGCGCAGTCTCTGCTCACTGCAAGCTCTGCCTCCCAGGTTCACGCCATTCTCCTGCCTCAGCCTCTCGAGTAGCTGGGACTACAGGCGCCCACGACCGAACCCAGCTAATTTTTTGTATTTTTAGTAGAGACGGGGTTTCACCATGTTAGCCAGGATGGTTTCGATCTCCTGACCTTGTGATTCGCCCGCCTCGGCCTCCCAAAGTGCTGGGATTACAGGCGTGAGCCACCGTGCCCGGCCTATTTTATTTTTTAAAATTTTTTAATTTGTGGAGACAGAGTCTAGCTCTATCGTCCAGGCTGGAGTGCAGTGGTGTGATCTCAGCCCACTGCAACCTCCGCCTCCCGGGTTCAAGTGATTCTCCTGCCTCAGCCTCCCAAGTAGCTGGGATTACAGGTGTCTGCCACCATGCCCAGCTAATTTTTGTATTTTTAGTAGAGACGGGGTTTCACTGTGTTGGCCAGGCTGGTCTGGAACTCCTGACCTCATGATCTGCCCACCTCGGCATCCCAAATTGCTGGGATTACAAGCATGAGCCACCGTGCCTGGCTTCAGTTTATTTTTCTTTTTTCTTTATTTTTAAAAGTAGAGATGGGGGCCAGGCTCGGTGGCTCACGCCTGTAATCCCAGCACTTTGGTAGGTCAACGCAGTTGGATTACCTGAGGTCAGGAGTTCAAGACCAGCCTGGCCAACATGGTGAAACCCCATCTCTACTAAAAATACAGAAATTAGCCAAGCGTGGTGGTGGGTGCCTGTAATCCCAGCTACTCAGGAGGCTGAGGCAGGAGAATCGCTTGAACCCAGGAGACGGAGTTCAAGGTGTAGTGAGCCGAGGTTGCACCATTGCACTCCAGCCTGGGCGACAGAGTGAGACTCCATCTCCAAAAAAAAAAAAAAAAAAGAGATGGGGTCTTGCTATGTTGCCCAGGCTGGTCTCGAACTCCTGAGCTCAAGCGATCCTCCCGCCTCAGCTTCCCAAAGTTCTGGGATTACAGGAGTGAGCCACCGCACCTGGCTGCTCTTGATTTTTTAAAATGAGGAATGGCCTTATGTCATGATCCAGACATATTTCTAGCCTGAAGAGAGGATGCCCTTTATGGTCTAGGAACCAGAGCTTGAGTCTGGAGGTGGGAGAACCTAGGTTTGAATCCCCGCTTAGCAGTCAAATGATTGTGGGCACATGACCTTGAGTTCAATTAAACATTTAGTGAGCTCCTACTACGTCTGAGGCATTGTGGATACAGAGATAAGGCAGTGTCCTGGCCCACAAAGGGCTCAGGGGACCTGCTCAATGAACAGCCCAGCTCCTTCCTCATTTCTAAATCGGGGCTGATAATATCTGTCCATCATGGCTCTGGGGTTAATCGTGACGACAGAATATGGAAGTATGAATCACAACACAGTACTCAACACAAAAGAGAGCAGTGGGACATGCTGCTGCTTTCTCCCTTGAAGTTCCATTTATTTATTTATTTAGAAACAGGGTCTTGCTCTGTCACCCAGGCTGGAGTGCGCTGGTGCAATCATAGCTCACTTCGGCCTCCACCTCCTGGGCTCAGGTGATCCTCCCGCCTCAGCTTCCTGAGTAGCTGGGACTACAGGTGCATGCCACCATGCCCGGCTAAGTTTTTATTTTTATTTCTTATTTTTGAGACAGAGTCTTGCTCTGTCACCCAGGCTGGAGTGCAGTGGCGTGATCTTGGCTCACTGCAACCTCTGCCCCGTGGGTTCACGCAATTCTCCTGTTTCAACCTCCCAAGTAGGTGGGATTACAGGTGTCCACCACCATACCTGGTTAATTTTTGTATTTTTAGTAGAGATGGGGTTTCACCATGTTGGCCAGGCTGGTCTTGAACTCCTAACCTGCTCGGCTTCCCAAAGTGCTGGGATTACAGGTGTGAGCCACCACGCCTAGCCTGGTTTTTATTTTTTGTACAGATCTTGTTGCCCAGGCTGGTCTTGAACTCCTGGGCTCAAGCTTTCCTCCCTCCTTGGCCTCCCAGAGTGCTGGGATTACAGGCATGAGCCACTGTACCTGGCCTTGAAGTTGCATTTAGAAATGATGACTCTGTCATTCTGGAAGGTGATGAGATAAAAATGCCCCCAAAGAATAGATATGATTATAATTCGGAAAGGATGCTTGAGATCTCTGGTTTTAGAAAGCCTGGCTCCCTGAGGTTAACTGACTTGCGCCTGTCCCCCAGGGAGGAGATAGAACAGTCTGAATGAGAACCACTTGTTCTTTCAATCACAACTCACTGCCCTCGACATCCCAATTTGGCTGATGTTTTATTGGATTCCCCCCTGCCACCGATCAAGAAGTCTTGGAAAAGCACCCTGTTCTGTTACTCTGAATATAGCAGAGATAAAAGGTGTCCACTGAATTCTGCGTGTGTTGCCAGAAATGTGTTCACATCCACGTTTTAGCCTGGAGGTATCGGTGCATCTGTTAATCCTGCAGCTGCTTCTCAGGGGTTTTGAGTACAGCAGGTTGGAAACTTACTTAGCCAGAAACTTGCCATTCCGAATTTGTGCTTTTGTTAATTTTTTTTTTCAACCTCCATCTCCCAGGATCAAGCCATTCTCCTGCCTCAGCCTCCCGAGAAGCTGGGATTACAGGCATGCGCCACCACTCCCAGCTAATTTTTGTATTTTTGTATTTTTTATTTTATTTTATTTTTTTTGAGATGGAGTCTCATTCTGTCGCCCAGGCTGGAGTGCAGTGGCGCAATCTCGGCTCACTGTAAACTCTGCCTGCCAGGTTCAAACAATTCTCCTGCCTCAGCCTCCTGGGGTAGCTGGGACTACAGGTGTGTGCCACCACGCCTGGCTAATTTTTTTTTTTGTATTTTTATTAGAGACAGGGTTTCACCATGCTGGCCAGGCTGGTCTCAAACTCCTGACCTCGTGATCCGCCTGCCTCGGCCTCCCAAAGTGCTGGGATTACAGGTGTGAGCCACTGTGCCCAGCCCTAATTTTTGTATTTTTAATAGAGA
The DNA here is from genome assembly GCF_000001405.40 of Homo sapiens. Classification (NCBI taxonomy): domain Eukaryota; kingdom Metazoa; phylum Chordata; class Mammalia; order Primates; family Hominidae; genus Homo; species Homo sapiens. Next base: position 98,275,749 of record NC_000007.14, read on the forward strand.
CAGGGTTTCACCATGTTGGCCAGGCTGGTCTCGAACTCGTGACCTCAAGTGATCCGCCCACCTTGGCCTCCGAAAGTGCTGGGATTAAAGGTGTGAACCACCGTGCTTTCTTTTTAAATTTTTTGTAGCGGGCAGAGTCTCACTATGTTGCTCAGGCTGGTCTCGAACTCCTGGCCTCAAGCAATCCTCCTGCCTTGGCCTCCCAAAGTATTGGGATTACAGGCATGAGCCACCATATCTGGCCCAGAATTTGTTCATTGTTCTTGTGGCAAGTGCTTGAAAATGTGGATTACAAAAGAAATGCTTTCTATGTTTCATTGTGTGAGTTAAGTATGTTCTACCAGGCAGATTTATGTAGTGAGGACTACCCCATTAGAGAATGAAGAGTGTAATATAGATTTAAATATGTAAATATATACATAGAGGATATATATATGTATATACACACATGACTTGTGATATAATTTGTCTTGTCACTCAGCAAGAGAAATTTTTGTCTGTGTCATGTAAAAACTTATGTGCTTAAGTTATAAAATATTTAGAAATATTTGCCTAGTAGAACCATAAGGCTTACCTCAGGCTAACCATAAAACTCGGAACTTAAAGTGTTTATCTAAGATAAACATTTAGCAAATATTCAGCAAATATTTGGCAAGGGCCTTCCCTGAGCCAGGCGCTTGTAATTGGTTACAGCCTTGGATTTTGAAATTATATTTGCTTCCTTTTTTTTTTTCTTCTTTTTCTTTTTGGTCTTAGTTCCTACCATGTGAGATACTTGCTGCTTGTGTGTTCCCAGAAGCTCACGTGGTGGATTATCAGCCTTTCTCAAGAGCATTCAAGAAAGGGCATGATCCTGGTTTAGGTTTCCTCTGGTACACTGGAGGAGAGTCAATGGTGACTGTCAAGGTTTCCGGAACAAGACATCTCCCTCATCCCCCAGGCGGGGGCCAGGACCTCCACTGTCCAGCCAGGTCTCCTTGCTGAGTGCCCCCAGTGAAAACATTCACACAGAGCAACAAAAATCACATATATTCATTTGTATGGGAATGGCAGTACTAAAAATAATTTTTTAAATGTCTGCATGAGGCCTGGTGCGGTGGGTCACACCTGTAATCCCGGCACTTTGGGAAGGCCGAGGTCAAGAGTTCGAGACCAGCCTGGCCAACATGGTGAAACCCCATCTCTACGAAAAATACAAAAATTAGCTGGGTGTGGTGGCGCACGCCTGTAATCCCAGCTACTGGGGAGGCTGAGGCAGCAGGAGAATCACTTGAACCTGGGAGGTGGAGATTGCAGTGAGCGAAGATCATGCTGCTGCATTCCAGCCTGGGTGACAGAGTAAGACTCTGTCTCAAAAAAATAAAAATAAAAATAAATGTCTGCATAATACAAAAGTGGATAAAAGGCCGGGCGCAATGGCTCACTCCAGTAATCCCAGCACTCTGGGAGGCCAAGGTAGGAGGATCGCTTGAGGCTAGGAATTCAAGACCAGCCTGGGCAACAGAGGGAGACCCCATCTCAAAAAAAATTAAAAAAATTAGCCAGGTGTGGTGATGGCACACCTGTAGCCCCAGCTACTTGGGGAGGCTGAGGTGGGAGGTCACTGAGCCCGGGAGGTTGAGGCTGCAGTGAGCTATGAATGCACCACTGCACTCCAGCCAGGCAAGCAGAGCAAGACCCTGTCTCTAAAAAAAAACAAGAAAGAAATCCAAAAGTGGACTGTATCCACTTTTGTATTTGTATTCTGTATTCTGTATTTTGTATTTTGTATTCTGCTCTGTAGCAGAATTTCGGAAATCCGAAACATATGCATATTTATGTATTCCAAGTCTTCTTCAATAGGAATGCATTTCTCTTAAAACCAACAAGAGGCCGGGCATGGTGGCTCACACCTATAATCCCAGCACTTTGGGAGGCCGAGGCAGGCGGATCACCTGTGGTTGGGGGCTCGAGACCAGCTTAACCAACATGGAGAAACCCCATCTCTACTAAAGATATGAAAAAATTAGCTGGGTGTGGTGGCACATGCCTGTAATCCCAGCTACTCGGGAGGCTGAGGCAGGAGAATCGCTTGAACCCAGGAGGTGAGCCTGGTGAGCCGAGATCGTGCAACTGCACTCCAGCCGGGGCAATGACAGCAAAACTCCATCTCAAAAAACAAACAAACAAAAAAACAAACCAAAACCAAACCAAACAAAAAATCCAGCAAGAGGCGGCATACTTCTCTTGTATACTTGGCATGGAGGCAGTGTGGGGTGATCCTAGGATTAAGTGTGGTACATCTGTTGTTTGAAGACCCACCTCTACTGGTTGGGAGGCTTTGGAAACGTATGGAGGCCCTCTGTGCTTCAGTTTCCTTTTTTTTTTTTTGAGGCAGGGTCTCGCTCTGTCGCCAGGCTGGAGTGCAATGGCACAATCTTGGCTCACTGCAACCTGTCTCCTGGGTTTAAGTGATTCTCGTGCCTCAGCCTCCCGAGTAGCTGGGACTACAGGCACGTGCCACCACATTCGGTTAATTTTTAAATTTTCTGTAGAGATGGGCGGGGGGCTGGGGGGGGTCTCGCTATGATGCTCATGCTGGTCTCGAACTCCTGGCCTGTAGTGATCCTCCCACCTTGGCCTCCAAAAGTGCTGGGATGACAGGTGTGAGCTACTGTGCCCCTCCCTTCAAAGACATTTTTCTAATACTGAAATCCGATGCTCACACTCCCCTGTTCAAACTCTACGCAGTTCCCCAATAGGCTCTTACAGGATGCTATCCCAACTCCAATGCCCGGCACCGCCTCCCCTGGCCAGCCCCACCTCTGCCTTCTAGAGACTCTTCCAGGGCTCTGGCCACACCAAGTGACAAGTCCTGGCATATAATGGGCCACTGTATACTCTTTGGGATTGCAGTTCACTCTGCCTGGAATGCTCTGCCACTGGTCCCTGGGGCTGACTCGCCACTGGCCTTCCAAGCCAGGCTGTGGCCCTGGAACTCTCCAGGCACCCAGGCTCATCACCACCCTGTGTGTGGCAACTCCAACCCTCTTGCCATACAAAGCTCCCTCCACCACAGTTACTATCTGGCTCCCTGTCTGCTACTTGTGTCCCTGTCATCGTCCTCTTTGGCCCCCCAGGGCTTGCACACAGAGCCCGGGATAGCAGTTCCATCTTCCGCACACTGCACGTTTGGAGGGGCAGGAACTGCTTTGTGTCTGAGGGCAGCACTGGTCAAAGCCATGCCGGGACATCCCAAAGTCACACCCCAGCATTCACAGACTTGGAGTTCCAAACCCAGGGGCATTGCTGGGGCAAAAACAATTGTTGGAAGAGAAGGGGACCAGGAGCTGTGGATTTTGTAGGGTTTATCAGGAAATGCAGGCAAGCAGTGAAGGGACAATTAGCCATGAAATGGAAGGGAAATGTGCCAGCTTTTGTTGATCTGATAGGAAAGGAGATCACCGGGCCTGCAGCTGCTACTCCTCAGCAGTTTGCAAGGCTGGGAGGAGAATCCAGGTGGCCCCTGTTGACCAAGTGTTAGGAGGGTTGACGTGAGCCACATCTCTTCATGGTTGATGAGGCACGAGGCTGCACCCCAGTATTCTCTGGCCAGGGGCTGTCACCCTGTGGTGCCCGGACAGCTGCCCCCAGGAACAATGGCCTCCTCACTGCCTACCAGAGCCTCTACTGGCTCCAAAGCCCTTGGCCACTCCTGGCCAGTCTCCACTCTTTTTTTTTTTTTTTTTTTTGAGATGGAATCTCACTCTGTCATCCAGGCTGGAGTGCAATGGCACGATCTTGGCTCACTGTAACCTCCGCCTCCCAGGTTCATGTGATCCTCGTGCCTCAGCCTCCAGAGTAGCTGGGATTACAGGTACCCCCCACCATGGCCAGCCAATTTTTGTATTTTTAGTAGAGACGGGGTTTCACCATGTTGGCCAGCTGGTCTCGAACTCCTGACCTCAAGTGATCCACCCACCTCACCCTCCCAAAGTGCTGGGATTACAGGCATGAGCCACCACGCCCGGCCCAGTCTTCACTCTTGATCTGGCTGTTCATCAGTGCCAGGGGCCACCCCTCAGTTCCCTAGTGTACCTGGACCACCCCTCAGTTCCTTTTTCGAGGACTGTGGGTACGATGACTAGGACAGCAGGTACAAGATCGATGGGAATGGGCTTCGAAGAGCTGGTCTTGTGATAAAGAAATATGATGGTCAGGTGGGCTTGGTGGCTCATGCCTATAATCCCAGCACCTTGTGAGGCTGAGTGAGGAGGATCACTTGAGCCCAGGAGTTTGAGACCAGCCTGGGAAACATAGCAACACCCCATCTCTACAAAATATAAAAAAAAATTAGCTGGGCACTGTGGCGTGCACCTGTAGTCCCCAGCTACTTAGGAAGCTGAGATGGGAGGATCACTTGAGCCCCGGAGGTCGACGTTGCAGTGAGCCAGGGTTGCATCACTGCACTCCAGCCTGGGCCACAGAGTGAGACTCTGTTAAAAAAAAAAAAAAAAAAGATATATATATATATATATATATATATATGTATGTGTGTGTATATATACATGTGAATGATGATCCCTTATTAAAAAATAAAAATAAGGCCGGGTGCAGGGGCTGACATCTGTAATTCCAGCACTTTGGGAGGCTGATGCAAAAGGATTGGTTGAGGCCAGCAGTTTGAGACTGGCCTGGGCACATAGCAAGATCCCATACAAAAATTTTTAAAAATTAGCTGGGCATGGTGGCGTGTGCCTGTGGTCCCCAGCTACTGAGGAGGCTGAGGTGGGAGGATGGCTTGGGCCCAGGAGGTCGAGACTGCATTGAGCAATGACTGTGTCACTCTACTGCAGCCTGGGTGACAGAGCAAGAGAGCCCCCCCAGCACCCCCTACAAATTTTTTTTTTAAAAATTAAAAAGGCGCGGTTCGAGAAGAGCTGTAGTCGTCCCAGAGCTACAGTGCAGGTGATATCAAAATGCAGGTGAGAAAACTGGAGACAGAATACAGTAACGGATACAGGTGCCCCTGAAAAGGTGCAGAGGCGCTAAGGACGCAAGCAATCCTGAACGTTCCAATCGTTCGTTTTAAAGTTGTCCTGGCCAACCCGTGAAGCCTTGTATGAGGAAATGTTTCAACGAGGGCGCCTGACGCAGTCCCCGAGGCCAGAAAACACCCAGGTTTAGATACGGGCTCTGACCCGCACCTGCCACAGCCAAATCCCTCCCCCTTCTGAGCCCGATCCCGTGTTGTCCTCCAGGGGTAAGCAAAACACCTGGCAGGGCTGCCTGAAGATTAGGGAAACTGAGGAGACGCGGCAGGTGCCCAGTATTTATAGTTTTGTCCCCAAACGGGGGAGTTATTTGTAAGCACTGGCTACTACCCCCGTCAATCACCTAATTGTCCAAAAAAAGGCAAACGGAGGGAATGCGCCGCAGCTGAGCACCGCGCAGGCCGCAGCTGAGGTGCACACCCGGGTGTGCCCTTTGTATTGCTGGAAGCGCTGGCGATCATAGGGGCAGAGGGCTGGCGTTGGGGCGGCCTGGGACCCACCCGGCCCCGCCCCCTCTCAGGCCCCGCCCTCCCCCTCCTCCACCGGTAGGGGGACCTCGGCCGGCCTGGGAGATCGGGGCGTAGGGGGAGGTGGGGGTGCATCCGCGAGCCCTAAAGGTCATGACCCTATGGGGCGTCTCTGGGTCGTCGTGGGGGATGGGCGGGGGGGGGGGTCTCCCCGCCACGGGAGGTCTAGAGAGCAGCGGCGGCGGGGCGGGGCGGAGTGCAGAGGCGCCGCCGGCGGGGCGGCTTCGGGAGGGCGCGGCCCCTTTAAGACGCCCCGCCGGCCCCGCCCCCGAGCCCCGCCTCCCGCCGCCCACGTGACCCCGGTCTTGTGACTGGGCCCGGGAGGGCGGGGGAAGCCCGCGGCTCGCGCCCGCCCCGCCCCGCCCCGCGTCTGCCTCAGAGGGGCCCGAGCCACCCGGTCCGCCGCGTCCCCGCCGCCGCCGCCGCGTCCCCCGCCGGGGCCGACCGAGCCGAGCCGGGCCGGAGCGGCGGGCGCGGCCGGGCCGCCATGGACCACAAGCCGCTGCTGCAGGAGCGGCCGCCCGCCTACAACCTGGAGGCCGGCCAGGGCGACTACGCGTGCGGCCCGCACGGCTACGGCGCCATCCCCGCCGCGCCCCCGCCGCCGCCCTACCCCTACCTCGTCACAGGTGGGCCCGTAACCAACTTTCCCCGCCGGCGGCTTCCGAGGTGGCAAGCCCGGTCGGGGGACGTGGGTCCGGAGGCGGGTGGGGCCCGCCCGGGGGTCCTTCCTGGAGCTGGAGGTCCCCGGGCTGGCTTCGGGACCCGGCGCCGCCGAGGGCCAGCCTCCCCCCCGGGGCTCTAGTCCTCGGGCCCGTCGTAACCCGGCGGGGCCGGATCCCTGCCCCAGATGAACTTTGTGTCACGAGGCGCTCGCTGTTGGCAGATTAGCGCCGAATCAGGCCCGCGGTGGCCGTCCCGAGGGTGGAAAAGACCGGGGGCTTTTTTAGCGGGGTGGAGGTTGAGGGGACAGGATGAGTAGTCCCCGTGGCGGTCCGATTTCTCCTCCCTGCACCCTAATGACCTGCTTTCCCGCCCACAGGGATACCCACCCACCATCCCAGGGTCTACAACATCCACAGCCGGACCGTCACCCGCTATCCTGCCAACTCTATCGTGGTCGTAGGAGGCTGTCCTGTCTGCAGGTGAGTGGGTCTGCAGCCTGGGGACTGGCCCTGGAAGCTCTGAGGACCCCCGCCCTAACCCCCAGGACCTCACAGCTCTGCTTGTGGGAGTGGGTCCGGCTTGACTTGGATCTTGACCAGAGCCCTTTATGGGAGGGACAGACAGGCTGCCCGAATGCGGTGTGGGAGAGTGCGGGTCCGCTCACCCTTGGCTCTGAACACATTTTGTGGGGGCAAAAGGGTGGATTCCTTTTCCTAGATCTTGGGGCATTGCACCCCAAGTGATTGGGATGTAGAAATGGTAACAACGGGACTCGTGGTCCTTTCGTCTTTGTTCTGGGACTTGCAAGGAATCAGGTGTCTGCTTTTTCCTTCACTTTCCGCAAGTTTACTCTGCAGTTGATCGTCGAAGGTGGTGGAAGGTTTCATTTTCCCGGAAGGGGCATTTGGAAGTAAGTGCACCAGCAGGACAGACCTCAGTGGGAGAAGCGACGGCCGTAAGAGCTGCTTTATCCAAAGTTGGCTTGAAACGCTCTTCCACGAGCTGGACCAGGATGGAAACCCCGTGTTTCTTTGAGGCAGGAGTTATTTTTTTCATATCCTCGCATTGGACCTGCACACGCTTTTTGGTTTTTATAGGGCCCCGAGGTGCAGCTAGAGGCTTGTTTTGTGGAGGTTTTGAGGATTCACATTTAAATAAGGATTAATTAAATATAAACCCTTGGCAGCTGGGGGTGTTCAGATTGCTTAGAAAGTAGGGGCAGAGTTGGCCGGGACAGGGTTTTCAGCTGTGTCTCGGAGGAGGAAGTTGAAGCCACTGAGATGGAATTAAGAAACCCTGGTTTGGACTTAGACTTGATTTCAAAAGTGTGTGTGTAAGGCCTAGAGTGGAGTCACGGGGAAGTGAGTGATTTCAGAGCCTTAGCAGGCAACTTCCTGGGAAGGAAGGGCAACCTAGAGGTGGGGACAAGAGGCTGGGACCTCGGGGGCAGGTTGTGGCTGCTTGCCTGCACAGGGACCCCGTGACAAACCCTAACTGGGACGTCAGTTTGACACAGTTGGTCACCACCCAGCAGAAACATTAGCCTTTGGAGTGAAGGTGGAGGGAGGGCAGGGTGGGGCGCTGGCTGCCTTCGGGACATAGTTCTCTCCCGGAGCTGCACCGGGTTGGGGGGCTGGCAGAGCTGTGTGAGTGTGAAGGCACATGGAGGGGACTCAGAACATGGAGGAGCAGAGGGTCTGCCTGCGTGTCATTGTCCATGCCCTGCCATCCCGGTGTCCAGCCTGCCGGAGGAGCCGGGTTCCGGTCCTGGTCCTGCCAGGAACAGCGGGGCTTGTTTCCCCACCTGGGACGTGGGGGTGTCTGGTGAGGTGTCTCTGAAGCTCTTAGCTCTTCTCTGCCCAAACCCCTGAACTTGGAGAGGTGAGAGACCAGCGGCAGCGAGGGATGGGCCAGATATCCCAGGGCTGGGGGGCGCCGAGGTGGTGGCGCAGTTGCTGTCGGTATGGGGGCACTGGCCCTGCCACTTCCCCTTCCCTAGGTGGGAACTGTGTCCCTGCGGAGGCCCATGGCTTCCGCTAACCTGGAGGTGCTCTCCAGTTATGCAGAACCTGGAGCGGGGTCAGACTGTGCTCTGCTGGGAAGGATCTTGGGCTCGGCCCTCAGAGGCTGTAGGGGTGTGGGGTCCTTGGTTACTTAATCACTGCTCTCTGCCTCTGGGCAGCTGCACCAGGCAGGGTGGAGGCTGGGTCCTCTCTGGACAAGGTTGGGGGGTCCTTAGTCCTTTAAGTTGGGACCAGAGCACTCTTGGATCCTGCGGCGACCCCTTGGGTTGCAGCCAGGCCCTCCCAGCACACACGTCCCTGCGCTCTGCCCGTGGTGCCTTGGATGCTGGAGAGTGGCTCTGGCTCCCCGAGGCTTTGCCTCTGCAGCTGCATTGGGCATGGGATGGGCCCCTGTGCCCTGTGGCAGCCAGAGGGCGAGCAGGGGGCTGGGTGCTCTGCTGCTGGCGTGGGTGGGGTGTGTGGTCCCTGGGCCACTCCTCTCTGCGAGGAGAGTGGAGACGGTTCCCTGAACACACAACACACACGTCTGGCCGCTGCCTGGCGTCTTGGCCCGGGAGACAGGATACCACTCACATGACCACACTTCCTCCTGCCCCAGGTCCAGCCCGCCGGGCTCTGTCCCCCTCCCTGCCTGGTGGCATGGCAGGAATTTGCCCAAGTCACACATCTGTTAGTCCTTCTGAGTGAGGCTTGGCCAGAGAAGCCCGTGTCCCTTGTGGCTCTGCTGCCCTGGCCAGGCCTTCGCTGAAGCTGCCTGACTCCATCTTCCCTTTCTAGCCGTTTATGAGGAAGCATTTCCGCAGCCTGGCGGCGGATATGTCCCTGCTCCTCCCACCCTCCTGCTTCACCCCTGCCCTGCCCTGCCCTGCCCTGCCTTGCCCTGCCCAAGGCCTGGGCCTCCCTGAAGCCAGGTTCTCCCTTGCCCAGGGAGGCCAGTCATTCTTTGCTGGGGGTGTGGTTGTACCTAGGTGCAGGATGAGGTAGCTGCGCTGGGAGGCTCTCCTGGGCTGGAGCAGAGCCTGCGTCCTGCAAGCGGGGAAGGCAGGAGTGGGGAAGGCCCCTGGCCTGCACCAGGCCCCCATGAGTACTGGCTGGGCTGTCACTGGGTATTTAGTTTTGGGGGTGACCAGAGAGAGAGGAAATCCTGGAAAGGATTTCACTTTTCCTAGGGAAGGTGAAAAGAACAGCTGTGGAGGGCGGATGTCGCTCAGAGGTCCAGGGTGCGGCTCAGTGGCCAGCGTGGAGGCTGCCACGGCCCTTGGGGGGCAGAGGTGGGCTGTGGAGGGCACGGGGTGGTGACTGTGGAGCCCGGGAGGGGCTGGAGGGGAAGGAGCCTGTGACAGCCTTGGGCTTCCAGACGATGGAGGTGGAGGGGCTGCTCCCTCCTACCACCTGTGACCTGGAAGCCAGAGCTCCCCTGGTTGAGGAAGTGGCTGAGTTAGCTGGGATGGCTCTGCCCATATGTATGGCCTGTGGGCTGTCCCCGTCCTGACAGTCTTGGCCTGAGGTGTGGGGGCAGCGGATGGGCCGGAGCTTGGGCCTGGGCTGCTTGCTGGGCAGGGCTGCAGACCTCGGTGCCCAAGTGCTCCCTCAGTGGCCTCCTGAGTCTCTGACCTTGGGCTCAGCCCCCAGCTGTGGGCCAAGTGGCACTGCTGGGGTGGGTGTGGTGGCAGGCAGAGTCTCCGGGCACCTTCTCAGGCCTTTCTTCCACAGGGGAGGCGAGGGCTGGCCCTGGCCATTGGGTTTGCTGGGAATGGCCCTGGGAGGTCCTGGTGAACTGTCCCTAAGCCAGGCAGCTCCCCTGTGGGGAGTGGACACCCTGGGACAGCCAGAGCCTGGCTGGAGCTGCTTTGGGGCCACCTCGCCCTGCGCTGAGCATGGCTTCAGGCCCTCAGCCCTCTGAGGAAGCCCTGCGTCTCCCCTTTTCCTGGCGAGGCCTGGCCTTCCAGCGGGGTGGTGGTCTGGGGTTGTTCCTGGGCGTGGATGGTGCCTTGAGGCCACCATGTGCGCAGAGGGCAGCTTGGTGCCCTAGGGCCAGCCCCCTGTGACACTGCCTTTGGGGGCTACCTGGGAGGGAGAACTGGGACCTGCAGGATGGGTGCTCGTGACTGGGGAGCCCATCTGGGTTCAGATCCCAGCCACGCCTTTCCCGGCTGGGAGTCCCTGGACACACCCTCAGCTTCAGCCTCCTGTAAAGTGCCTGTGGGGACACAGGGAGGGCGAGGATGGCCTTCTCCCTGGGCAGCTCAGAGCCCTGCTGCCAGCCCCCTCTGTCCTTGGTGAGGCGGGAGCCCCGCGGCCTCTACTGTCCCAGGGCCCAGCTCTGAGTGGATGACAGTGGCATGACTGGCCACTTTCACTGCAGGACTGGAGTCGCCTTAAGGGAGTGCTCTTGGAATTAGTCAGTTCCCTAATTTCGCCAGTGGCCATGGTCCCTCCCTGGCCGCGTGGCTTATTGCACAAGAATGGGGGAGGGGCGGCTAGAGAGAGCCGGTCAGGACCAGAGCGGTTGAGAAGGTTGAAACCCACCTCACCAACTCAGGTGGGCTCTTCCGGGTTTGGAAGGGAGGAGAACTCGAGGCTGTGGGGACCGCAGGTGTTCCGGGGCAGGGGTTCCCCTTCTGCCCTCCAGTGCTGGGGACAGGACTGCCCTGCAGCTTGGGGAGTCTTGACCTAGAATCTGGATTGTGTTTCTCAGTTCAGAAGATTTGGGGTTTTAAAAAGTAAATGATGCCAACACTCCTTTTGAGGTCTAGGGCAGTACTGCAGTTAAAACTTTAATATTTCTGCAGCAAGACATGAATATTCAGATAAAGTAGGATAAATTACGACTATAAATAGCCACACACCAGTTCAGGTCACATGTTGCTGCCAGGTGAGTTTGCTGTCAAGTGACAGCGAGTTCTGCCTTCAGCGCCTCTTGGCGTTTGAAGTTGTGGGTACGGCTGTGGAATCCTGGGGGGTAGGGAATGCTGCCCACCCTTAGGCTGACCCCAGAGCCAGAGGTGAGGGCCGAACTCTCCTGGCCAGCCCTCGGGCCTTCGAAGCCCGTTCAGAGCTCTCAGGCCCAAGTGCTCGTTCTCCCGGGCCGGGGTTCTCAGGTCTGGATCACAGCCTTCTGTTGCTGGCAGAGGCCTGAGCCTCCTGGGACAGCTGGATCTGTCCAGCTCCCGGGCGGCACTGCAGGGAAACAGGCTCGCTCTCCCCAGAGACCCGGGGGCCTTGGCCCTCCTACCCTCTCTTTAAGCGGTGTGGAGGTGGGCAGGAGGGTGGGGGTTGAATGGACCAGGGATAGGGAGGCTGCCTTAGGAGGTGCCGGAGTGGGTCCCTGGACTGAGGGGCTCAGGCCAGGGTGGCACAAACGGCCCAGCCCTGTGCTCTGGCTGAGGATGGGATGGGTCTGGACAGAAATTCCGTGGGTTGGAAGGAGGGTGTTTCCCTGTGCCTGGGAGGCCGTGGGGTCAGCACATTAGGTTTGGCCCATTGTGCTGCTTGCAGCCCCGGGGCTGGGAATCAAGGTGCTGGGAAGAGAGGCGCCGGGGCCTGGGTGGGCTGGGCTGGCGCTGCTGGAAATCCTAGCACTCAGGTGGGCCGGCGCCCTGGCCCGTGGCAGTGGGAGTGCAGCAAGAGTGAGCAGCCTTCCTGCACTTCTCAGCTCTGACAGAGTAGGTGGGTTTTGGGTCTGGATGGAGAATTAGGAAGCAGGAGGGCGCTGCTGCTCTTGGACTTGGGTCCCAGGCGCGAGCAGCAGCTGCAGGTGGGAGGCTGGTGTGGGCGGGGCCCCCAGGCAGCACTGTGAAGCCCCACCCCTGCCCATTGCACCATCACACCTGGATGTCTCTGCTGCGCCCCATGGGCGGGCTCCAGCCGGGCTCCCCACCCACACCCCTTTGCCCAGCCTCCTCCCAGGCATCTCTGGGCCTTTGAACAGGCAGTCAGCTCTGCCTGCAGCCCTGCCTCTCAGCAGCTTTGGTCCTGAGGTGAGGTGCTCAGATGGTCACTGATTGGGCTGGCTGAGGGGTGCCCGGTGACACTGGGGACCACTCTGGGGGGTGCGGGCCTCTCCCCTAGAAGGATTTCTCAGCCGGTTCACCCTCCCTGTCTGCTTTTTCATGGGACATTTTCTAACCAGAATATACAGCCAGTGTGTTTCCTGGGATTTGACCGCAGATGCCAGGAAGAAAAGGGAAGAGGAAGCTCCCCTGAGAGGCCTGAGGCCACTGGCTCCCTCCAGCTCCCCCGGAACCTGTCATGGCCATCTGTGGGGACACAGCTGGTGCTTGGCCTTCCCGAGGCTCCCCCACCTCGACTGTGTGGTCTTGGGAGCTGTGGCACCTGGGGGAGAAGGTCCTGGAGCCAGGCAGGGCGTGCTGCAGTCGGCAGGGCTGGGCGGAGGTGTCCTGCCCAGTCTGGACTGGCAGGGGCAGCCCTGGGCAAGGCTGAACAAGTGTGGTGGCCTGACGACCTTCTGGGGCTTAAATAGGGGACACATTTGTAAAAGCCCACACAGGAAGTAGAAACTTTCCTGGCAGACTCTGGTCTTCTGCTTGGCTTTGCCTTGGAGCTTCATGGTGTGCCCTGCAGCCCAGCTCAGCCCCTCCACACAGACAGGTGGCGTTGTGTGAGTTTGGGAAACACTGGGTATAAGAGTGCTGCAGGACTTCTCAGAGCCTTTTGAGAACGAATGGACATAGGGACTGTAGGAGAAAAGTTTCCCAAAATCGGCTGAACAATCCCCCTTTTCCAAATGCATACCACTGTGTCTGGCTAATTTTAAATTTTTGTAGGGAGGGGTCTTTGTTGCCCAGGCTGGTTTTGAACTGCTGGCTTTAAGCGATCCGCCTCAGCTTCCCAAAGTGCTGCAGTTGCAGGCGTGAGCCACGGTGTCCTACTCCACTGGAGATTGCTGAAGGGACCTCCCTGAGTAGGCTAGAGGGAGGCAGGTGGGCATGAAGTTTTTTTCTTTTTTCTTTTTTTTTGAGACGGAGTTTTGCTCTTGTTGCCCAGGCTAGAGTGCAGTGGCACGATCTCAGCTCACTGCAACCTCTGCCTCCCAGGTTCAAGCAATTCTGTTTCAGCTTCCCGAGTAGCTGGGATTACAGGTACCCACCACTACGCCCAGCTAATTTCTGTATTTTTAGTAGAAACGCGGTTTCACCATGTTGACCAGGCTGGTCTCGAACTCCTGACCTCAGGTCATCCACCCACCTCGGCCTCCCAAAGTGCTGGGATGACAAGCATGAGCCACTGCACTTTGCAACTTTTTCTTTCAGCAGTGGAAAGCCCGACTTCAGAATATTCTGGTTTATTTTTCCATAATCCCCGGAGAAGCAGGGAACAGGTTCTGTGGGTGGGGTTTGGGCTCCCCAGCCTGCTTTGCCCAGCAGGGGTGGGGGCAGTGGCCCTCATGAGTCCAGACCCCCAGGAAGCAGCTGGAAACATCCAGGGGGCTGGGATGGGAGTAGGGTCCCCCAGATGGCCAAGTTTTCTCCCCTTAGCAAGGCACAGGTAGTCATGCTTCCCTGTCGCAGGCAGGCGGCTGCACTGCCTTGCTGTAGGCTCCCCTTCCCCCCTAAGCACCAGGTCCCATCATCTATCAGACAGCCCCACCCTGTTGTGTTTTTCTGTCCACTCACTCCAGCACTGGCTGGATGGGGGGTTTGGGCCCCCAGGAGGCCCAGAAGGAGCCCGTTGGGGTCTGCCTGTCTGGTGGGAGCAAAGCTTTTCTCATTTGGGCTGAGCTGGCTAGTGTGGTTAATTTCAGCTGTGTCCAGAACTTTCCAGAAATAGCCTAAGGAGCTGAGCTGAGCACTAGGCTTCTGGCTTCCTACTTTTAGGGCCTCTGAAACTGACAGTTGGGTTCGATGATGATTTCAGGTCACTGAACCTAGGCTCACTGGCGCAGGATTTGAGGGATGGCCTGCAGGTGTCTTTAGTCTGTTACAAACATTGAACTTTGTTGAAGAGGCGGCTTTGAGATCACATTTCTCAAAATAAGTGGCCTTCAGACATTGTGTGAACATGGCCGACTGTAGTCTCCCATTAACCCACCCCCGCTACCAAAGGAACGGAAATCGAATAAAAGCCCAAACCTGACTGGATCACTAAGCTGCTAGTTGCTCCTTTTCTAAGAGCAGATGTATGTGGCTTGTGGCACCAAAATGATCATGCCTCTCAAGGTTGTTTTTTTTTTTTTTTTTTTTTTTTTGAGACGGAGTCTCGCTCTGTCGCCCAGGCCGGACTGTGGACTGCAGTGGCACAATCTCGGCTCACTGCAAGCTCCGCTTCCTGGGTTCACGCCATTCTCCTGCCTCAGCCTCCTGAGTAGCTGGGACTACAGGCGCCCGCCACCGCGCCCGGCTAATTTTTTGTATTTTTAGTAGAGACGGGGTTTCACCTTGTTAGCCAGGATGGTCTCGATCTCCTGACCTCATGATCCACCCGCCTCGGCCTCCCAAAGTGCTGGGATTACAGGCGTGAGCCACCGCGCCCGGCCATCTCTCAAGGTTTTACTTTTTGAGATGGAGTCTCGCTCTGTCGCCCAGCCTGGAGTGTAGTGGCTTAATCTCGGCTCACTGCAACCTCTGCCTCCTGGATTCAAGCGATTCTCCTGCCTCAGCCTCCCAAGTAGCCGGGACTACAGGCATGTGCCACCACGCCTGGCAGATTTTTGTATTGTTAGTAGAGACAGGGTTTCACCGTGTTGGCCAGGCTGGTCTTGAACTCCTGAACTCAGGTGATCCACCCGCCTCCGCCTCCCACAGTGCTGGGATTACAGGCGTGAGCCACCACACACCCTGCCTTGCCTTTCAAGGTTAACTGATGAGTCCTTTCAACTGTTTTATTCTTCCCGTTTTCTTTGAATGTTACATGTAGTGATTAAATAACTATGGCCATTCCATGAACGGGTACGTGCAGCTGGTTCTTGGGGCTCTCCAGGCCAGTGGGCTGTAGCTGGGTGGTGGGGTGGGGGGCTGTTTTCTGTCACTCGCCAGAGGTCCCCATGTGACTCATGGCCACTGGTTGGTTATTGAATGCAAGGGTGGCAGGGGTGAGGGTTCTGGCTGCCCGGGTCCTTACGGTGCCACCCTCTCTGCCCGTCTCTGCTGCAGGGTTGGGGTGCTGGAGGACTGCTTCACCTTCCTGGGCATCTTCCTGGCCATCATCCTCTTCCCCTTTGGGTTCATTTGCTGTTTTGCCTTGAGGAAGCGACGATGCCCCAACTGTGGAGCCACCTTCGCTTAAAGGGAACACCAGGCCCGGCTTTCCTACACCCAGCTCTCTTTTTCTAATGTAAATGTTGTGTACAATAATTTTATTTGATTAAGCTTCAGGACTGTTTTGTAAAGCGAGGTGGGACCGATGTGGCACACGCCAGCTGCGGTTTCCCGGAGCGTGGAGAGGCAGTGCTGCTGCTCCCGCCCGAGGCTCATGACAACTCAATAAAGCACTGCTTTTATTTTTTGCAGTCTTCAATTTGAGAAAGGTGAGAAATAATGTTTTCAATAAATGAGATTCATACCATTGTTGACCTGGTGCTGCTTACTCGGTGCTTTCAGAGACCCAGGAAAGACTGGAACGACACCCCCATCGCTCCCCCGGCCAGTCCTGACCACAGTTGTATTCAGCAGGCGCTTACAGCTCAAGAAAATGTTTTCAAGTTCTGCTTTATTATTAAAGTTGTAATCCCTTGATATTTACAGAGCAGGCACCTCGGTGCCAAGGACCAGGCCATGCCCGTTCTGGTCTGGGAGGCAGAACCTGGGGTTGGGTGAGCCACGGGGTCTGCAGGTTGCATCCGAGACCCCCAGGTCCTATTCTTCCACCCCGTAACAAAACCAGAAACCTCCCCAAGGCAGAACGCCAAAGGCCAGGTGTCACCCACACCCCAGCAGTTCCCCTTAGCGCCAGATGGGGCTCCCTGAGCCCTGTGGCTGAAGTGGGGAACACGGCCATGGGGCTTGTGTGGACTGAATTCTCATGTGGCTGCAGCCCTTTCTGTAGTACAGACTGGGGTTGTTAACATAGTTCATGGTGCCTGCAGCCCCTTCATGGTGGGGGTGCCTGGTTTGTCCTCCCAGGAGAAGCAGATGGTAACACTGCTGGACCTGGCTGGAAGGAGCCTGAAGCATCGGCCACGTCCACTGGCTTACCTGCATGTAACCTTTCCCAATCTCAGCCTCATAGGATACTACACTTATGGCAAGGCTAAAGGAGAGGGGATAAGTCACAGCCCCAGCACCCAGCAACACACACGGTGAGCGGCCGGGCTGGAGTGCAGCAGCATGATCTGGCTCACTGCAACCTCTGCCTCCCGGGTTCAAGTGATTCTCCTGCCTCAGCCTCCTGAGTGGCGCCCACCACCACACCTGTCTAATTTTTGTATTTTTAGTAGAGACTCCTGACCTCAGGTGATCCCCCTGCCTCGGCCTCACAAAATGCTGGGATTCCCGTACCTGGGCCGGGCTGGGAATTTTAACCATGACTCTCCACTCCAAAATAGGTCCAGATCCTTGGCAGCCAAAGATGATTTCCAGCCCCGGGCTCAGGGCAGCCAGTGCGTAGTCCTCACATCCATACCATAGGGCCAGGTTCCGAGGGCATCATGGCTGCTAGGCTGAAAAACCCGCCCTTCTCCAGGCACCAGAGGTCATCCTGGCTTTACACGTATCCTTTGAGAGTCTGTACCTGATTCAAACACGGAGAAACCAGGACCCCGAGCAGTTTGAGTGTACTGGTAATGGATGCAGCTTTGGCCAACTAGCTGAGTGAGAACACAAGGAGCCGTGACTCCGACGCCCAGGCCTGTGTCCTGGATGGGCCGTGTGCAGCGAATCCGTTGGCGACTCCTAACTACCAAGAAAAGGAGCTCTCGGAGGAGATTTCGTCGAGTGCTACGTGTGGCTGTGATAAGGGCAGGCAAAGCGTCTTAGCACTCTACAGCTCTGGCGTGGTTGGAGGGAGGGTGGGGGTTTCTCCATCTCTGGAAGCTCTACACTTAAACATTTTAAGTTAAATTACATTTATATAGTATTTTCATAATTTATATTGCTTAAAATTATGATTTGCATGCTAAGATGCAAACTTACGTGATATCTTCTTTAGACATAATGCTATTAAGAGCACATGCTTTATAAAATAAAACTGGTCTCATTCATATCAGGTGCAGAAAGCCAGTCCTGAAAGCATAGACTATCCCTTATTCTGGCTGTTATTAAGGAAAAAATTCATTTAAAAAATACAGTAAAGATTGAAACCAAGTTTACTGTTTCTTGAACAGAATAGGAAGAAAATATTTTAAATGGCTGAGCTGGTCATTAGACTATTACTCATTTATCTTAAAGGCAGAAACTTGTCAACCCAACTACGTGAAACAGAGAAGCATGATTTGCTTAAGCAGGCGACATTAGAGTTAGGCCTCTCCACTGAAGCTTCCCGACCGTCAGCACGTGGCAGACAGGATGCGCCCATCATTCCGCAAGGGAGAACCGGAGAGGCCCGGGAGAGTCCTTGGCTGTCCTCTCATCGAATGATGGGTGCCGAGCGATCATTCGTCACAGTCGGGCGGAGTTTCACAGTGGCAAAGGGGTTTTCTCCGCTGCAGGGGATAAGAAAAATCTTTCAGAACTTCTGCTCTACGAGGGAAACTGGATTTTAACAGTGCTAATAACCCGTTCTTGCCCTGTGAGACTGGGCGGCTGACCACCTCCCCAGCTTGTACAGGTCCCAGCAGCGTTTTCTGAGTGTGAAAGTTTTGTTCAGTGATGATTCCTACACCATACCACCTGCTGCAGAACGATCCCAGGTTTTAAGCGTTCTGGACGTGGGCACCCACACCTCTTTAGTCCTGCATTGTGTGTGACATGGGGGTCACTCTGGGGTGGGGAAGCCCTGCTCCCAGCGTGGTCTAAAGTAGTTGGTAAAGCGAGCAGGGGGCTGCACTCCCCCATGGCTCCACAGGCCGAGGCCTTTCTCAGGCTGGACCCCCTGGGCTGGGCACCGAAGGCCCTTCCGGGGGACACTACAGGGAAGAGCAATGTCACACACTGAGGCTCACGTAGGAAGCCACGCCTACCTGAGAAAAGGCGGCTTTGCAGTCCCGTTGGCATCGTTCTGTGAGAAAGATAAAGAAGTTTATGGAGGGCTTAGAATTGGTCTTTTAAAAATTATTTTAGGTAGAGATGGGGATTTGCTATGTTGCCCAGGCTGGTTTCGAACTCCTGAGCTCACGTGATCCTTCCACCTTGGCCTCCTAATGTGCTGGGACTACAGGTGTGAGCCGCTGCGACTGGCCTGTATTGGAGATTTTTAATAAGACCCGAAGGTAAAGACATCTAAAACATAAGGGATGTTTAAAAGTGCCCTGTCCCAATCTGTTAGACTGTCTAAATTCACTTGGAAGAATAAGGCAAGAACAGAAAACGCTCTGAAAGGCGGTAGCGGCCCTCCCAGGTGTCAGAGCGTGAACAGAGCATGGCACTGCCTGCGCGGGTCACCCGTGATGTCGGGAGCTCACATGTGAACGAGCCGCCTGCTAAACTCGGAAACAGTTTCACAAAATGAAGCTTGAGCAACAGAGCGACATCACAGAAGAAAACATTTGTGCCAAACAGAACCTCTCAGACTCGGGGCAAACAGAGATCCCACAGGTCCTCAGCCACGGTCTTTTGAACGCAGAATCTAGTGACTGGGATGTGCTTTTTGGGAGCTGACTCCTGAAGCATGACAAAGAAACAGGAAATAAAAATAAAACCCCACTGGCTTTGGGGCTGCTAGAGCCAGGGATCTTGTAGGAAGCTCAAACTGAGGAAAAGAGAAGGTGGAACCAAAGTGCAAAGGTGCCTACAGGGCTCGGGTGGGGAGCAACTCCTTCCAGCACCTGCCACCCAGGGCGAGCCAGGGCCAGGTGTGTGCGCGCCTTCTTTCCCTCACTCCAAAAAGCCTGGAGGGTTTAACACTCTTTCCTGCCTGCACACAGGGAGTGGAGTCAGGCAGCCGCCCAGGAGAGGGCAGTGTAACACTGTGTAACCAGCCTGTGGCCCGGCCACACCGTCCTGACAGCCCCAGGAAGCGTCCCAGCACCCCCAGGGGGTCTCAGGGAGCACGCAGACCTCTCAAGATTGACTTAGGGGAGGCCCTCTCATGCCCGATGCCAGCGCTAGAGCGCAGGCCGTTCCTGGACATGGAGGCCCAGGCCAGGCCTCCTCTGGGATGGCCTCCACTGCATGTTGGGTGTACAGGCTGTGGAGACGGAAGGCAGTTTGGGAGCCCCAGGGCTGTGCCTGAGACCTGTCCCACCCTCCCCAGATCCCCTGGGCAGGGCATCTGGGGCCAATTCATTGTCTGCTTTTCATCACTGGAGCACAAAGCCACTGACCTGCCTTGCACATCCTACAGGGCTTTAAATGGCCGCAAAAGTGACTTCCTGCGGGGCACTCAACGCTTCCCTAGCAGGCCTCAGAGGAAGTCCTTGCTGGTGTGAGGTGCATGCTCTGCGATTATGATGGGCTAATTTATGATTTAAATGCACCAGGGTGCCTGTCGCATGTGCTCACGGTGCTGGCATTCGTGGACTCTGTTGCAGAAGGGCCATGGCTGGGCCTGAGGCACGATTCATGCCAATCCTGACTCCACTCTGCCCTCCCCTCCTCTCCCACTGGAGTCATCTGACTCCTTGGGGCCAACACCATCTCCCTCACATGTGCAGCTTATGCTAGGGGAAGGCGCTTCCCAAACTAGAAACCAGAAACACCCTCCACCCACCCCAAGCACACCCCGGAGCTTGTTCAGAGCCTCCTGGGCCCCCACGGGACTTTAAAAAGGTCCCAGTAAATCCTCACAAAGAACGCAGCAAGAAGCACCGACTCCTGCCAGGAGGACTGAGGAGGAAAAAGAACGCTTAAGATGACAGCTGGAAGCCACTCAGTGTTGGGCCAACCCCGTGCACGCATGCCTGGGGCCCAACAATCCTGCTCCCTGTAGGAACAAGCAGGGCACACACCCATGGGCACCGAGACACTCGGGCAGCCCTGGAGAAACAGCCCAGACCAGAAACACCAGACGCCCGTCAATGGGAGAGTCAGAACCAGCTTCTGTGCAGACAGCAGGTCACCACACAGCACTGAGCGACTGTCCCTACGGGGCCACCCCAGACAGCCATCTCTGTGCCAGGGCTTGGGGAGTCTGGTGTTGGAGAAGGGATGGTCACGGAGGTGGGCCATGCTGGGTGATCGTGGGGGCCGGGAACGTCCTGCTGGGTATACGGAGTCACATCATGAAAATTCATTGTGTGCTTTTCTGTCTGTGGTATTCTGTAATACAATGTTTACTTTAAAATATGTATTGGGCCAGGGACAGTGGCTCATGCCTGTAATCCCAGCACTTTGGGAGGCTGAGGTGGGCGCATCACCTGAGGTCGGGAGTTCGAGACCAGCCTGACCAACATGGAGAAACCCCGTCTCTACTAAAAATACAAAATTAGCTGGGTGTGGTGGCGCACGCCGGTAATCCCAGCTACTCAGGAGGCTGAGGCAGGAGAATCGCTTGAACAGGGAGGCAGAGGTTGTGGTGAGCTGAGATTGCACCACTGCACTCCAGCCTGGGCAACAGAGTGAGACTCCATCTGTAAAAAACAAAAAAACAAAAAACCAACAAAACAAAAACAGAAACAACAAAAACATATTGGACGTGTTCAGGCAGATTTCCCGTTTAACATCTGCATGTTTCTCAGGGACCTGAAACCCCAGCACTCCTTCTGGATACAAGGCTGGCAGGAGCCTCTCTGCCTCCCTCTCCACTGCAAAGGAGACCCACGAGGGCAGGGGCTTGGCACATACGGTGCCTCTTATCTGGTGGCCCCCAAGGGTCTCACAGCATCCTCCCTGCGTCCCTGTCTCAACCGCATACCTCACACTCAGCCCACTGTGGTGGTCACTGAACATAGACCTGCCCTCCTCTCTGTTCCCTTTCCTTGCAGTGGGGGACACCTCCAAGCCACAGGCAGCACTGCCACCGGCACCCAGGGCCCCGCGGGCACTGCCTGCTGCATGTCCTGTGTCCCCAACAAGACAGGAGACCACTAAGGCCACGAAACCAGCAGCCACTACGAGAGTGGTTGGGCTGCAACTGGAGACTATAGAGCGAGGCCACCAAGCGGCTGACTGCGGCCAGGGTGGACACATCTTGTGATCCCCCATCTCCCGCAAGAATCCAAGAATCCAAAATGTGTGTGTGGACACTGGCTGACCACCCATCACTCGATGCCTGGTCCACACCCCCTTCCCGACTGTACGGAGCTTCCAGGGTGCCCACCACATAGCCATGCGCCCAGGTTGGGGGACTAGTTGACCTGGCTTTCAGAGGGGTCCCGGGCAGCTCGGAGCACCGAGCACCACTTTTTCCCTTGGGCTGCAGCAGAGAATGCTGGTGGCCCTCACTGCAGAGGGCAGGACAGAGTGAACAGGGCCAGTGCAGGTGGCCTTGCTCCTGAGCAGAATGGAACAGCCCTAAGGAACATTTCCAAGCCAGCTGGAGGCCAGTTACTCGCAACAAAAGTGGCCCTCACTGACACCTGTCTTCAGTGTGAAAACCCATTCCAGTCCTCGTCTGTGGCCCGGACTTGTCTTCCAGTTCACTTCTGATCTAGTTCAACCCCTTTATTCTCAAAAGGGGGACGCTGAGGCCCAAACAGGGAAAAGCCAACTGCTCCGAGCCACTGGGATCTTTTTGGAAGCCGAGGCACCCATGTTGTGACGCAAACGAAGATGCGTGCAGGCCTGCACCGGGGGCACTGGCGGCTCTCAGGAGGGGCTCACGCCACGTGAGGGCGCGCTGTGAAATGCAGGCTTGCTTTTACAAAGGAGAGCTGTGTGCTTATTTAAAATGTTGGGAGGGAGCCAATACTTCCTCACTTGGAACTGCAGTAGAAAATACGTAAATTAAAAAAATTCAGGCCGGGCACAGTGGCTCACGCCTGTAATCCCAGCACCTTGGGAGGCCAAGGCAGGAGGACTGCCTGAGGTCAGGAGTTCAAGACCAGCCTGGGCAACATAACAGGATCTTATCATTGTTAATAAAAACTTAAAGAGATATCACGTGACCTGTGGCAAACCCCTAGCTTGAGTCCTGGCAAGTCTCCCCTGCCCCCTTGGGAGAAGCCCCTGCTCTCAGATCGTCTAATAAGACGCGCCGTCACAGGACAGCTGTGGGGCTTCCCAGGTGAGTGGGATGCTCTATGGACACCTAAGGTTAAGCATTCCAGTGTCACACGACCTGTAACTCACAGGAGCTGGATATAAAACCATGTATAAAAATGCTTTTAAAAAACATTAGGGGCTGGGTGCGGTGGCTCACGCCTGTAATCCCAGCACTTTGGGAGGCCGAGGCAGACGGATCACAAGGTCAGGAGATCGAGATCATCCTGGCTAACACGGTGAAACCCCATCTCTAATAAAAATACAAAAAACTTAGCCAGGCGTAGTGGCGGGCGCCTGTAGTCCCAGCTACTCGGGAGGCTGAGGCAGGAGAATGGCGTGAACCCAGGAGGTGGAGTTTGCAGTGAGCCGAGATGGTGCCACTGCACTCCAGCCTGGGTGACAGAGCAAGACTCTGTCTCAAAACAAAACAAAAAAAACATGAGGATGCTTTCCCAGCTCTCATGGATCCCAGTGTTTGGCCTGGGATATAACACAGCTTTCCCCAACATCATCAGCTGGTTTAGGCATTTTGGTTAGGGAAAGCTAAGTTATTAATCGAGGTGGACATAAAAAGGCTGAGACACATAATTCCAGGACTGTGTCCCCAGCCCTCAAGGGTGCCAGAGGCCCCCGGGGCTTTCAGGTGGCAAAGGCTGCCATTGTTTTTGAGACAGGTCTTGCTCTGTCACCCAGGCTGCAGTGCAGTGGCACAATGACAGCTCACTGCAGCCTCGACCTCCTGGGCTCAATCGATCCTCTCACCTCAGGCTCCTGAGTAGACTACAGGTATATGCCACCATGCCTGACTTTTTAATTTTCTGTTTTTTGGTGTTTTTTTTGAGATGGAGTTTTCCTCTTGTTGCCCAGGCTGGAGTGCAGTGGCGTGATCTTGGCTCACTGCAACCTCTGCCTCCCGGGTTCAACTGATTCTCCTGCCTCAGCCTCCCGAGTAGCTGGGATTACAGGCGCCTGCCACCATGCCCAGCTAATTTTTTTTGTATTTTTAGTAGAGACAGGGTTTCACCATGTTGGCCAGGCTGGTCTCAAACTCTTGACATCAGGTGATCCACCTGCCTCGGCCTCCCAAGGTGCTGGGATTACAGGTGTGAGCCACCACGCCTGACTGGTTTTTTAGTTAATTTTCTATATAGACGAGGTCCCACTATATTGCCCAGGCTGATCTGGAACTCCTAGGCTCAAATGATCCTCCCGCCTCGGCCTCCCAAAGTGCTGGGATTACAGGTGTGAGCCACCGTGCCCGGCAGGCTGCCATCTTTTGAGCCTCAGCCATGGTACCTGCTTCTTGACCACCACGTTATGGATCAAGCTTATTTTTATATATAGAGAGAGATGGGTCCTTTCTCTGTCGCTCAGGCTGGACTTGAGTTCCTGGGCTCAAGTGATTCTACCACCTTGGCCTTCCAAGTAGCAGGGATCACAGGTGTGAGCCACCGTGCCCAGCTAGAGCAAGTTTTTAAATGGAACACTGTACTATTTTGTATGATCTATTCCTAACTGTCCAATGTGGCAACCACTAGCTGTATATGGCTACTTAAAATAAAATTTGCCGGGCGCAGTGACTCACGCCTATATTCCCAGCACTTTGGGAGGCTGAGGCGGGAGGATCACCTGAGATCAGGAGTTCGAGACCAGCCTGGCCAACATGGTGAAACCCCGTATCTACTAAAAATACAAAAATTAGCTGGGTGTGGTGGCATGCACCTGTAGTCCCAGCTACTTAGGAGGCTGAGGCGGGAGAATTGCTTGAGCCCGGGAAGTGGAGGTTGCTGTGAACCAAGATCATGCCACTGCACTCCAGCCTGGGCGACAGAGCAAGACTCCGTCTCATAAATAAATAAATAAACAAACAAACAAATGTAAACGTCTAGTTCCTTCGTTGCACCATCCGTTTTTCAAGTGCTCTGCTGCCCTGTGTGCCCTGTGGCTGCTGGACTGGGCAGGGAACATTTCCATCTGTGCTGCTCGTCTCTGACACACACATGCTTGATCCATGATCCCTGCTGGTGAGGAGGCTGTGAGGCCAGGAGGCCCAGAACACACAGCCATTCCCCCTGCTCCCTGCTCCCGCCCTTGGAGCAGCACCAATGCGTCTGTAGGCTGTTTCCCACAGCTGCGCTCCCGGAACTCCTGACTGGGATTGGTCTGGATGAAACGTGGTCACTTGTCTAACAGGAGTGCTGTCTACAGAGGCTGGATGCGGGTGACAGTTGCAGTCCCTCCCCGCAATGCTTTTGCAGTCTGCATAGGATGTTAGAATAACAGCATGCAGATGACCGCGCCATGTCTTATCAGGAAAGCGTACTGATGTGGAGGCCAAGAAGCTGCTGGCTGAGATTTCAGAACTGGGTTTCTAACCTGCCGTGGGCCTTGGACAGCGGCTGCCATTCTTCTGTGCCTCCCTTTCTCCATTTCACGAGGCCCCGCTATCCCTCTACCTCCCCAGGAGGTCCCAGCACAGGCACTGCTCAGGAAGCACCACCGTGAGGTGCGAAGGGTGTGAAGGTACGAAAGACAGGAGGGCACCACAGGCTGGCGGCACCACTCCCCTCGCAGGCCAGCCAGAAGCCAGGCAGCAGTGTGGAGGCTCATCCTGCCTCTCTGGCTGGTGCCCGACCCCAGCTCTTGAGCCCCCCAAGTCACCGCAACGCCCAGGCCTTGTGTTTTTGCCGAAGCTCGTGCCTCAGAGCCTGGCTCCGACGCTTTCCTCCTAGAAGCCTCCCCTGATGCGTCCCAGGAACCCTGGCCTCTCCCCTTGTCCTCACCCCATGCATCGAGCGCTCCCTGGACTCCACCCCTGCGTGGGTCTCATTCCTCTTTGTGTCCTGAGGGCTTGGCTCTAGGCCGCCCAGTAGAGGCCGGCTGGATGAATGCTGATGGGACGGTCTCATCTCTGTCCACAAAACCCCTCCCCCACAGCCATACCCTCACTGCCATGTGACTGTGTTGACAGAAGTCTGCTGGCCTCAGAGGTCTGCGGCCCAGGAAATCTCAGCTGCCATCAGTGATAAACATGACCTCCCTGTGGGCGTCACCTCCACCCCTGTGCTGGATGGGCCTTCTCATCGATTTCAGTGATCATGAAGTTAATCAGCAGTCAGCACTCAAACACGTGCAGAATCAATGACAACTGAAATGATTAGAATCCGCATAAGGAGGGCATTCTCATGAGGTATCTGGGGCTTTTGAATGTTCTTGGATGAAACCAGAAATGAAAGGCTGCTAAAATGAAAGCCTGAAAGCCTTCTAGCTTTTTTTTTTTGGTATATATATATATATATATTTTAAGTGGAGACGGGATTTCACCGTGTTAGCCAGGATGGTTTTGATCTCCTGACCTCGTGATCCGCCCACTTCGGACTCCCAAAGTGCTGGGATTACAGGCGTGAGCCACCGTGCCCGGCCAAGCCTTCTAGCTTTCAAGACAGAAAGGGGGAACCTGAAGATGATGGTGTGTGTGTGTGTGCACACGCGCGTCTGTGTGTGTGGTGGGGGTTAGAGGGAGGGTGGTCTTGGGGAAGTGAGCTTTGGCAGGTGCGGCCTGTGGAGGCAGCCGGGGACTGGATGACTGGGAATCTCTCCCGTGGAGGGGACAGCCTGAAGCTCGCGGGTGTGAGCTGAGAATACCAGCTCAGGTGGGAAGGGTGGTGGTGGTGTCCACATGGGCCAGCTGCGCTGGTGGAGGCTGCAGGGCACCAGGTCACCCCCTGCAGGCAGCCCCAGCTCAGCCCAACCCTCCAGGTCAGGGCCCTCGGGGACAGTGGTGTGCTTAAAGCTCTGCTGCCCGAGGAAGTGGGAAGCCGGTAAGAGGCGTGCACCGTGCGCTGGCAGTCTCCCGACACTGACAGAATGTCATGATCCAGCCAACGAAGAGGTTTAAGAATGAAGCCAGGTCACCTTTCCACTCCCCAGTGCTAAGTAAGGAGGAATCTGTCATTACTGAGTACACTGATACTTACAACCAGGCTTCTTCCATTTATCCAATTCCCTGCAGTAAGAATGGCGGCGACAGTACTTTCTTCACCAAGCTTTATCCACACGATAAATACGCTGACAATGACACGTTTTCATTTTCTAACACTGAAGACTATCCAGGGTTGGCCAAAGTGTCAGTGCTCTCACTTACAATGCCAGAGCTGTGATTTTTGGGGGCAAGATTCTTTTACCTTAAAAGGCATTATCCAACCTCAATAAAGCAGCAGGCTAGGCGAACATCAACAGCTACTAACATCACAAAAAGAGATGGACGTCCACACGTGCCTCCTCACTGGTGAAATGCTCCAGCAAAACACAACAGTCAAACAAGCAAAACAGCAACAGACTCTGAGCAGGGCCTGAGGTCTAACTACCAATTTACAGAAATACAGGAGACACGGGGGAACGCAGAAAGGACACCAACAGCAAAATCCAGATGGGGGACACCCTCCAGGACAAATGACTGGTTCTTCTACAAAGAGACTGCTAAGGACAAGAGGCAGAGGGGGGACCTGTAGCTAGAAAAGGCCTCACGAGCCCTATCCACCAATTATAATGTATGGAGCTGATTTGGATCCAGATTCAAACAACTACACTGTAAACCATTTTTCTTTTTTTATGAGACAGGGTCTCTGTCATCCAGGCTGGCATGCAGTGGTATGATCACAGTTCACAGCAGCCTCGAACTTCTGGGTTCAGGCTATCCTCCCACCACAGCCTCCTGAACAGCTGGGACTACAGACATGTGCCACCGTACCTGGCTAATTTTTTATATTTTTTGTCTACATAGGGTTTTGCTATGTTGCCAGTTTGGTCTAAAACTCCTGGGCTCAAGTGATCCTCCTGCCTTGGCCTCCCAAAGTGTTGGAATTACACAGACATGAGCCATTGCACCTGGCTTCAAAGACATTTTGAATGAAGTTTCAAAAGCTAGCATTCCTAAACCAAATCATGCCAATGCAGTCTACAATGAGGCAGGTCTACGTTCCCAGACTCCTCAAGGCTCACGCGTAGGTCTGGGGCAGGCACATCTTAGAAGCACATCCGTTTCATATCATCAAGACACTCCACACCTGGGCACCACTCACAGCTGAACTAAGGCCCCGGACACAAGGTATAGGGGCCTGGCTCCTTCGCCCCAAAGCAAGACAGCTCCTGGAGCGAGGGGTGCAGACACCACCACCCAGCCTCCTCCCCTTCACCCACAGGTCTCACACCAGGGCGCACTAACCTCAGCCAACCCAGCCCGGGAGTGATGTCCAGCCGCGCTGCTCCCCACCACGCCATCACCTCACCTTGTGTTATTCTCTGCATGGCTTCTAGTGTCAGTGTTTTTGTTTATTTTTTATTGTCTGCTTCCTATCACTAGAACAGAAGTTCTGAAGAGGCAGGCAGAGTCCGGCCTTGTTCTCCTCTAGCTGGAGAGCCCACACCAGGGCCTCTGTGCGGTGGCGGGAATGGATGAACTGGTTCCGGGAGCCCAGGACCTCCATGCTGGGCCCCCAGAGGCACGTTAGGGTTATCTTTCAGGGTTATCGTTAACCCTAAACGCCGTGCCTAGAAGGTTTAGGGTTAAAGATAACATCCACAGTGCCTGGGAGTAAAGACTTTCTGAAGAAAGATGAAGTTACCACTTTTAATGTAAGCCTCTCTTCAGAAAATAAGAAAATGAAAGAAAATGGTGATTCAATGGCTAGAAGACTGCAGCCAGGCAGGAAAGATAAGAAACCTAATAAAATCTAGCAAACTAGAGGCGACTGTGTGTAAACTCTCACTGACAAGATAGAGTCCACATGAAAGAAGGGCTGAAGTCAAGGAGGTGAAAGGCTGCATGACAAAGAAGGGAATCTAGAGGATCAAAGGCAGCAAGTCCCCTCCTCCCTCCTCCCCGGGGACACCACTCTCCCCCTGGGGACAGAGCAGAGCAAGGCGGTCACCACAGGACCTGCGCCTCCCAGTCGGGGATGGCGAGTCCAGGACCCAGGACGCCCTGCTGCGGCTTTACTCACAGGAGCCGCGGTCTCGGGCTTGGACGCTGGGGCCTTAAAGGTGGATGTCGTCCTGGCCGAATCTGCTCTCCTGTCGGCAGCTGCCCCCATGGACAAGCATTCCAAGTAGTCGGGTGGGGGGATGACAACACTGCTATTCTCAGACAAGTTCACGGTGCTGATGCTTCTCACTGGTGTGGGGCTCAAACCCAAAAAGGACACAGCACGTGTTAGATAATGTCTCACCACCAAACCCCAAACATCCTCTGTGTCCCTGACCAAGGACAACAGTAATAGTACATCACCAATCAAAACCTGATCTTGATCTCACACACACAGACACACACAGTACATATATCAATACAAAACACTGTATTTTTTAAATTTTTTTGCGACAGAGTCTCACTCTGTCACCCAGGCTGGAGTGCAATGACATGATGTCAGCTCACTGCAACCTCTGCCTTCTAGGTTTAAGTGATTCTTCTGCTTCAGCCTCCTGAGTAGCTGGGATTACAGGTGCACGCCAGTGTGCCCAGCTAATTTTTTGTATTTTTAGTTGAGATGGGGTTTCACCATATTGGCCAGGCTGGTCTTGAACTCCTGACCTCAGCTGGGATTACAGCATGAGCCACCACACCCGGCCTAAAACACTAATGTTTTTAGTGGTTTCTAAACATATCCTCACAAGAAATTTTTTTTTTTTTTTTTGAGATGGGGTTTCCCTCTTATTGTCCAGGGTGGAGTGCAGTGGCGCGATCTTGGCTCACTGCAACATCCGCCTCCCTGGTTCAAGTGATTCTCCTGCCTCAGCCTCCCAAGTAGCCGGGATTACAGGCGCCTGCCACCACGCCCAGCTAATTTTTTTGTTTTTTGTTTTTTTTTTTTTTTTTTTTTTTAGTAGAGACGGGGTTTCATTATGTTGGCCAGGCTAGTCTTGAACTCTTGATCTCAGGTGATCTGCCCGCCTCGGCCTCCCAAAGTGCTGGGATTACAGGCATGAGCCCCTGCGCCTGGCCAAAAAATTATTTAAAAGACATGACAAAAGGAGAGGAAACCTTTTAAATTAGGGGCTGGCTCTTGATTGATTTAATCTAAGGAAAGAAATTGGAGACTAGCAAAAGCTGGAGTGAGCAATGAGCTAAGAGTTAAAAAAAAAAAAAATGTAAACACTTGAAATTTTAACATCCTAAAAGTGTTACTCAGTTTTTGTTCCCCAGCACAATGGCATTTTAGCTCTTCTGCTAGGGATGAAGATTGCAGACAGCATCAGACCCTGGGGAATGCAACGTCGGACCTGGAGGCCTTCTACCTGGCTAGCTGGATGGGTTATGGGGGTTCTGTGAACTTCGATCCTCCCGCCTCAGCCTCCAGAGTAGATGGGACAATGGGCATATGCCACTATGCCCTGGCTAATTGTTTATTTTTTTTGTAGAGATGGGGATCTTGCTATGTTGCGCAGGCTGGTCCTGAACTTGTGGCCTCAAGTAATCCTCCTGCCTCCATCTCCCAAAGTGCTGGGATTACAGGCACAAGCCACCGTGCCCGGCCAGTTTCCTCATTTTTTAAAGTGGGGGCCCACCTCATGGGTCTGCTGTGAGAATTAAGTGAAAAAATCAATGCAAAGTCCTTTGGACAGTCTCTAGGCAATAACTACTGTTAGTATCTGATCTGGAATACGGATTTGGGGGTTTTCGGCATGGAGGTGCTCAGCAAAGCCCATCAGTGTATTTCAAGCCATGGGAGTGGATGAGATGGCCCAGCACAGGCAGGAAGGATGGACCCAGGGTGACTCCCAAGAACACTGATGTTTAATTGATGGGCAGAAGAGGGGTGCAAAGAGCTGGTGAGGCAGAAGACAAACAGAGCACAGGTCAAGCAGCCGGGGCCAGAGAACATTCCAGAAAAAGCATACAACAGCGTTAAGGGCTGTAAGATAAGAACGGTAAGATAAGTGTAAGATAAGGACGGAAAACACATGGCTTGGGTTTAGCGACCAGGAGGGGCAGGGCACAGGGAGGGAGTTTCAGAGGGCTGCAGGACTGCGAGGAGTAGGTGGCCTGGGCTGGGTCTCCTCACAGCAGCAAAGCTCGGGGACAACAGAAATCACGGCAGACAGCACTGTGAGCCGCGGTCTCATCTCTGACTAGTCCACGAGAGCTGAGGCTTAGGGCAGGGCCTGCGACACAGCTAGATGGTGGTGTGTTACAGAAACGACAAGGCAGGGGTTTCTGTCACCGGGAGAGCTCAGCCACGTTCAGGGCTACCTTGGCGTGGGCACGGTCACTGCTTCTGTCTCATTTTCTTCCAGCAACTTCGTGTACGACGACGGGAACCAACCCCTCCTACCGGCAAAGAGGGAGAAAAGACCCTATCAGCAGTAGACATGTGGACGGCAACCTCCCTGAACAACCTGGTGAGAGCTCAGGGCAGACAGGTCCACTGCTCCAGAAACGCCCATGTGTGGAGGAAATGAAATTAAGGCTTTTAATAGGTAAATATGGACTTTCACATACACTGAACAATGTGTATTGTTAACAATTTTTTTTTAATAGAGACAGGGTCTCGCTCTGTTGCCCAGGCTGGAGTGCAGTGGTGCGATCATAGCTCACAGCAGCCTCGAACTCATGGGCTCAAGCAATCCCCCTGCCTCAGCATCCGAGTAGCTGTGACTAGAAGTGTGCACCACCATGCCTAGCTAAAAAGCAATATATGTTGTATGTATAACATTAATTTGATTTGGATTACCCCTTTTTTTTTCCATATTGGTTTTATTTAATACATCTGAACAATCTGTCTAGAAAACTGACAAGCTAGTTACAGGAAGGCTTGTGCACATAATTATGGCTGAAATTAAGAGGATTGCATTCAAACTACCTACGTGCTAAACCTTAACAAAGTATATCTGATATGCAGATTATCTTCAATAAATCAAATGCTAATTTTATTTATTTTTTTGAGACAGAGTCTTGCTCTGTCACCCAAGGCTGGAGTGCAATGGCGAGATCTCGGCTCACTGCAACCTGCGCCTCCCAGGTTCAATCCTGCCTCAGCCTCCCGAGTAGCTGGGATTACAGGCGCCTGCCACCACGCCTGGCTAATTTTTGTATTTTTCGTAGAGATGGGGTTTCACCATGTTGGCCAGGCTGGTCTGGAACTCCTAACCTCAGGTGATCTGCCCGCCTTAGCCTCCCAAAGTGCTGGGATTACAAGCATGAGCCACTGCACTGGCCAAATGCTAAATTTTTTTTAAAAACAAAAGAATGTTTAAACTACTTTCAGACAGGTGACTTCATACGCTCTAATAACTATGCATGCACCAAATGTATCTCTACATGCACAGACATACAGAAAATAGCCTGGGATCGAATAACTTCAGTTAACTAAACTAGAACTAAACCATAAACTTAACTTTGGCTAAAATGTGAGCATGTCCACGAAGACAGTTTGCAGCTTGGCTGCTCTGGAAGGGAGGGGCCGTCTGGTGCCCTGCGGGGACCATCACGCCCAGACTTACGCCTTGGACACGTCGTGTTCTCCATAGAGCCAGCCATCCTTCTCCTCGGGGATGAGCAGCGTGATGACATCTCCCTGTGCAAAGCTGAGTAAGGTCTTGTTGGAGCCCGCAGTGTGCGGGAAGATGGTCTTCACTTTCTGCTTCTTCATCATGTTCAGTCCCGTTGCAACCGAAACTGATCGCTGTAAACTGGGATCTTCGGAAGTACCTGTTGGAGGGAGTGTAGCAGTAATGGCTTTTCAAAGCATGAGAATCAATAGGCACATTCCAATGAGCAAACCCCAGGAATCCACCTGTTCTCATCTTGCCAACAATGCTCCTTCCACGGAAACTGACCCTGTCCTATTTCCTCGCTTTGATCATTGCCCAGAAGGAACAGGGACTGTTGAGAAACAGAGGCAGCGTGCAGCCTGAAGGCATGCACCGTGCAGAAGAGGATCCCTGCGGCTGCGGGCTCTTTTCCAGGCCCAAGGACAAGGCGGTGTGTGCCGGGTTGATCTGCACTGCTTTAGCCAGGATGGCTCTTCTTAGAGAGACAAACCGCTCCAACGCCAAACTGCCCTCGCAATTCCAATCGCAAAGGCAGGCTAGGGCCACAGTTCAAACCCAACTGCCAATGTCCACAAAGAAAAGAAGAAAGCTGGAAATGCAGTTGGTCTTGCCATGCTGGCCGCT
Organism: Homo sapiens; assembly: GCF_000001405.40. Taxonomy (NCBI): domain Eukaryota; kingdom Metazoa; phylum Chordata; class Mammalia; order Primates; family Hominidae; genus Homo; species Homo sapiens. The sequence continues at coordinate 98,308,364 of NC_000007.14, forward strand.
CAGCTTCTCACCCCCAGGCCTAAGAAGGACAAGGTGAGGATGAGTTCCATTTACAGAGTCCTCACCAGGTGCCAGTCACGATCTCAATGTCTCACAGCTGCCATCCCGCCAGGCTCCCAGGAGGAAGGTGCTGCTATTTATTATCCACAGGACAGACCCCACAGCTGGCAAGTGGCTGGGCCAGGAACCAGCTAGGGCAGGTTTGTCCCATACTCTCTACCCATGAGCACGAGGCTGTGCTGTTCATGTCTCCATTCAAACACAGGCTGATATTTCCACTCCAGGGGAAAAAAGGTAGAAAAAAATATATATATATGTATGTATATACATTTGAGACAGAGTCTCACTCTGTTGCCCAGGCTGGAGTGCAGTGGCAGGATCACAGCTCACTGTAGTCTGGACTTCCCAGGCTTAAAGGATCCTCCCTCCTCAGCCTCCTAAGTAGCTGGGACTACAGGCACACGCCGCCATGCCAGGTTCATTTTTAAATTTTTTTGTAGAGACAGTGTCTCGCTATGTTGCCCAGCCTGGTCTTGACCTCCTGGCCTCAAGTGATCCTCCCAGCTTGGCCTCCCAAAGTGCTGGGATTACAGGTTTGAGCCACTGCTTCTGGCCGTTTTTTTTTTCCATTCAAATTTTCCCAGGCTAGTAATACAACAAGCATCTTTAATTTAAAACAATGCAAGATCTCTTTCTGCTTTATTCTTGCAGATTCTTCATGATTACAACATAAACCTGCGCCCCCTTAACCTGCCACTCTCTACTTCGCTGGTGTTGAACCCACCAGCAGTTTTCTTTCTTTTTTGAGACAGAGTCTCGCTCTGTCGCCCAGGCTGGAGTGCAGTGGTGTGATCTCGGCTCACTGCAACCTCTACCTCCTGGCTGGGTTCAAGCAATTCTCTTGCCTCAGCCTCCTGAACAGCTGGAATTACAGGCGCGTGCCACCATGCTCGGCTAATTTTTGTATTTTTAGTAGAGACAGGGTTTCACCATATTGGCCAGGCTGGTCTCGAACTCCTGACATCGAGATCCACCTACCTTGGCCTCCCAAAGTGCTGGGATTACAGGCATGAGTCACCGCGCCCAATCCTCCACCAGCAATTTTCATTCTGCTTTTACCAATAAGAACCAGAGTCATCTGAATCACTGGGATGCACAGAGTATTACATACTTTAACTGTGTATTTTAGTTAACTGACAGGACTTCCTTCAAAGGCAAATGCCTGCAGACCATCATCTTCCTCTACTGGGCCATCCTAGTCATCATTCTGGAAAACTCTGTTCTTTTGCCCAATAGCTTCACACGCTGTGGTCCAGGGCTCTCTCTCACAAACAGCTTGACTGCCGCAACCTTCACACCATGGGGGCCTGTGAGACACCCCACGTGGATGGGTTGGGGCCATGGCACAGGTCTCGAGGGTCCTGGGTGCTAAAGACTGTGCAGAAGGACGGGGTCTGACCAGTGAAGCAGCCGGCAACATCTGCAGACAGTCACTGGCTCCAACTTTTGTTTTTGTCACTGTGTCACCCAGGCTGGAGTGCAGTGGTGCGACCTCAGCTCATTGCAACCTCCGCCTCCTGGGTTCAAGTGATTCTCCTGCCTCAGCCTCCCGAGTAGCTGGGATTACAGGCAGGCACCACCACGCCTGGCTAATTTTTTGTATTTTTAGTAGCGATGGGGTTTCATCATGTTGGCCAGGCTGGTCTCAAACAACTGACCTCAGGTGATCCACCTGCCTCGGCCTCCCAAAGGGCTGGGATTACAGGCGTGAGCCACCGCGCCTGGCCTCCATTTATTTGTAAATAGATAATTCTCAACAGTATGTTTACTCTGGATAAACATCAGTCAGTGCGTAGAACTGGTAAATGTCAGAGAAATGTATCACTTATCAGAGCGTCTCACAGTCTAGTCCTGTATTTCTTCTGAACTCACGCTCTGCAAAGCCAGGGCTGAATGTATCTACCATACCTGCTTGTTTACCTCCAAACCTTGCAATACATTTATACAAAATATTTATTTCACAGCTTATCTTAAAACAAATGTAAAAGGTATCTTCAAATAAATCAGACTGAATCTCTTACCTGTTGAATTATTTACCCTTTGTGAATTCGGGGCAGCCGTGGCTGGGTTATTAAACATATCGATCAAGGGACTGGTATATGCTCTGCCTGAAGGAGCGGGGGGCATCTTTGGTGAGCATTTAGAAAGGGTGTCGTAATCTTTCCTAACCTGTGAAAAATTCTTTATTAGTCCAATATTAGTATAGTGCAGAACCGGAATTACACAGATTCCCAAGGCTGTTTTTTTTTTTTAAATAATAGGCTATTTATTTATTTATTTTGAGACAGAGTCTCGCTGTGTTGCCCAGGCTGGAGTACAGTGGCACGATCTCAGCTCACTGCAACCTCCGCCTCCCAGTTTCAAGTGATTCTTGTGCCTCAGCCTCTTGAGTAGCTGGATAACAGGCACGCACTACCACATCTGGCTATTTTTTGTATTTTTAGTAGAGATGAGGTTTCACCATGTTAGCCAGGCTGGTCTCAAACTTCTGACCTCAAGTGATCTGCCCGCCTAGGCCTCCCAAAGTGCTGGGATTACAGGTGTGAGCCACCATGACTGGCCACATTTCAGGGGGTTTGAGATGGGCAGAAAGAGTGGATCCATGTGTTCAAAGTACCTGCTGCATCCCAATCTCCACAGAGCCCAGGTTCAAAGATCAGCAAACTACAAATGTGTGAATTCATTACTGTGAATACTTTGATGCCTATTTTTTTTCCTGAAGTGCCTTACGTTGTGATGAATGCCATCAGAGTGTGTCTAATTTATTCTGAGACACCTATACTTCCTTACTTGGGAGTAAACTTAGTTGGAATGATTACAAATAAAAACAGTAAGTATGGTTGGGTGCAGTGGCTCACGCCTGTAACCCCAGCACTTTGGGAGGCCGAGGTGGGCGGATCACGAGGTCAGGAGATCGTGACCATCCTGGCTAACATGGTGAAACCCGGTTTCCACTAAAAATACAAAAAAATTAGCCAGGCATGGTGGCGGGCGCCTGTAGTCCCAGCTACTTGGAAGGCTGAGGCAGAATGGCGTGAACCCAGGAGACGGAGCCTACAGTGAGCCGAGATTGCGCCATTGCACTCCAGCCTGAGTGACAGAGCAAGACTGTGTCTCAAAAACAAAAAAAATAAAAAAAAAACAGTAAGGATAAAATTTCCAAAACAAAGATAATAGCGCCAAACATAGTATAAAACATGTGCCCAACTTATGGTGGCTCATGCCTGTAATCCCAGCACTTTGGGAGGCCGAGGCAGACAGATCACGAGGTCAGGAGTTTGAGACCAGCCTGACCAACATGGCAAAACCCTGTCTCTACTAATAATACAAAAATTAGCCAGGCATGGTGGTGCGCCCCAGTAATCCCAGCTACTGAGGAGGCTGAGGCAGGAGAATCACTTGAACCCGGGAGGTGGAGGTTGCAGTGAGCCGAGATCACTCCACTGTACTCCAGCCTGGGCGACAGAGCAAGAAAGACTCCACCTTAACAACAACAAAAAACAAACATGTGCCCAGCTACCTTCGCCCCTAAAGGTAAGGGGATAGAGGTGCGAAAAGGTGGTCCTGGAAGTAATAAAGGGGGACCTGTGATTCCCACCAACACAGGCAAATTTGGCCCAGATCAAGTTAGGAAACACACGATTGAAATCTGGAAGAGAAAACTGGCTCCTACCACATTGCTTCTCTCGATCATGGGTGAAGCCTGAGGAGTTCCAGACACGGGGGTAGAGGCTGGGGTCTTTATTTCTTCGATCATATTCATGATTTTCTCTGGCACTTTGATGGCATCAACACAGGTCTCCTGCCACCGAGGCAGCTTGGAATTCAGTAGTTCTGCAGACTGCAAAGCCAAAAGAAGAAGACTAAAGACAAAGAAGATTGTCTGAAGAGCTGAGAAAAATGACATCACGTCATATCGCTGATAACAGATTACTGGCTTAGCACCAGGAGTGTGGGGGCCCTGGGTTAAACTCGGTGAGCACTTTAAGCACCTAGAGGATCAGCTGTGTCTCACCGGCTGAGAGGGGCAAAGGCTCTGACTCAAAAGGAAATTTCCTGATCCCTCAGTGTGAATACAGAGCATGGGACTAATACGGGGATGGTAAATGGTTAAGAGCAAGAACAGAAACTCAAAGGGAGGGAGGGAGCAATCTGTATGAATCCCGTTTTCCAGGTGGCCCCAGAAACGCCAACCATCACTTTCTCCCTCCCACTCCTACTAAAAGCAGCACCTCCAACACAGGCCACGGGCCCCGTAGTTGACTCTGACCGATTCAGACATTAGAGAAGTGAATCAGACACTGTCCTGAGAGTCTGTCTATGGGGAAGAGGGACTGGGTGAGTGGTGGGCAGTGCTGAGGGACGCCCCCACCACAGGCCAAACAAGGTTTTGCAGAGCAGACCTGACCAGCAGGGGTGAGAACCCGCAACCCTGGAGGCAGAGTGCCCCTCCAGCACCCACAAGCCTGGCTCTGCTCCTGACAACTGGATTCTCAGAGGCCCCCCAAGCGCTTCCAGTGAGCACCTTTTCTGAAGAGCACTCTGGTTGGGAAAGGGGAGGCAGGAGCCTGTCCTGCGGCTGTGTGCATGGCAGTCACACTGCTTTTACTCAGCCTCTGAGTTTATCAAGAGTGGTGGGGGGCTGATGTCAGTCCTGGGGAAGGGCAAAGACCCCCTCACACCACCCCTGTCCCCAAATGCCACCCCACCCCCAACTGTCACCCCACCCCCAACTGTCACCCTGACACTCTGCAGCACCGTGGACCAGCTGCTTGGGCCTGCTTCATCCCAACTCCACAGAAAGGACTGAGGCGCTTTAGCTGAATTAAGGGAAGCCACAAAACCAGTTTTCAGATACTCGAAGAAACTTCCAGCATAGAAACGAGCAGATTTGGTCTGCGTCACTCTAGAAAGCATTACTGGGACCGATGGTTAAGTCTAAGAAAGACTCTGCTGATAACTGGAGCTCCCTGAAAAGGTGCTAGGCTGCCTCATGACACGGTGGGGATATCACGCAGGAAGAGAACCTCAAGGTCACCTCTGTCCTCTCCAGCCTGCGACCCTGGTGCCACAGGATGCCCTCACTCTGGGAAGAGAAGATTCTAAAGTGAACTCTACATTCCCGAAACTAGTACAGACATGCTGTTGACAAAAGTGATCACCTAATACAGCAACTATTTCCTTTGCTGTAACCATTTTCTTCTGCTTTTTTGAGAGAGGATTTTGGCTCTGTCACCCAGGCTGGAGTGCACTGGCACAATCACAGCTCACTGCAACCTCGAACTCCTGGGCTCAAACAATCCTTCCACCTCAGCCTCCTGAGTAGCTGGGGCCACAGATGCACATCACCACAACTGGCTAATTAAAACTTTTTTTTTTTTTTTTTGGTAGAGATAGGGTCTCGCTATGCTGCCCAGGCTGGTCTGGAACTCCTGGGCTCAAGTGATCCTCCTGCCTTGGGCTCCCAAAGGGCTGGGATTATAGGCATGAGCCACTGTGCCTGGCCTGCTGTACTAATTTTAAATCTTATTTAGGGAGCTGAATACTCCTTTTTCTTCCTTTTTTTTTTTTTTTTTTTTTGAGACAGAGTCTTGCTCTGTTGCCCAGGCTGAAGTGCAGTGGTGTGATCTGGGCTCACTGCAACCTCAGCCTCCTGGGTTCAAACAATTCTCCTGCCTCAGCCTCCTGAGTAGCTGGGATTACAGGTGCTCACCACATGTGATTAATTTTTGTATTTTTAGTAGAGACAGGGTTTCACCATGTTGGCCAGGCTGGTCTCAAACTCCTGACCTCAAGTGATTCACCCACTTTGGTCTCCCAAAGTGCTGGGATTACAGGCGTGAGCCACCATGCGCAGTCCTGAATATTCCTTAAAGTTGTAAAAAGTTTATAGAAAATACAACATTTGCATACATACAAGGCCAAAGTATTTTTCCTTTAAAACAAAGACAAAGCTGACTTATATTCAAGCTCTTGCAAAGCTTCTCCTATATTGGAACACTCTCTAACTTTACTATGAACAACAATGAATTTCTGACCTCAACCAGTGCTAGTTTTGGATGTTTACAAAGGCCCAACAGAGTTCATAATTTAAAACAAAGGAAAGGAAATGTGACATGTGTTGCATCATGATTCCTGGGGGTTCGAACCTCACAGCTGTGTGTGTTGGAAGGAGGGTGATGAGGTCATTCAGTTGAATAAACCAGGAACCAATACCACCAAGAGGAATGAACGCATCACTGAGCCCAGCTGTCCTGATGCGCGTGAATGGGGGCCCGTGGGCTGGGGCAGAGCTGCCCGTGACCCCCGGACACGGACCCATGAAGGGAGCATCTCAAATCGCCCAGGTGGGGTAGACCTGGGCCCGCTGGGACTCACCAGCAGCCATGGTGAAGACACTGATGCTGAGGACACATCAGAAAGGGCCTGGGGAAAGCTGACTCGCAGGTGAGAAGAGCAAACATGTGCTATTTTTCAATGATGAAGCATTATTTTATGAAGGACTTTAAATATGGATGTATTATTAATTTATTAAACATTATACATGGACGTTTGACCATTTCAGCTGTATTTCTATAAGTTTATATGTTCAAGTTGGCCAAACACAGTTTCTCTGGAATCTTTTCATTGGCAAAATGGCCCACTGCTTTATATTGGGCATGTGTGGAAGGTGAGTGGCGTGCATGTGTGTATATCTCTGTACGTATGGACTGATTGAGACAGGGTCCCGCTCTGTTGCTCAGGTTGGAGTGCAGTGGCACAATCATGGCTCACTGCAGCCTCAACTTCCCAGGCTGAAGGGATCCTCCCACCTCAGCCTCCTGAGTAGCTGGGACTACAGGCACATGCTACCATGCCTGGCTAGTTTTTTTTTTATTATTTTTTATAGAGACAGAGTTTTGCCATGTTGCCCAGGCCCACCTCAGCCTCCCAAAGTGCTGGGATTACAGGCGTGGGCCACGGCCCAGCCTTCTGGGGCATTTAAATATGAAATAAAGTTATTAATACGCTCAAGGCAATTTGCCACCACACCCACCTGTAAGTGATAATAATGTATGTGGTTTGCAAAGCCACAGTGCTTATCAACCAGAAAGCAGAAGCGCCTCTTCTCTTCAAGCAGAGCCTCTTTGCAACCATCTGCAATGAATTTCTGGATTTCACTCTGACGAGAAGTAACGGTCTCCACATACTAAAAAAAAAAAAATAATAATAATAATAATTATATAAGCATGACATGAGCATCAGATAGCGTGCAGCCTGACGTTTATCTTCTGCCATCTTTACACCTGCTTTATTTGAATAATAGAGTAAATACATGAGAGGAAAGAATGCTGTAACCTGACCTAAGTAGATACCATCGTTCTCCTTGAGGTCCCTGACTCGTGTGCAGAGAGAAGTTGCCCAAGGGCTTGACATTCCCACGGGGCAATTTGCACAAATATTACTTTGTACTTCAGAGATATGATCGTGTCCTACTGGAAAGCACCACGGGCTTTGGAACCAGAAAGTTCCAGGTTCAAACCCAGTTCCAAATGCCAACAATAGGTGATATGCTTTGGCTGTGTCCCCACCCAAATCTCATCTTGAATTGTAGCTCCCGTAATTCCTATGTGTTTGGGGAGGGACCTGGTGGGAGGTAATTGAATCATGGGGGCAGGTCTTTCCCATGCCATTCTTGTGATAGTGAATAAGTCTCACAAGATCTGATGGCTTCATAAAGGGAGTTTCCCTGCACAAGCTCTCCTTTGCCTGCTGCCATCCATGTAAGACGTGACTTGCTCCTCCTTCCCTTCCACCATGATTGTGAGGCCTCCCCGGCCATGTGGAACTGTGAGTCCATTAAATCTCTTTCTTTTGTAAATTGCCCAGTCTCGGGGTATGTCTTTACCAGCAGCATGAAAATGGAGTAATAAAATATGATTTAACCTAAGCCTCATTTTCCCCATCTGTACAATGGGAATAGTAACACTGATCATGGAGAGTCCCTTCTTCTTTCAGAGCCAGGATAAAAAGCCCATGTTTTGGCAGGAGGTCACTGATTAATTATACTTAACTCAGGGAAACTCTACAGCCTTCAGCTCTCAGTCAAAATGCTTATTTTTAAAAACTGATAGATTATATATTTATAGGGCACATGTGATAATGATCAAAGCAGGGTCCTTGGGTGGCCATCACCTCAAATTCTTATTGTTTCTATGTGTTGGGGACATTCCAAGACCTCTCTTCTAACTATTTTGAAATAATGCATCGCTGTTAACTATAGTCACCCTACTCTGCTATTGGACACTAGAACTTATTTCTTTTATCCAATTGTATGTTTGGACCCATTAACCAACCTCTCCTTCATCCACTCCCCAGTCAACACAATGACCATCCTCAGCTATCTAGAGAATGACAGGTAACCATCATTCTACTCCCCACTTCCATGAGATCAACTTCAAAACTTTTTTTTTTTTTTGAGATGGAGTCTCATTCTGTCACCCAGGCTGGAGTGCAGTGGCATAATCTCGGCTCACTGCAACCTCTGCCTCCCAAGTTCAAGCAATTCTCCTGCCTCAGCCTCCGAGTAGCTGTGACTACAGGTACCTGCCATCACCCCAGCTAGTTTTTGTAGAGGCAAGGTTTCACCACATTGGCCAGGCTGGTCTCGAACTCCTGACCTCATATGATCCTACTGCCTCGGCCTCCCAAAGTGCTGGGATTACAGGCGTGAGCCACCGCACCCGGCTAACCTCCTCTTAAACTGTGCAAATTGTCAACAACAAAAGAAAACAAGATATTGTTGAAAAGCTCACCTCAATTTCTTTGTGTTCATATTTGAGTGCGTTTCGGCTTCCTTGGCTTTTCCTTCTGATCTTCTTCAACTCAGCTTGGGATTTCTCCAAAGACTCTAATTTATTCTTGTGTTCTGTTTGGTATCTTTTTAGAGTTGCCTGTAAGTTAAATGGCTGTGCTTATTTTACTGTGGCACCACACGAATTGTCACACAGTTTGCCTTTACTCACACTTCCACTGTGTGTGGCTCAACGGGGCCCTGACACCCTCACTTCACACCATCCTCACACTGGCTGGGGCCCCCACACCCACACCAGTTCACACCATCCTCCTGCTGGCCGGGGTCCCATGCCCACACTTCGCACCATCCTCATGCTGACCAGGGCCCTCATCCCTCAGTTCACACCGTCTGCATGCTGGCTGGGACCCTCACCCTGCAGTTCACACCATCCACACACTGGCTGGGACCCTCACTCATTTCACACCATCCTTACACTGGCTGGGACCATCACCCCGCAGTTCACACCATCTGCATGTTGGCTGGGGACGCTCACCACACAGTTCACATCATCCTCACACTGGCCGGGGCCCTCGCTCATTTCACACCATCTTTACGCTGGCTGGGACTGTCACCCCGTAGTTCACACCATCTGCATGATGGCTGGGACCCTCACTCTGCAGTTCACACCATCTGCATGCTGGCTGGGACCCTCACCCCACAGTTCACATCATCCTCACACTGGCCGGGGCCCTCACTCATTTCACACCATCCTTACGCTGGCTGGGACCCTCACCCCGCAGCTCACACCATCTGCATGATGGCTGGGACCCTTACTCTGCAACTCACACCATCTGCATGCTGGCTGGGACCCTCAACCCGCAGTTCACACCATCCACACACTGGTTAGAGCCCTCACCCCTCAGTTCACATTGCCCCCTTCATGCAACTTTAATGTCTTGGCTTTGTTCTAAAGGTTACTGTTTAAATGAGGAGCCCCCGACCAGAAGCCAAGTCTCTAAGGACATCTTCTCTTTCTTTTATTCCTTCTTTCCTCAAAGGCTTTTTGATGCTGGGTGGTTAACTTTCTTCTGCCACCCAAAGTCTCAAAGTTCCATCCAAAGCACTTAGCCACCAAGGTGGTTGCAGCAAGCTGAGATCGCGCCACTGCACTCTCTGCCTCCCGGGTTCAAGTGATTCTTGTGCCTCAGCCTCTCCAGTAGCTGGGATTACAGGCGCACACAACCACGCCCGGCTGTATTTTTAGTAGAGACCAGGTTTCACCATGTCAGCCAGGCTGGTCTCGAACTCCTGACCTTGGATCCACCCGCCTTGGCCTCCCAAAGTGCTGGGATTACAGGCGTGAGCCACCACGCCCAGTGAACACAGGGTCTTAAACGGACCCGCGTCAGAATTCAAATCCTTGTTTTCCCTATAATCTGTGAAGTGCAGATAAGAAGGATGTCTGGCCGGCATGGTGGCTCACGCCTCTAATCCCAGCACTTTAGGAGGCCGAGGCAGGTGCACCACGAGGTCAGAAGTTTGAGACCAGCCTGGCTAAAATGGTGAAACCCCGTCTCTACTAAAAAATACAAAAATTAGCCGGGTGCAGTGGTGGGTGCCTGTAATCCCAGCTAATTGGGAGGCTGAGGTAGGAGAATCGCTGGAACCCAGGAGGCGGAGGTTGCAGTGAGCCCCGAGATTGCGCCACTGCACTCCAGCCTAGGCAACAGAGCAGGACTCCATCTCAAAAAAAAAAAAAAAAAGAATGGTGTCTATGTTTTGGAGTTTCTGAAGGCATAGCAATTAGATAACGTATGTAAATCACTTGGCATGAAATGCACCTTAGCAGCTGTCCGGGTCCTGTGGCCTCCTGCCGGGAGGGTGCAGCCAGGCAGCAGTCCTCACGAGGACGACAGGGGAGGGATGATTCCAGGGCAACTCGCACACTCACTGCCACATGGGGGTCTGGGTGAGCAGGAAGGGGACTTTGGGTGGCAGGAGAAAGTTAAGTACTCTATAGAGCAAGGGAAGATGGCAAGAGCCCTCAATACCGGGTCTGTAGGGCCACCCTGAAGGGGACCTGGATAAACCTGCTGAAATGGACAAAAGTGGATAGAGAAGGGGCGCCATGCAGGAGCGGTCTCTGCAGATGGGCCAGGGCACACCGGGAGCCCCGGACGGTGCTCTCCCGCACACCACCCACAGCCTGAAGTGCTGCTGGCTTAGGAAGTGTTATGTCTGCATCAGCTGCAGCGACAGAAGCACAAATGTCCTACAGCGTGAATGTATTCTGTGAAGACAATGCTTTCTGGAAGCAGTGTGATTTCCTGCAATACTTTTTCCTATGCCTTTTTTTTTTTTTTTTGAGATGGAGTCTTGCTCTGTCGCCCAGGCTGGAGTGCAGTGGCGCAATCTTGGCTCACTGCAACCTCCGCCTCCCCGGTTCAAGCCATTCTCCTGCCTCATCCTCCCGAGTAGCTGGGATGACAGGCATGCACCACCATGCTCAGCTAATTTTTTTTTGTATTTTGAGTAGAGATGGGGTTTCACTATGTTGGCCAGGCTGGTCTTGAACTACTGACCTCAAGTGATCCGCCTGCCTTGGCCTCCCAAAGTGCTGGGATTACAGGCATGAGCCACCGCACCTGGCCCCTATGCTTTCTAATAAGATCCCAAGTGTTAGCGAAAACCGGCCCACACAGCCCAAAGAGAGCTTGTCGGTTTCATGCATCTGGGCATCATCAACACGGAGCTTCTCTCCTGTCTGCTGCTGATGAGTCAACAGTGGGAACGAGTTCTCCCCAGGCTGGGAGGTCAGGCAGCCCAAGGCTGGGGCTGGAGGAAAACCATGCACTTACGTTCATATATTTCACGTCAAGTTCTATCTTCTTCTCCAGCTCATGGATAATCTCTTTGTGGAATTTTTTAAACTGTTAACAAAAGGAAATAAATTCATACCAGGTTTGAGATTTTAAGCAAAATAAGTTCTAAAACCTGAAATGAGTGTATTTTGTAAATAGAAACACAGATCACGTACATTTTCATCAAGACTCTCGTTGAGTTTCTTGTGGGTACTTGAAATCTCTATGAGGACATGTCCTGGGAACAAAACCAGATATGTTAGCGGGAAGCCATTGCGTATTTTTTTGTTTTGAAATGGAGTTTTTGCTCTGTCGCCCAGGCTGGAGTGCAAAGGCACGATCTTGGCCCGCTGCAACCTCCGCCTCCCGGGTTCAAACTATTCTCCTGCCTCAGCCTCCCAAATAGCTGGATTACAGGTGTGCATCACCATGCCTGGCTAACTTTTTGCATTTTTAGTAGAGACAGGGTTTCATCGTGTTGGCCAGGCTGGTCTTGAACTCCTAACCTCAGGTGATCAACTGCCTTGGCCTCTCAAAGTTCTGGGATTACAGGTGTGAGCCGCCGCGCCAGGCCCATTGCACAGTTTTGTAAAGTATTAGGAAAAGTGAAACAGAACAGGGAAACACAGAAATACACTGTCCTCAGGGTCTCTAAGCATCATCCCTGAGACACATCAGGAGCACAACAGGGTCCCCACAGTGGCTTCCAGGGGGACACAGCTGAGAGCAAACAGCTTCTACAACATAATTAATCAGACAAATGCAAACTCTGTTCAAATTCACATGAGTCTTTCTGTTCTGTCTTTTGTTTTTTGAGACAGGGTCTGGCTCTGTCACGCAGGCTGGAGTGCAGTGGCACGACCTTGGCTCACTGCAGCCTCCACCTCCTGGGTTCAAGTTATCCTTCCACCTCAGCCTCCCGAGTAGCTGGGACTACAGGCGTGCACCACCACACTCAGCTATTTTTTTGGGACATTTTGTGGGGAGGGTTTTTCACCATGTTGCCCAGGTTGGTCTCGAACTCCTGACCTCAAGTGATCCGCACACCTCAGCCTCCCAAAGTGCTGGGATGACAGGTGTGAGCCACTGTACCTGGCCCACGTGGCCCTTTCTATATGCACTTTTTCCCTAAGCCAAGTTCTATATATCTGATTCAAATTTTGAAATTGTCTCACAAATGATTACTTCGGTCATCACAGTAGCTAACTCTAGGAATAAAAAATGATTTATTTTTATCGAATCCCCAGAGTAATCTGATTATCTGTCAGGCACGAGAGATAAAGGCTATTTCTTTTTTCTCACGTTAGTTCTTACAATGTTTTGGAAAATACTAACGCCAGGGGAACCCGCAGCAGGAAGAGTGCTCAGCCCTGCCTCTGCTGGGAATACACCAGCCCCTGAAACCAAGCACAGTCACATGATGGGCAGGATGCTCCAGGACAGAGAAGCCTCACCGCCGAGGGCAGCAATCACGCCCCCGGGTTTGCAATCATATCTCTGCAGTGAGTGGCAGTGCGCCAGCTCTCTGCCACCTTTCTACAGGTGACATCTGATAAAGGTGAACAAGGGCCTCTCTCTGCCAACTTATCTGCAGGAACCAAACGGGTTTCCTAGGGTCTGACACCTAAGAAATGGAGAAACACATAGACTCATCTGGAACCACCGTTACCACCACCATCAAACAATGCCGACCAACAGCAAGATGTGCCGGCGGACCATCCTACAGCTCAGCGGCCAGATAAAAATGAATTCCAGGCCGGGTGTGGTGGCTCACGCCTGTCATCCTAGCACTTTTGGGAGGCTGAGGTGGGAGTATCACGAGGTAAGGAGTTCGAGACCATCCTGGCCAACACGGTGAAACCCCGTCTCTATTAAAAATACAAAAATTAGCTGGGCATGATGGCACGTGCCTGTAATCCCAGCTACTTGGGAGGCTGAGGTGGGAGAACTGCTTGAACCTGGGAGGCAGAGGATGCAGTGAGCCGAGATAGCGCCACTGCACTCCAGCCTGGGTGACAGAGTGAGACCCTGTCTCCCCGCCCCCCAAAAAAGGAATTCTAGTGGGGAACTGAGAGGCTGCAGGGGAGGAATCGGAATGAGGACTGTGGTAGAATATGGGGAGAGAGAGAAAGCACAGACTGGACTATGGCCTCGGCTATGATCACCATACAAATGACCCTATCATGTCCTGTTCTAGGTACATCTGAAGACATCTGAGTCTGACACTGGCCACCCAGGCTTCCCTTGTCCCAGCTCAGGATTCAACCCTTGCTGAACACGACCACGCAGACGTCCCATTGGGCACACCTCATCCTCGACATGTCTCAAAGTGACCTCTCTGGCTGCCCTGCATTCTCTAATTCCAGCTCTCAGCTGCCAGCCAGCCAAGGATCAACTTCTCGCCCATGTGTAATACCTGACAATCCCTTGGGGATAGGAGGCCATCATCGGAGCCACCTGTAGGGTGCAGCCATGTCCCTTCCTAAGCTCTGTGGTCTCTTCCCTGCCCAGGAGAGAAGGCATGGGGCATGGCGTGTGAAGTCACCAAGACATGTTCACCAGGTGATCTGTTCCACCAGAGATGGCGGAGGATTCTCCCATCCACCCCCAGCACTCACGTCCCACCACGTGGGCTTTCGAGGAGGTCCTCTCTCATGCCTGCCCAACCCCAATGCCTGCTTCCATCCCTCATCCTCTCTCTGGACTCCCAGCTTGTTCTTTCCCAGATCACCTTCCTCACAGATGCCAGGGATCTTTCCAAAATGCAGGCGTAACATGTCGCTCCCCTGCTCCCGCCATGGTGTTCCAGGGAAACCAGCTTCCGAGCTGTACTTCAGAGCCCTCTGCAAACAGTGCTACCTAGACAAGGTGGGGTCAGAGGCTCTCAGATAAGCAGAACTTGCAGGGCTTGTGACAGGTATATAACCTAGTCCTTAAGCCCTGTGGGATTTTACAGCGCTCTGACGGAGTAACTCGATGGCTAAACACGGGGAGTAAAGACAGAACCATCCCAGCACTCAGGGCTCCACCCTCCGAGTAAGCGAGCTTCCCACTCCACATCCTTAGCAACGCTGGCTTCATCTTCCAGAACGGGGCATGAGAAAACCGACAGACCAGAATTCTTCACAAAAGCTGCCTTCACACAGCCAAGAGCATAATTCCATTAATATGCCATTTTATAGCCCCTCAGTCATTTCAGATACAAACTCAGTTACTTTCACATCTATTTTAAACCCACAAACAATTCCTCATTGGGGATGAAATATAAACAACAACAAAACCCGCTCCAGTTATTTAGAAAATCAGACACTCTATTCTTGGCAAAGGAGATCTACTTAAAATACATAAATAAATAAACATCTAAAAATAATGTGGCTCAAAGCATTCGGTGATTTGAGCTAGAGGAAACGCATTCACATTTTTTCCCTCATACTGTTCTCTTTCATGAACTTTATTTCCACAACCTTATATAATGTGGATCTCTGGGAAGCATGGTGCCAAAACCAAGGTGTGTGCTAGGGTGGACGCCAACACCGTTGAACCTGGTGCTCTGGCCTGGCCGGGCCTCTGGGCACGCTCCATGCTCCTGCCCGTGGCTTCCCGCAGCATGGCGGAGAGGCGCAGTGAAGCAGCTCTTTCACTCTGCGGGCAGGCAGGCAACACCTGGCCTTGTTATTCCTGTCCCTCACTGCTCCTGGAATTCAGATGCCGACCTCACAGCAGCTGGCCGCCGCGGAGTCAGCGGTCACAGAAAGGATTAACACACATCTTGGCTGCGATTCTGCAAGTAGCCGAAAGAGTATCTTGAAGCGGAAGATGAAAACACCCTTTATGTTCAATCTGCAGAAGTTTCATCTTAAATAGAGCAAGTGTTACTTTATGTTTAAAATGCGATGCCACATTGGTTTGTTTGCTCTTAGTTCGGTAACCTACTTTTTCAGAAATTACATTTGAAAAGGGGGAAAAAAAAAACCCGGAGGGTGGGGCGAAGCAGGCACAGCCTGGACTCAGAAGAAGCAAAGCTAAGCATGCGCCCCAATAAGAAACACACCACTGTGCTGTGCACACTGGGGCGCCTGCTTCCTTTTTCCCCCGGTTACGTTTGGAGTCACCCTTTTGGGAAGAAACTCAGCGCCGTCATTACAGTACTGTGATTCAGTCTGAATAAGTGGCAATATACACGTATTTCAAAAGCAGGAACTCAACATAACTCGAAGACATTTTCTGCCATCAATTTTTCCTCAATATTCGCAGAAATAATTCACACAGAGTGTTAGAGCTCTGCAAGAGCTTGTCTAGCAGGTTGTGGAAATCTCCAACAAAAAAAGAATGGTTAATGGTGGTATCACTCTGATTTTAGAAACTGTGAACAAATATGCCCAACATTTTGGACACTATTGTATAAAGAGATGCATTTAGCCAATAGGTGGTATGGAGTTAAAACAAAAAAAGGACAAAACTTCAGGAAGATTATTGGTATGAATGCCTAGAACATTTTCATTGGAAACACAGGGCCAGGTGTGGTAGCTCAAGTCCCAGCACTTTTTCGGGTTCAGGCGGGAGGATCGCTTGAGGCCAGGAGTTCAAGACCAGCCTGGGCAACACAGTGAGACCTCCACCATCTCTACAAAAAAAAATTAAAAATTAGCTGGGCTTCATGGAACATGCCTGTAGTCCCAGCTACTCAGGAGACAGAGCAAGACCCTGTCTCCAAAAAGAAAAATAATACAGTCATTGGACTATTAATATATTTTCTTCATCAGTTCACAGTACAAATTTAGAGGAACCAGATGGAGATTACTAATGCACCTGAACTGCATAGGACATGTAGGCATAAAGATTCTTTCCATTTATATCTGATCATGGATAATCAGAACCTGCTTCATTTCCAGAGAACGCAGAGCAACGCCTGAGTCACGCACTACTTCCTACACATCACTACAAGTGGAGTCAGACAGTAAAAAGTGGAAGCAGCCAATCTAGTACTGTTCTAAAGCTATGCTGCAGAGATTAAAGTAAAATTGATTAAAAATATCATTGGAGGCCAGGTGCAGTGGCTCACGCCTGTAATCCTAGCACTTTGGGAGGCGGAGGCAGGCAGATCACAAGGTCAGGAGTTCGAGACCAGCCTGGCCAATATGGTGAAACCCTGTCTCTACTCAAAATACAAAAATTAGCTGGGCATGGTGGCAGGTGCCTGTAGTCCCACCTACTAGAGAGGCTGAGGCAGGAGAACTGCAGAGGTGGCAGTGAGCCGAGATCAGGCCACTGCACTCCAGCCTGGGCAACAGAGCAAGACTCTAAAATAAATAAATAAATAATAATAATAATTGGAGGCCAGGTGTGGTGGCTCATGCCTGTAATCCCAGCACTTTAGGATGCTGGGGTGGGTGGATCACTTGAGGTCAGTAGTTTGAGACCAGCCTGGCCAACATGGGAAAACTCCATCTCTACTAAAAATACAAAAATTAGCCGGGCTTGGTGGCGCGTGCCTGTAGTCCTAGCTACTCAGGAGGCTGAGGTAGGAGAACTGCTTGAACTCAGGAGGCAGAGGTTGCAGTGAGCCAAGGTCGTGCTACTGCACTCCAGCCCGGGTGACAGAGCAAGACTTTGTCTCAAAAAATATATACATACAAAAAAAAAATAAAAATGTCATTGGAAAAAGGACTGAATTTTTCTGACAATTTTCCAAGTTTCAAATGGAATGAGGAGAAAACAGTGGAAGTAAAAGCAAACCGCTCCCCAGCACACACACGGGATGCATTAAACGAGCGTGAGCTCTGAAGATTAGAGTCACCACACTGAATCAGTGCGGAGGCAGATGAGCAACCACAAACGTGATCAAATTTGAAAGGCTCGGTCAGCATCTGAGAACCTGCAGTCCCTGGACGCAGTTGGAAGTGAGGTGCCCTCCTGGGGTCAGTACCAACACTGCACAAGCAGCGGGGTGCAATGGCTCACGTCCGTAATCACAGCTCCCAGTTTTGGGAGGCCAAGGCAAGAGGATTGCTTGAGCCCAGGGGATGGGCCACACAGTGAAACCCCATCTCTCCAAAAGATACAATGATAAGCTAGGTGTGGTGGTGTGTGCCTGTGGTCCCAGCTACTCGGGAGGCTGGGGCAGGAGGATCACTTGAGCCCAGGAGGCTGAGGTTACAGTGAGCCATGACTGTGCCACTGTACTCCGGCCTGGGCAACAGAGCAAGGCACAGTCTCAAAAAACCAAAACAAAAACACGTACAAACAACCAATGTGCTTGTAGGGGTGACCCCAAATAAGTGATAGGGTGAGCATTGCCTGGATCATTCCTCCGTGTCTAGCTGCTGACTTAAATAACAACGGCACCACATCCTAATCAATGTCTTACAAGGAGACATTGTAAGTTACTGTACACTGTGCTCAAAACTAACTAACTAACTTAACTAACTAGCGGGTATGCCACAAGAGCCGGCTTGAAGGAGCTAGTACTGGCCATGTAGAAGCTCATACTGGGACAACTTGAGCACCAAAATAAAGGCAGTCACAAATTACAAGTCATGGAAAAGTCTAGGAATCTGCGAGTCCACAGTAAACAGATTAGAAAAAAGAAATGGGGGACCAGGGACAGCTCTTGCTAGAAGTAGAGTTGCACAGTGCCAATCAGTAAATGAAGAGGGAGTACAGAGATGGAAAATCATCACCACAGGGCAGGGAAGACTTGTCTGGACAAAAATCATCAACAGATGCTCAACTAGGGCACAAGTGTTGACAAGGAAAGAGAGGTTTGTATGGTCTGAAAGTGTTTTCCCCACAAATTGCTTACTAGTCGTGACAAAAAAAAAAATTAACTACACAGTGTAGAGATCAGACAACACCTTCAATGGACAATCAAAACAAACATAACAAATGAGAGGAAGATGAACACTGTGTGCTGAAATTTTATACTCAGCGGACATAAAATGACTTGGACAGTATTCCAGCTGAGAACACACAATCTGAATCTAATCAGGGAGATCTGGTATTTGAAAGTGAGGATCCCGGCCAGGCGCGGTGGCTCATGCCTGGAATCCCAGTGCTCTGGGAGGCCAAGGCAGATGGATCACCTGAGGTCAGGAGTTTGAGACCAACCTGGCCAATATGATGAAACCCTGTCTCTATTAAAAATATAAAAATTAGTCGGGTGTGGTGGTGCACATCTGTAATTCCAGCTACTTGGGAGGCTGAAGCATGAGAATTGCTTCAACCAGGGAGGCAGAGGTTGCAGTAAGCTGAGATCATGCCACTGCACTCCAGCCTAGGCAACAGAGCAAGACCTTGTAAATAAATAAATAAATAAATAAATAAATAAATAAAGCCAGGCGTGGTGGCTCACGCCTGTAATCCCAGCACTTTTGGAGGCCAAGGCAGGCGGATCACCTGAAGTAAGGTGTTTGAGACCAGCCTGGCCAACATGGTGAAACTCTGTCTCTACTAAAAATACAAAATTAGCCGGGCATGGTGGTGCACACCTGTGATCCCAGCTACCTGGGAGGCTGAGGCAGAAGAATCACTTGAACTCGGGAGGCAGAGGTTGCAGTGAGCTGAGATTGCACCACTGTACTCCAGCCTGGGTGAAAAGAGCAAAACTCTGTCTCAAAAAAAAAAGAAAAGTGAAGATTTTGTATTCCTGACTATTCATCCTTGTTTAGCATTTCTGATGTGGGTTCGTGCCTGTGCCAATTCTTTATTGCACTACTAAATGGATTTACTTATTTCTTTTTAGAGAGGAATAAATTGATTTCATCCACCTCCGGCGGTTAATCCAGTGTGGTTGAGGGAGGTAAGGGGGAAATGGAGAAGTGTGTTAACAGGATAAATATTATTAACGCTTTGCTTAACAGTAAAATCTCTGGCAACCTCAATTTTAGAAAATGAGAGACATGGCTGAAGACTTGGAGGTGAAAAGCCAAAAAGAGCTGCAAGCAGAAACCCGAACATTGTTTTTTTTTTTGGAGAATGGGTTCCCTTTTAGACACAGCACAAATACACCTTCATTTTATATATAAGTCTAGAATGGATTGCTCAAAAGACATTGATTTTTTTCATACTAAAAAGTCAGAAGCGACTGCTGACCTCTGAGTAATAGAATACAAGATCTTTAGGAAGAAGAGCTCATGAGGAAGATGGGAAGGCTGGCTGAGGAGGCCGGAGAAGGGCCAGGCACCACGAAAGGGAAAAGACTGGACGCAGCTTCAGAAGGCAGAAGGTTCTGGATCAGCCTCTATAGAGAACTCAAGGACACGAAGACGGGGCAAAGGTCACAGCATCCGCAGGAAGATGCAATGACATCAGACAGGCCTCTTAGTACCTGTGCATCCCCGGGAAGTTCCCTAACCTCTTTCTGCAGTATCTCTTGGAGCTGTGGTATTCTCATCTGTGTAGAGTGCCTGCTCCACAGGCTTCGGTGGGTACTGTGCTTTCCAGTGTTCTGGAGAGAAACACTGGCTGCTGAGGTGCCCCAGTCCAGACACGTGGAGCAGATGGGTTCAATAATGCACTGGCTTATACCTGGAGTCCCAGCTACTTGGGAGGCTGAGGTGGGAAGACTGCTTGAGCCCAGAAGTTGGAGACCAGCCTGGCAACATAGCAAGATCCCATCTCAAAAAAAAAAAAAAAAAAAAATTCATGATACACACCAACAAAAATGTGCCCACACACTCCTCAACAGGCCATTTTCTAGGCGAGTACTTGTTTTCTGGAAATAAAATCCACACATGTGATTGTTCAGCCTGTAGTCACCATTTTTTGGTGCACTTTACACATATCCATCTATACACTCAGCTCGACACTTCTGTCATAGCCTTTCTTTCCCCAGTCCCGGAGTCCTCAAAGGAAAAACTGTCAATCTCCTGTTATCTAAGGGAACATACCTGTAGAGTATACTTTATTTTCCTCTATCTTTTAAAACCTTAAACAGAATACTGAGAACCTCAGTCTGAAGTGCTGACATTTCTCCTATAGTTTAAGTTGCATCCATCAGGATTGATCCATCAGAGAACACACACATCTGGTCACCGTTGATGCAAAAACAATCGCAAAGGCACTTCCGGTTTCCACTCCAGCACGTCTAAGAGCTTAGAGGTCGTCACTCCCTTATAATAAGAAAAAGCTAAACAAATGGAAACAAGCTAAAATAAGAAACAGTAATTCTGAGACGCATGACAGGACTAAGCTCACAGGGTGAAGATGTACCCTGAAAACCAGACGGACAGGCTGACGCAGAGACTCACAGTTCACAGGGAGCAGAGACCAATGCTGGGGCCATTCCTGGCAGAAACTCTTACACCGCAGTGGAAGAACTGCTGGGGGCTTGGCATGGAGGAGTCTGAGAGTTGCAAACTTCAGGGGGTCAGTCTTTGCGGGCGGTCCCCACACTTTCATGAGTTTTACGTCTAGGAGTCCCACCACATTCTCAAGGGGAGGTTGGATAAGCTTCCCCTGAGGCTTCTGGTAGAGGGGGTGGGAGGTAAACATTCTGAAATATGCCCAGAGCTTTGTTCTGTTCCAGTTATGTTCTCTGTACGGAAGGCCGGGCCTCAAGGGAATCTGCTGTAATAAAGCCTTATCTGACCAGGGAAAGGGCGACTTGCTAACTCCAGCCCCCTCCAGTCTTCCTGTCTCAAGTAAAGGGATTTAAAAAAAAAAAGACTCAGAAACTCTTCCAAAAGGCATCCCAGGAACTCTGGCCTATCACCCCACACCCATCCAAACACAGGGATTTAAACATAAGAGGAAGATTCTTCCCCTCCCCAGTACTTGGCCACCAAGTTATCCATCAACAGGGCTCCGGGATAATATCTGTGGATTACAGCACAGAGCCGTAAGTAAGACACAGGCTTCATTTAGAAGAATTTTCTTGGGAAAACCAAAGACAACAGCAGCGAGAAAAAACAAGGACATCAGAGGAAAACCAAAGCCTCTGACTCCGTTACAAATACAGCTTCCTCTATCGTTAAATCCATGCTAACTCCTAGCCAGATAAACATAAATCCTCACACTAAAGGCTCATCTACCTCAGTTCCTATTATCTGACACGTCATGTTCAGCTTCTAAAAGCAGCAAACATTACAGGCATGCTAAGAAAAAAAACCAGATTCAGATGTGGTAGAGAATCTGGAATTATCAGACAGAGAACTAACCACCACCATGACTAATATGCTGAGGGTTCTACTGGGAAAAAGTGGGCAACGTGCAAGAAGAGATGGGTAATGGAAGCAGAGAGATGATGTGTTAGTCCGTTTTGTGTTGCTTATAAAGAACACCCGAGACTGGGTAATTCATTAATAAAGGAGGTTTAGGCCAGGCGTGGTGGCTCACACCTGTAATGCCAGCACTTTGGGAGACCGAGGCGGGCGGATCATCTGAGGTCAGGAGTTCTAGACCAGCTGGACCAACATGATGAAACCCTGTCTCTACTAAAAACACAAAATTAGCCGGGCGTGGTGGCGCACGCCTGTAATCCCAGCTACTCGGGAGGCTGAGGCAAAAGAATCGCTTGAACCCTGTAGGCGGAGGTTGCAGTGAGCCGAGATCACACCATTGCATTCCAGCCTGGGTGACAGAGCAAAACTGTTTCAAAAAAATAATAATAAAAATAAAAAATAAAGGAGGTTTATTTGGCTCTGGGTTCTGCGTGGTACCAGCATCTGCTTGGCTTCTGGCGAGCCCTCAGGAAACTTCTACTCATAGCAGAAGGCAACGTGGGCACAGGCATGTCACATGGTGTGAGAGGGAGCAAGGGAGTGGGAGGGGTGCCCTCTCTGTTAAGCAAGCAGATCTTATGTGGACTAATAGAGTGAGAACTCACTTATTACTGCAAGGAGGGCACCAAGCCTTTCACGAGGAATCTGCCCCCATGACACAAATACCTCCCACTAGGCCCCCACCTCCAATAGTGGGGGTCACATTTCAACATAAAATTGGGAGGGGGCTGATATCCAAACTATATCAAATAGAAACTCAAAGATTCAAAAAGAAATACTAGAAATCAAAAACACTGAAATGAAGAAACAAAGAATGCCTTTGATAAGTTCACCAGCAGACTGGACACGACCAAGGGAAGAATGAATGAGCTTGAAGATACGTCAACATAAACTTCCGAAACTGAAATGCAAGGAGAATAAAGAACAAAAAATGAAACAGAATATCCAAGAACTGCGGGAAAATTACAAAAGGTATAAATAGCCACAATGGAAATACCAGGAGAAAAAGAGAGAAGGGAACAAAAACAATAAAAACTGATGTAATAATATGAGAATCTTCCAAAGTTACTGGCAGACACCAAACCACAGACCCAAAAAGCTCAGAGAACACAGGACAGGATAAATACTAGAAAATCTGCACCTTGGTATACATATTCAAACTGTAGACTAGCAAAAAGAAAAATCTTTTTTTTTTTTTTTTTTTGGAGACAGACTTTCACTCTTGTCGTCCAGGCTGGAGTGCAATGGCGTGATCTCGGCTCACCGTGACCTCCGCCTCCCGAGTTCAAGCGATTCTCCTGCCTCAGCCTCCCGAGTAGCTGGGATTACAGGCATGCACCACCACACCCAGCTAATTTCGTATTTTTAGTAGAGATGGGGTTTCACCATGTTGGCCAGACTGTGTTTCGAAATCCTGACCTCAGGTGATCCACCTGCCTCAGCTTCCCAAAGTGCTGGGATTACAGGTGTGAGTCACCATGCCTAGCCAAGAAAAATCTTAAAAGCCAGAGGAAAAGAACACCTTGCTTCTAGAGGAACAATGATAAGAATGACATCAGACTTCTATTTACAAACCATGCAAGCAAGAAGAGAGTGGAGTAAAATACTTAAGTGTTGGAAGAAAAAATTCACCAACATAGAATTCTTCAGTAAAATCATCCTTCAAAAGTGAAGAAGAGATAAAGACATTCTCAGACAAACAAAAACTGAGGGGATTGGTTACCAGTAGGTCTGACTTGGGAAAAGATGTTAAAAGAAGTTCTTCAGAGACAAAAATCACATAGGTCGGAACTTTGGATCTACATAAAGAAAGGAACAGGGCTGGGCGCAGTGGCTCACACCTGTAATTCCAGCACTTTTGGGAGGCTGAGGCGGGTGGATCACTTGAGGCCAGGAGTTAGAGACCAGCCTGGCCAACATGGTGGAACTCTGTCTCTACCAAAAATATAAAAATTAGCCGGGTGTGGTGGCGCACACCTGTAATCCCAGCTACTCGGGAGGCTGAGGCAGGAGAATTGCTTGAATTCAGGAGGCAGAGGTTGCAGTGACCCGAGATCGCTCCACTGCACTCCAGCCTGGGTGACAGAACAAGACTCCATCTCAAAAAAAAAAAAAAAAAAAAAAAAAAAAAAGACAACATTCTAGATATTTAATGTCACCTTTTCAGTGAGGTACAATCTAGTCTTCCAATACCTAAGGTAGTACTTAGTAAAGATGTCTCCTCTAAAAAGTATAACAAAGTATACAGGCCTGGCGCAGTGGCTCACACCAGTAATCCTAGCACTTTGGGAGGCCAAGGCAGGCGAATCACAACGTCAGGAGTTCGAGACCAGGCTGGCCAACAAGGTGAAACCCCATCCCTACTAAAAATACAAAAAATTAGCTGGGCCTAGTGGTGGGCACCTGTAATCCTAGCTACTCAGGAGGCTAAGGCAAGAGAATCACTTGAACCTGGGAGGCAGAGGTTGCAGTGAGCCGAGATCACGCCGCTGCACTCCAGCCTGGGTTACAGAATGAGACTTCGTCCCCAAAAAAAAAAAAAAAAAAAAAAGTTAGCTGGCATCTCTCCTCAGTTGACAACCTCCAGAAGCCCCATCTGCACCCGGGGTTAAGAGGTAGAGCCCTTGCCAGGACTCTCAAAGCCCTACGCGACCCAGCCTCATGCCTTCTGTCTGCAGACCTCATCCTCGCCTGCCCCTCAGCCACACTGGCTTACATGTGTGACCCAAGCCCACTAAAGCCTCAGGGCCTTTGCACTTGCCAGCTCCCACTAGAATGTTCTCCCCAGACACCTGCCTGATGAGTTCCCCGCAGTGCACGTCCCTGACCACCCTACCTAAAACAGCTGCATCCCACCCCTTCTATCACTCAGTGGCCCCTTGCCTTATTACTACCTGGATATTAGACTTGTTTATCTGTCCACCCCACTAGAATGTTAGTTCCCTGATGGCAGGGACTTCTGTTTCATTGATTTATCCCCAGCAACTAGAACAATGCCTACGAGACAGGAGATGTTCATTTAAATGAGCACACTGGGCCAGGTGCGGTGGCTCACACCTATAATCCCAGCACTTTGGGAGGCCGAGGCAGGCGGATCACCTGAGGTCAGGAGTTCAAGACCAGCCTGGCCAACTTGGTGAAACCTCACCTCTACTAAAAATACAAAAAATTAGCTGGGCGTGGTGGTGGGCGCCTGTAATCCCAGTTACTCAGGATGTCGAGGCAGGAGAATCACTTCAACCTGGGAGGTGGAGGTTACAGTGAGCTGAGGTCATGGCACTGCACTCCAGCCTGGGCAACAGAGGAAGACTCTGTCTCAAAATAAATAAATAAATAAATATAAAATAAATGAGCACACTGGTATTTAAATATCAAAGAAAAACTACTGCAATTTCTTGATTATTAGACATTTGGTTTTATGTCATTTTCAGAATACCAAGGGATAACTACCCCGCCCACCCTCCCCAAACTAAGGGACAATTTTCCCCACGAACCAAGAAGAAACAAACCCTGTACCCAATCCCAGTACTCCAGTCTTCATCTTCCTCCCTGGCTCACGGCTCCACGATGGTGCCAAGGCTCATGTGTGGAATGTTACATTTTAAAAAGCGGTGCACAAAGTCTATAGGCACAGGGTTTAATTATGTAAAAAGAGGCATTTAAAAATAATAAAGTTAGAAATTGAGTTTGATGTTTATTAGGTTCATTTCTCAGTAAAGGTATACATTTAAAAAACACATAAAGTATATTTTAATTCCCATTTTAAAATGAAAGTACATTTCTAAACTTCCCGGGGGACTCATAAGCTATTTTAAAATGTTAATATGAAATGAGAAATTAGGCAGAAGAATAAACATGGCCTAAGATTAAAATGTTTAATCAAATAAGAAGAAAAAGAGAGATCTTAGTAGGTAACAAATTTCTATAGTTATAAAAATGGAAGCTACTAACAGCCCTGCCTTCGAGTTTAAATGCCTGAGTCACACAGATCAGCATCAGTGCACCCAAGAGTTATAGGAACAGGCTTACTCTGGAGTCTAAAAGTCCAGCTTCATTGTAAAGAGCTCACCATTTAATATGCCTCTTCAGTCACCTAGTAATTTTTATTTTACCTTTGAACTCATACTTCTAAAATATTAGTCAGTTTTTTTTTAATAACTCAAAACCTTTTAGTCCTAATAATACCAATTCTTATTTCAATTTGAAACAAGAACATACAAACCCAGAATCTGCAGCCTGGCACACAAAATAACGAGGCTCATTAAGGGGTTTTTGTTTTTTTGAGACAGAGTCTTGCTCCGTCACCCAGGCTGGAGTGCAGTGGCACGACCTCGGCTCACTGCAACCTCTGCCTCCTAGGTTCGAGCAATTCTGTCTCAGCCTTCCGAGTAGCTGGGACTGACTATAGGTGCCCCCCACCACGCCCAGCTACTTTTTGTATTTTTAGTAGAGATGTGGTTTCACCATATTGGTCAGGCTGGTCTCGAACTCCTGACCTCAGGTGATCCGCCCGCCTCGGCCTCCCAAAGTGCTGGGATTACAGGCGTGAGCCACCTTGCCTGGCCAAGTTTTTAAAAATTTATCCCTGGCTGGGCGTGGTGGCTCACGCCTGTAATCCCAGCACTTTGGGAGGCCGAGGCAGGTGGATCACGAGATCAGGAGATCGAGACCATCCTGGCTAACATGGTGAAATCCCGTGTTTCTCTACTAAAAATACAAAAAAGTAGCCGGGCGTGGTGGCGGGTGCCTGTAGTCTCAGCCACTCAGAAGTCTGAGGCAGGAGAATGGTGTGAACCCGGGAGGCGGAGCTGGCAGTGAGCCGAGATGACGCCACTGCACTCCAGCCTGGGTGACAGAGCAAGACTCCATCTCAAAAAAAAAAAAAAAAAAAAAAAAAAATTTATCTCCCATGATCCTCTCCATGAGCCCTAAATCCCAGGTCAATGGAAATATCCCATCCCTTCTCTCTGTTCCCTTCTCCAGAAAAGATCACCCTTTCCACTTCCAACGCTGACCATGGGGATATTACATATCATACCCTGACACTCAGTTTCCCTCCACCCCCACATAGGTGGGATCATCTCTTCCTATGAAATCCTATAGGCTTTGTACCATTTTACTCTAGCATTCCATCCTGTATTAAAACTATGAGTATAAATGCACACGTGTGTGTGTATATATTTCATCATCTCCTTTACTGCGTTGCAGGTATCTTGAAGGTGGGGACCAAGTCTTATTAATGCTGTAAATAAGGACCTTGATTTCAAGAAAGCCCAGATAAATCTGATTCATTGGATTAGAGCCCAATACTCTTATCTGATACACTCATTCAGTCAATCAACAAACATTTCTAAGCTCATCCTTAACTATATCCGATTCTCACATCCTTGCCTCACCAGAAATTTATAACTGAGGCAGGCAGCAGTGGCACAGGGGTGGTAACTGCTGCCAGCTCCCCCGCTGGGACTCCTCTCCGGCAGATGCCCCTGAAGGACCACCGGGACACCTTCCCTCAGCTTCAGTCCCATTCTTGAGACACTGCAGCGGCACAGCCGTTCACAGTTCCTGTCCAGGTTTTACAGAAGGGCTTGTCCCAAGGCCATTTTTTATACTGAACCAAATTCTGGCTTCCTGGATCCTCCTTCAACCAGACTGAAGGAATGATAGACAGGGGGTCTAAATCCTCCTTAAAAAGGGAAATCATGTCCTTTGCAGTAGCATGGATGCAGCTGGAGGCCAGTATCCTAAGTGAATTAACGCAGGAACAGAAATCCAAATACCGCATATCTCACTTATAAGTGGGACCTCCACATTGGGTACTCGTGGACATAAAGATGGGAACAACAGACACTGGGGACTATGAGGGGGGGTGGGAGAGAGGGGAATAAGGGTTAAAAAAGTAACTATTGTGTGCTATGCTCACCACCTGGGTGACAGGATCAGTCATACTCCAAACCTTGGCATCACATGATATACCCAGGTAACAAACCCACACATGCACCCCCCGAGTCAAAATATAAGTTGAAAGTAAAATAAATAAATGCATAAATAGGCCAGGCGTGGTGACTCACGCCTGTAATCCCAGCACTTTGGGAGGCCGAGACAGGCGAATCACTTGAGGTCAGGAGTTCGAGACCAGCCTGGCCAACATGGTGAAAAACGCTGTCTCTACTAAAAATACAAAAATTAGCTGGGTGTGGTGGCGGATGGCTGTAGTTCCAGCTACTTGGGAGGCTGAGGCAGGAGAATCGCCTGAACCCAGAAGGCAGAGCTTGCAGTGAGCAGAGATTGCACCACTGCACTCCAGCCTGGGCAACACAGCGAGACTTTGTCTCAAAAAAATAAAATAAAATAAATGCATAAATATATCATTCTCTTACATGCCCAGTCTTCCAGTTTTTGAAGACTGCTTTCATGATTTGCTCCCTGCATAGGCATCCAACATTTAAGGGTCGCCCTTAAGAAAGAGAATACAAAACTACAAATTGAAAATGAAGTGCCCTACAAGGTTTTAGAAGGGGTGGAGAGACTGGAAAGGCCTAAGGTTGAGTGCCGTGAGTTTTGTGGTGAATATTTCACTATCCATGGAATCAAGGACTTTGAATTTAAACCCCAGCTTTGCTCCTTACCTGTTGTGTGTACTCCTTAGCTGGATGAAATTAGACAAGTCACTCAACCTAAGCTTCCATTTTCTTGTCCATAAAATGGGAATAATCTCTCTTACCTGAGAGGACTGCTGTGAAAACTAAATGAGACTCCTGAATTTCGTATTTCCATTAATGCTAATAAAATTCATTTACTGTGCAAAGCGCACTGAGTCAGGGCCAACTAAAACTCTTCACGGGGTCACGGCGAGGTTACGAGGCAGCGCACGTGGGAAGTGCTGGAAAGTGTGTGGCACATTGTCTGAAAGATCTCTGACCAACCAGGACCCAATTCTGGTTTTCAGATACCATTTTTTTTTTTTTTTTGAAAGAGTCTCACTCTGTTGCCCAGGCTGGAGTGGAATGGTGCAATCTTGGCTCACTGAAACCTCCGCCTCCTGGGTTCAAGCAATTCTCCTGCCTCAGTCTCCCGAGTAGCTGAGATTACAGGCGTGTGCCATCACGCTCAGCTAATTTTTGTATTTTTAGTAGAGACGGGGCTTTGCCATTTGTCCACAATGGTCTTGAACTCCTGATCTCAAGTGATCCACCCACCTTGGCCTCAGATACCTTCTTGTGTGAACAGTTGAGGAGAATAAGGCAGCAATCAGATGTTAATGGCATTGCTGCCAGACTGCCTGAATATTCCAGAGTGCCAGAAAACACTGGTCAAATAACTGCTACTCCTACAGGTTTCATAGTTGGGTATGTGGCCGGGCGCGGTGGCTCACGCCTGTAATCCCAGCACTTTGGGAGGCTGAGAAGGGTGGATCACAAGGTCAGGAGTTCGAGACCAGCCTGGCCAACATGGTGAAACCCCATCTCTAATAAAAAGATACAAAAATTAGCTGGGCTTGGTGACGTGCACCTGTAATCCCAGCTACTCAGGAGGCTAAGGTGGGAGAATTGCTTGAACCCAGGAGGTGGAGGTTGCAGTGAGCCGAGATCACGCCACTGCACTCCAGCCTGGGTGACAGAGCAAGACTCCATCTCCAAACAAACAAACAAACAAATATGTACAGCTAGCCTCTTGAGTTATTACAATGCCTATTTTACTGATTTTAGTATGAATTCAT
The DNA here is from genome assembly GCF_000001405.40 of Homo sapiens. Classification (NCBI taxonomy): domain Eukaryota; kingdom Metazoa; phylum Chordata; class Mammalia; order Primates; family Hominidae; genus Homo; species Homo sapiens. The sequence goes on from NC_000007.14 coordinate 98,338,001, forward strand.
TAGGATACCCCATATTGGCATACTTAACTCTTTTTAGTGGTATAATATACAAAAGTTTACCAAGGGTAACATTAGTACATTCACAATATTGTGCAACCATCACCACTACCCAGTTCACAATCATCTTCGTTACCTTAAGAGATGCCGTTAGGCGGGGCATGGTGGCTCACGCTTGTAATCCCAGCACTTTGGGAGGCCGAGGCGGGTGGATCACGAGGTCAGGAGATCGAGACCACGGTGAAAACCCGTCTCTACTAAAAATACAAAAAAAATTAGCCGGGCGCGGTGGCGGGCGCCTGTGGTCCCAGCTACTCAGAAGGCTGAGGCAGGAGAATGGCGTGAACCTGGGAGGCGGAGCTTGCAGTGAGCCGAGATTGCGCCACTGCACTCCAGCCTGGGCCACAGAGCAAGACTCCGTCTTAAAAAAAAAAAAAAAAAAAGACATGCCGTTAAGCAGCCATTCCCCATTCCCCTTTCTCGCATGAAGCCTCAAAATCTGCCTTCTCCCTTGAAGCCTCAAAATCTGCTTTCTATGTGGATTTGCTGATGCTGGGCATTTCATATAAACAAAATCATACAATAAATAGCCTTTTTATCTGGCTTCTTTGACGTGGCACATAACCAAGGTTCACCCGTATTGCAGCATATAGCGGTACTTCATTCTTTTTCGTGGGTAAATAATATTCCATTTTGTTTTTCCACTTATCAGCAGGTGGACATCTGGGCTGCCTCCACCTTTTGGCTATTGTGAGTTGTGCTGCTCTGAACATTTGTGGTCAAGACTATGTGTGGGTCAGGTGTGGTGGCTCATGCCTTTAATCCCAGCACTTTGGGAGGCTGAGGTGGGCGGATCACCTGAGGTCAGGAGTGTGAGACCAGCCTGACCAACATGGAGAAACACCGTCTCTACTAAAAATACAAAATTAGCTGAGTGTGGTAGCGCATGCCTATAATTCCAGCTACTTGGGAGGCTGAGGCAGGAGAATCGCTTGAACCCAGGAGGCAGAGGTTGAGGTGAGGTGAGACTGTACCATTGCACTCCAGCCTGGCCAACAGAGCAAGACTCTGTCTTTAAAAAAAAAAAAAAAAAAAGACTTTGTGTGGGCATATGTTTCATTTCCCTTGGGTTGGTGTCTAGAATGGAATCCTTGGTCATACGGTAATTCTATGCTTGAGTTTTAAGGAACTGGCAGACAGCTCCAATGTGGCTGCTCCATTTTACATGCCCACCAGCAATGGTCAAGGGTTCCAATTTCTCTGCATCTTTGCCAACACTTGTTATTGTCTGACTTTTTAATTGTGGCCACTCTATTGGGTGTGCTGTAGCTATCTTGTGGTTTGGATTTGTGTTTCCCTAATGGCTAATGATGTTGCGCATCTTTTCATGTGCTTGTTGGCACTCTTACTTTTAACAGTTTTGTTAAGTCACTCGGAAGAGGAAAGAGTACATAGGGAAGTGCATTTACTCCCAAGTTGCTAAAGACCAAAAAACTTCTAGAACCCCACCTGCACTAACGAAGACTCTAACCCCCCACCAGAACTGTCTACCCTCCACCGTGGCACCATGGTGTGCCCGGGAATGCGGCTGGCGTGGCCAGGCCTCACTCGCTTCATGATTCTAGCCGCATCCATCTTTGAGTATCCCTCTCTTCAGCCTGTCACGGGAGCTACGCCCTTTGCTGCTACCTGTGCGTGTGACCGCAGCAGCTCTTTCTTGGCATGCTCTCAACCCCACTCCCCAATTTGGGTGTCATAACCTAGTGTTTTCGTTCCTGACCCTTCACTGCAGGCCCAGCATGGTGCTGTGAAAAAGTTAGAAATCCACACCTATTTGTAAGAGGATGTAAGTAGCGCTTGTGAACAAGGATGGTGATGATGGCAGAGGCACAGCCCCAGGTCCTTTGCGCCACCCCCCCTCGCCATGACAGGCCAATTATCCGGCCCAGTTGTTGCAGCTCCTTGGCCAGCGGTCCTTTGGCTGTGGCTGACAGCGTGAGGACAGGGACACTTACGCTGTCTCCATCTTGAGTTACTAGGACACACAATATACTTCAAGGAGAAAAAGACCAATTTGAGTAACTGTGAAAACTGGGTTTAAACAATTTTCTGTTCAAACACTTAAAAATCCAAAGATTTAAGAGAACGGGCAAACATAATAAAGTTACAATGAAAAACAGGAAATGACGTTTCAGGTTGACACTTAGGATGTGCCCAGTGAGCAATCTGGAAGCATGAAGTGTGAAATGGCTAATCTGATTCAATGATTCAGCTTCTACATAAGTAATATTTATTTCTTTATTTTTTTGAGACAGAGTCTTGCCTTGTCGCCCAGGCTGGAATGCAGTGGCCCAATCTCGGCTCACTGCAAGCTCTGCCTCCCGGGTTCACGCCATTCTCTTGCCTCAGCCTCCTGAGTAGCTGGGACTACAGGCGCCCGCCACCACTCCCGGCTAATTTTTTGTATATTTAGTAGAGACGGGGTTTCACTGTGTTAGCCAGGATGGTCTCGATCTCCTGGCCTCGTGATCCACCCGCCTCGGCCTCCCAAAGTGCTGTGATTACAGGCATGAGCCACCACGCCCGGCTATGTAAGTAATATTTACTAATTATAGTACATTGAGTATATATATACTCACTTCAAAGCTGAGAGAAGGAATGTTCTTCTTGTAACAACTTTTGTAAACAAGTACAATTTATAACACAGAACATCTTCCTAAACTTTAGGAATGTACACATACTTACACCAATGCGCCTACACGACACATGGACTTCCACAGTACATGCTCTTACAGGTTTTTTTTTTTTTTTGCAGGGGACAGAGTTTCACTCTGTCACTCAGGCTGGAGAGCAATGGTGTGACCTCAGCTCACCTCCGCCTCCTGGGTTCAAGCGATTCTCCTGCCTCAGCCTCCCGAGTAGCTGGGATTACAGGTGCCTGCCACCAGGCCCAGCTAATTGGTTTTTTTTTTTTTTTTGTCTCTTACAGGTTTTATAAATTATAACCCTACCTTTCTAATTATTCTAGCTGAGACCTTTCCTGTTCCAAAAGGGAGAAGAAAGAACATCCACCCAAAAATTGAGATGAGAAAAGCCACCTTCAAGGTCTAAAGGCATTTATCATGTGCTTGCTTCCAGGAAAAAAATTATTTTCCAAACCCCAAACTGAAAATACTCAAGAAAAAAAGCTGGAATAATGATCGCATTATAAATGCTTCTAAGTAAAACCAGCAAAATTGTGATTACAGCTGAGAAAAATCCAACAAAATACAGACTCATACTCACATGGTTAGTCAGCATGGACCATATGATGGTTTGCAATTTAACACAATCCTTTATTTTGCTGAACTCTAATTGGCAGGAAAATCTGACAGCCATAAAGTAAAGCCGTTAGAAAAGCACAGTCCAGGTGCAGTGGCTCATGTCTGTAATCTTAGCACTCTGGGAGGCTGAGGTGGGAGGACTGCTTCAGCCCAGGAGTTCGAGACCAGCCTGGGCAACACAGAAAGACCCCCATCTCTAAAAAAAATTTTTTATTTTTTAAAAAAGCACATCTTTTGGACATATAGAAAATTAAGTTGGCAGACTAGGTCATATACCTGGTAGGTAGCCTGGGGTCCAATGAACCAGCCACTGACCAGATACGCGACCTCAGCAAGTTACTGCCTTTGTACCTCAGTCTCCTCATCTATAAAACGGAAATAACAAGCATGGGCCTCACAGTGCTGTCATGATGATTATAGGAGTTAATATTACATTTATAATGTGCTTAGAACTGTGCCTGGCATATAGCAGGTACAGTGTTCAGTAAATAAAATCTCCTCTTGTTTCTTTGCTATTTTTGTGGAAGAATTTTAATCTCTTTAAAGTGAGTCTAACCTGTAACTAAAAGATAAGTGATTTTGGTCAATTATAACTGCTGTGGCTCAGCTCAGCTCTTTCCCTACTGTGGTATGAATTCTTTTATCCAGATCTTAGGAATATATTTGTAATATTGTTGTGAATTAGTAACATTTCAAAAATGTTTCAGAAATTTTTTTCTGATTTTTTTTTTTTTTTTTTTTTTTTTATAAAGACAGAGTCTTGCTCTGTCATCCAGGCTGGAGTGCAGTGGTGTAATCATGGCTCACTGCAACCTCCGCCTCCCAGGTTCAAATGATTCTCATGCCTCAGCCTCCCAAGTAGCTGGGATTACAGGTGTACGCCACCATGCCCAGCTAACTTTTGTATTTTTAGTAGAGATGGGGTTTTGCCATGTTGGCCTAGCTGGTCTCAAACTCCTGGCCTCAGGTCCACCCACCTCGGCCTCCCAAAGTGCTAGGATTACAGGTGTGAGCCACTGCACCCAGGCTGAGCCACCGTTCCTGGCTTCTGCTCTAATTTTTAGACCAAAGACTGTCAGATTGGATTCTGAGTATCAGCAAGACAAATCTATAATGTAGTTTTTAAAAATTGCATGATCCATAAGCATTCTATCAATGATTAAAGGAAATCTATGATTTTCTAGGTTCCCTGATAGTGAGGAGATAAAATATTCTGTTTTGTGCCCAATTTCAGAAACTGGCCCAAACAATAAATGATTCAAAATGCAATGGCTGACTAAACTACAACAAAATAACATAGCCTAAATTTACATAATGGTGAGCTCTAAAAAGCTCAAAGCAAATTTATAAACTCCCCAAAGAAAGTCTTATTTCCTGAGAAGTCAATGAGAACATCCTTTATTTTTCTCTGCTTTAAGGATGAAAAAACTGACTCAAAGGTTCTTCTAAAGATTTTGGCAAAACATTTTCCCCTTACCATTTCTGTTTTCCCTTTCACCTTTTCAATATTTTCTGAGTTATAAAAATAAACCTTGCTTGATTTAGGAACAAAACTGGAAGTTTATGAAAATGTCAGATTCCTTTTTTAAATGGGCACTGCTGGGTAGCTGTGCTGCCTTGAACTGAACTGTGTACAGGTAATGAAGGATTAACCTTTATCACGTGTGATAAAGGATTTAACTTTATCACACGTGATAAAGTCACATGAGTGACTTTAGGTACACCCACTGACAATCTGTTGAGTGGCATGAATTTGACCCCATGACCTATTATTTAACAATTAAACAGTGGGAGCGGCCAGGCGCAGTAGCTCACGCCTGTAATCCTAGCACTTTGGGAGGCTGAGGTGGGTGGAACACTTGAGGTCAGGAGTTCGAGACCAGCCTGGCCAACATGGTGAAACCCTGTCTCTACTGGAAAAAAAAAATACACACACACACACACACACACACACACACACACACACAGACACACACACACACTAGCTGGGTGTGGTGGCAGGCGCCAGTAGTCCCAGCTACTTGGGAGGCTGACGTGGGAGAATTGCTTGAGCCCAGGAGGTGGAGCTTGCAGTGAGCCAAGATCACGCCACTGCACTCCAGCCTGGGCAACAGAGCCAGACTCTGTCTCAAAATAAATAAATAAATAAAAATAAACAGTTGGATTAAAATATGTTACTGGCCAAACCCTGACTACTGATCTCTGGATTTGGGTTGACGGTTTGTTTGCTCTGCCCAACAAGACGAAGAGGTTAGGACTTGAGTATCCCATGCTACTGTGGTTGTTAGGATTATGTCGTTAATGCACCTTAAATCCAGACACTTAGCTAGCTGGTAGTAAAGAAGTGCTTTTTCTTTGGAGAAAAGGATACCAAATCCCTCACAAGATTATCCCAATTGAAGCAAGCAACTGTATGACACAAGAGATCTTCTACTGTCTGGGTAAGGGCCAAATTGCAAAAACTTTAGGCCTTGTGGGCCAAACGTCTCTGCTGCAGCCACTCAGCCCTGCTACTGTATCCTGAATGTAACCCCAGACAGGAACAAATGGGCACAGCTGTGTTCCAATAAAACTTTCCTGGCCGGCACAAAGGCTCACGCCTGTAATCCCAGCACTTTGGGAGGCCGAGGCGGACGGATCATGAGGTCAAGAGATCGAGACCATCCTGGCCAATATGGTGAAACCCCATCTCTACTAAAAATACAAAAAAATCAGCTGGGTGTGGTGGGTACCTGTAGTCCCAGCTATAGGGAGGCTGAGGCAAGAGAATCACTTGAACCCGGTAGGTGGAGGTTGCAGTGAGCTGAGATCGCGCCACTGGCACTCCAGCCTGACGACAGAGCAAGACTCCGTTCCAAAAAACAAACAAACAACTTTCTTTACAAGCAGGCCCTGGTCATCCCTGGCTGTAGTTTGCTCACCCCTGCAGTTAAGGTACATCTGGTAAAGGTGATATTTTAGCAAAATGAAATTGAAAGGTTTCAAATTATATGTTAACTCTTATCTTCAAGTCATTGAGAACATTCAGCATGAAAACAACTAGAATTTGGTATTTCTCTTTAAATCATCAATATTTTTCTATCACTTTCAAATATACTTGAAGAAAGAGCAAGGACACATTTTCTGAATCATCTATCTAATAGAATAGATTCTATTCATAAAGGACCTTTTATTTTAAGGAGGAAAATCAAGAAATGAGTTCTCTGGTGGGGGTAAAATGTAGGTCTGACAGATTTGCCGATCATTTAAATCCATCATTATTTCCTAAATTTTAGATACTAACTTGCAAATTTTGCATATGTATATTAAAGTGTATCTTCTTCCTAAGAAGTAGGCTGGGCGTTGTGGCTCACGCCTGTAATCCAGCACTTTGGGAGGCCGAGGTGGGCGGATCACCTGAGGTCAGGAGTTTGAGACCAGCCTGACCAACATGGTGAAACCCCGTCTCTACTAAAAATGCAAAAAATTAGCCAGGCGTGGTGGCACATGCCTGTAATCCCAGCTACTTGGGAGGCTGAGGCAGGAGAATCACTTGAACTCGGGAGGCGGAGGTTGCAGTGAGCTGAGATCGCGCCATTGTACTCCAGCCTAGGCAACAAGAGCGAAACTCTGTCTCAAAAAAAGAAAAACAAGTGAACTATATTATTTTTCAGAGACTCAGAGAGGCTCTCCCATTGCTTGGCATTTCTACTTTTCATTTCCTGGTGATTTCCAATGGCAAAACTTTTACATCTTCCATGAGGCTGAGGCAGGAGGGCTGCTTGAGCCCAGGAGTTCAAGACCAGCCTAGGCAACATAGCGAGACCCTGTCTTTAAAGACACAAAAAAATTTACATCCGCAATAAAGAGGACAACCAGCCTAACATGGAAGAGAACAATAAGAGGACTTGACAAAACCCTTACAGAAAGAATCCTTCATGAACGGCCATCAAGAGATACAATAAAAACACCTAGCAGAATTTGACTCTCAAGAACTTCAAGCAACGGAACTGCTTTATAAATGACAAAAGTCAATTTGCAAACTCAATAATAAAAAAAAACATAATTTAAAATGGGCAAAGGATCTGAACAGACATTTCTCCAAAGAAGATATGCAAATGGTCAGTAAGAACATGAAAAGATGGCTGGGCACGGTGGCTCACGCCTGTAATCCCAGCACTCTGGGAGGCCGAGGCGGGTGGATCACCTGAGGTAAGGAGTTTGAGACGAGCCTGACCAGTATCGTGAAACCCCATCTTTACTAAAAATACAAAAATTAGCTGGGTGTGGTGGGGGGGTACTGTAGTCCCAGCTACTCGGGAGGCTGAGGGACGAGAATCGCTTCAACCTGGGAGGCAGAGATTGCAGTGAGCCGAGATCGCACCACTGCACTCCAGCCTAAAAGTCAATTTGCAAACTCAATAATTAAAAAAAATTAATTTAAAATGGTCAAAGGATCTGAATATACATTTCTCCAAAGAAGATATGCAAATGGCTAGTAAGAACATGAAAAGATGCTCAATGTCGTTAGTCACTAGGGAGATGTGAACGAAAGCCAAAATGAGAGCCCACTTCACACTACAGGATGTGTAAAATCATTTATAGGATGGCTATACTAAAAAAAAAAAAGAGACAATAACAAGTGTTAAAGATGTACAGCAAATGAATGGTTGGATACGGTTGGAGTTAAATGGGAAGCAACTGCTAATGGGTGAGGGTTTCTTTTTGCGGTGATGAAAATATCCTAAAGTTAATTGTGGTGATAATCACACAACTTTGTGAATATACTAAAAACCAGTGAACTGTATACTTTAAATGGGTAAACTGTATCTCAAGCTGCTATAAAAATAAATACAACAAAAAATTAATTTGCAGATTTCAGAAAAGAACTAAATAGGACTTCCAGTAACGAAAGACAGGCACTAAACAATTCAATGGAACCAGCAGTTAGGAAATAAAAATTTAAAAATACCATTTACAATAGGACAAAACACATAAAGAATGAGTCTATAAAAAAGGAGGAGACTTCCACAATAAAAAATACAAAGTAGTGCTACAGAAACGAAAGAAATCTCAAATAAATGAAAGCATCTACCATTTTCATGGATTAGAAAATCCAATATTGCTAAGATGTCAACTCCACCTAAATCCACCCGTAAATTCAATGTATTCCAATCAAAATTCCAAGTGAATTTTTTAAAGTGGAAATTGACAAGCTGATTCTAAGATATAAACAAATGCAGAGGTCCTAGAATATCCAAGGTACTCTCAAATAAACACAAAGCTAGAGGACTTATGCGACTAGATACCAAGATTAGACAGTTGCAGTAATTAAGACAGTCTGCTATTGGTGCAAGGACAGCAGAGCATCCCCACAGACAGCCGAGTGTGTAGCTGCGTTGCCTCCTTGTCTCCCAGTGATAACCCAGGCGATGTTACAAAAATGAGTAACTACAAGAGAAACTGCTAACAAAACTGAAGACACAGAAATGAAATGGGAAAAGTAGCAACACTGAGTCAAACGTAGATGGAATTAGAGAAGAAACAGCTGACTGGAAATGCTGACACTGTTGGCCTTTGTGGCACTGGATGAACGGCCACAGGAACTGAGTGAGGCCAAAACTTACCAACATAATTGAGCCAAGTGGCTGTGATGAAAAGGATGAAGATGTTTCAGGGAAAGCGATGCCAGCAAAACAACAACAACAACAACAACAACAACAAAACAAAACAAAACTTCACCTTAAAGGAACTCTTGAAGATACTTCACAACATTGTAATTGCAAGGATGAAATGTTGGAAGCTGATCCAAATTTGGCAAGGAGTATGGCAATTTGCTAAAGCATAGAAAAGATGCTCGCCCTATCCTAAGCCATGAGAAGGTGGTAAGCCCTATTTACACCACTCCTGGTAGGATTTTTACAAATAAAAACTCTAATTCCCAATGTTTCTAATGCTTTAAAGTGTACAAATATTAGTTTTACTATTTTTTAATTTCCCTATACATTTATAACTGACAGTGAGTGCGTTTTTAACAAACATTTTTAAAGGTCATAGAACAACGTAATTTTGCAGTATCAAAATGACTTTGTGTGGTTTCAGCTTGCACATTTTTATGATGCCATTACCATGCAAAACAGGGCTGCCTGTTTTTAAAATTAGTGAGTTAAATGTACCACTTAAGAAATTAGAAAGGCCAGGCGCAGTGGCTCACGCCTGTAATCCCAGCACTTTGGGAGGCCGAGGTGGGTGGATCAAGAGGTCAGGAGATCGAGACCATCCTGGCTAACATGGTGAAAACCCGCCTCTACTAAAAATACAAAAAATTAGCCGGGCGCCGTGGCAGGCGCCTGTAGTCCCAGCTACTCGGGAGGCTGAGGCAGGAGAATGGTGTGAACCCGGGAAGCGGAGCGTGCAGTGAGCCAAGATCGCGCCACTGCACTCTGTCTGCCCGGGCGACAGAGCGAAACAATGTCTCAAAAAAAAAAAGAAATTAGAAAAAGAGCAGCCATAAGAAAGGATGAGTTCATGTCCTTTGCAGGGACATGGATGAAGCTGGAAACCATCATTCTCAGGAAACTAACACAGAACAGAAAACCAAACACCGCATGTTCTCACTCCTAAGTAGGAGCTGAACAATGAGAACATGGACATAGGGAGGGGAACATCACACACCGGGGCCTGTTGTGGGGTGGGAGGCTAGGGAAGGGATAGCATTAGGAGAAATATCTAATGTAGATGACCGGTTAATGGGTACAGCAAACCACCAAGGCACGTGTATATCTATGTAACAAACCTGCACGTTCTTCACATGTATCCCAGAACTTAAAGTATAATAAAAAAAAGAAATGAGAAAAAGAATAAAAGAGTCATTTCAAAGATACATGAAAGAGAGTAAAGGAGAGACCAATGAAATAGAAAACAAAGACACAATGGAGAGACTTGAACAACTGGTTCATGAATAATCAAGAAAAATATATATTCTGGCCAGGCGCAGTGGCTCACATCTGTAATCCCAGCACTTTGGGAGGCTGAGGTGGCCTGATCACTTGAGGTCAAGAGTTCAAGACCAGCCTGGGCAACATGACAAAACCCCATCTCTACTAAAAATACAAAACTTAGCCGGGCATGGTGGTGGGCACCTATAACCCCAGCTACTCAGGAGGATGCATCACGAGAATCGCTTGAACCCGGGAAGCAGAGGTTGCAGTGAGCCGAGATTGCACCACTGCACTTCAGCCTGGGCAACAGAGTGAGACTCTGCCTCCACAAAAAAAAAAAAAAAAAGAAAGAAAGAAAAGAAAAATGTTATATATTCTTTTATTACTTACTTTATGAGAAGAATGTCAATGAAGAAAATTGTCACTGTTTTTAAATTCTGAAATATTTGCGAATGTGTGAAGTAGAAAGAGAGAGGCATCCTTCTAGTCTTTGATACAGAAGCCACAAGGCACATCATCTCATTTCATCTAATGACCTGGAAGGCGTGGCTGTCACCTCCATGGTGAGTAAATAACCCACTGCCGAAGGTGAAGTGTTGCCCGGGGTCACACAAGTTAACAGCAGGAATGTGGCAACGTCACCACTCCCGAGCATCTCTTAGGTGCCAGGTGGCATGCTATCCAGCAGTCTCAGGGGAAAGTGAGATGTGGCCTGGCCTTACTGTCCTGGGTCAAAGGATCTTTCCCGGACTCGCCTGGGCGGGGTGAGCTCTGCAACCCAGGCAGCACCCATGTCCCTACCATCCCTGGAGGGGTAACCACCCCCACAGTCCATGCTCTGCCTAGCTTGGCTGCAAAACCCCTTGCTGGGGACATGTGACCCAATGTGGTTGCCCATGGAGGTTATCTCTTAGGCCCATGTAGAAAAAGGTGACAGCTACGTTTACCCTTAGGGCCTATCAGCCACCCTGAGGAAAAACACTGCACTCTGCAACCCCTGAGGAAGAAGTCACCCAGGAGGCTACTGAGGATGAAATGAGACAACAGAAGTGCCCGGCACGCGGTGGACACATCCGGAGACCCGTGTTTCTGTATGGAAGCACGTGGCGCAAGGGCAGGGAAATACTTCTAAGACGGCACAAGAGCGGAGCAATACTTCTAAGAAGAGCCACGCCCACGCTACGCCTCTGTGATTTCCACTATCCTTACCCCGTAACTCCTGGCGTTTATGGTTGGAACCCCAGTGAAACCACCATTTCCAAGGGGACTGTGACCGCTAATCATGACACCTGCCAGCCATTCAGACACTAACGATAACCTCTCATCCCCTTCTTGAAAAGTCCCCTGTCAGCCTGGGTGCAGTGGTTCACACCTGTAATCCCAGCACTTTGGGAGGCCGAGGCAGGTGGATTACCTTAAGTCAGGAGTTCAAGACTAGCCTGGCCAGCATGGTGAAACCCCATCTCTACTACAAAAAAAAAAAATACGGCCGGGGATGGTGGCTCACGCCTGTAATCCCAGCACTTTGGGAGGCCGATGGGAAGTTTTTGTTTGTTTGTTTGTTTTCTGACATGGAGTCTCACCTCAGGGCGGATCACCTGAGGTTGGGAGTTCGAGACCAGCCTGACCAACATGGAGAAACCCCATCTCTACTGAAAGTACAAAAATTAGCCAGGCATGGTGGCGCATGCCTGTAATCCCAGCTACTCGGGAGACTAAGGCAGGAGAATCGCCAGGCATGGTGGTGTATGCATATGTCCCATCTACAAGGGAGGCTGAGGTAGGAGGATGGCTTGAGCCCAGAAGATCGAGGCTGCAATGAGCCATGATGGCACAGCCCGGGTTTCAAGGTAAGACCCTGCCTCAAAAAGGGGGGAAAAAAAAAAAGAACATACTGACTGGAAAACAAGGCTAGAAAGAAAGACAAGGATGATAAAGCGTCTGCCTTAGAGTGCTCACATCTCGGGTGATGGTTTTTAATTTTCTCTATTCCCCCTGTTTTCAACCACGAGTCAGTGGCTGCTGACCAGACCATTCAGGTACCTTGGCAGCGAGAAAGATGAGCAGGGGAAATGCACCAGAGTCCATGGTTACAAGATATCCAAAGGCTTAAAAAAAAAAACAAAACAGCAGAAGGCTGGGCACAGTGGCTCATGCCTGTAATCCCAGCACTTTGGGAGGCTGAGGCGGGCAGATCACGAGGTCAAGAGATTGAGACCAGCCTGGCAAACATGGTGAAACAATACCGCTCCTACTAAAAATACAAAAATTAGCTGGGCGTGGTGGTGTGCACCTGTAGTCGCAGCTACTCAGGAGGCTGAGGCAGGAGAATTGCTTGAAGCCGGGACACAGAGGTTGCAGTGAGTCAAGATCGCGCCACTGCACTCCAGCCTGGGCGACAGAGCGAGACTTCGTCTCAAGAACAAAAACAAAAATAAAAAAACAAAACCAGCAGAAAAAACCTACAGCTACCCTAAGGCCCCCTACCCCACAGCCCCTATTTCTTCCTCTGTGCTTAGATCTCCCCTTCCCAAATAGAAACAGACTGGAAAGGATGGCTGTGGTCTTCTGGGGGAAAAAAGTGGGAGGGCCCTGGAAAAACAGCAATTATGAAGTTTTTGTTTGTTTTTTTTTGAGATGGAGTCTCACTCTGTTGCCCAGGCTGGACTGTAGTGGAGCGATCTTGGCTCACTGCAAACTCTGCCTCCCGGGTTCAAGTGATTCTCCTGTATCAGCCTCTCAAGTAGCTGGAATTACAGGCATGCGCCACCATGCCTGGCTAATTTTTTGGTATTTTTTTTAGTACAGACAGGTTTCACCATGTTGGCCAGGCTAGGCTCGAACTCCTGACCTCGGGTGATCCGCCCGCCTTGGCCTTCCAAAGTGCTGGGATTACAGGCCTGAGCCACTGTACCCGGCCACAATTATGAAGTCTGAAGTATATGCATGCTGGTAAAACCACACACCAGCCCACGAGGGAGAAAAACATCACTCCACTCAGACACACAAAAAACGCGGAAGCACCATGTACACCCAGAGCACCGCTAACATTTCTATCAGTCCTGCCCTTTCACTGAAAGTTGTTGAAAACAGACCTTTAATACCAGAGATGCCGACGTGGGGGCTGTCACCAGGCCATCTCCTAACAGCCACATCCTCTCTGACCTGGTGTTCCTTGGCTCATGCCTGGGGAGCTTTGCTAGCAGCTGGGTCCTGGGAGTGTGATCTAAATTGGGCCGTGGGGTATAAGGGGCTGTGTGCTGGAGCTTTGGGGCAAAGGTTGTCAGCACACCTGAGAAGAAATTCCCCTTCCTGCCTTTGGAGACAATGGGGAGAGAGAGGATGTGATGGTTGGAGAGGCAGTGGCAGCCATCCTGGCACCATGAGGAAATGAGTATGAGGATGAGAAGACAGAGAGAAGGAACCTGGGTCCCTAGTGATGATAAACTGACAACCTGCTGCTCCTCATGTGGAATAATAAAGATGCTGATTGCTTAACTCACTGTTCATTGGGTATTTTATTTTTTACTTTTAGGCAAAAGCATCCTACATTATTCACACAGCAGTGAGTGAGCCGATGCCAGGAGAGAGCTAAGTGTAAGTATCCACTGCTAGACATCAGAAATGGCACCGCTGTCACAGAGGCCGACCCTCGAGGCGCACAGAATGAACGTTTTGAAATGATTCATGATTTTCATGTATGTGATAACACCCCTTCGAGTTTTCTCATATGAGAGTTATAAAGTTTCATGATGAAGTTGTGAATACCAAATACCAAAACGGAGTAACTAGACAATAAAATCTTCTTGGAAGATGAGAAAAATACAATCTATCTTTGGTCTTTTTTTTTTTCTATGAATTGTCCATGACTCTTCCATACAGGGAATTTAAACAGATACGGGGTGCCTTTTTAGTCTGAACTGTATCAATAAAAGAAAAATGGAGCCAGTCAAGGAAGTAACTCCTCCTGAGATAGCATTGTACCATGGAATTGTTCGAAACGAGAAGAAAAACCAGTAACTACATGAGATAGCAAGTATTAAGCAAAAGGACAGCTTGAAACTAAATAAAACAGAAAGTTATTTCTGTTCCCTCTGAATAAAATACATACGCACAAGTGGCTGGGCACGGTGGCACACACCTGTAATCCTAGCATTTTGAGAGGCGTAGGCGGGTGGGTCACCCGAGGTCAGGAGTTTGAGACCAGCCTGGCCAAGATGGTGAAACCATGTGTCTACTAAAAATATGAAAATTAGCCGGGTATGGTGGTGGGCACCTGTAATCCCAGTTGCTCAGAAGGCTGAGGCATGAGAATTGCTTGAACCCTGGAGGCAGAGGCTGCAGGGAGCCAAGATCACGCCACTGCACTCCAGCCTAGGTGATGGAGTGAGGTTCCGTCTCAAAAAAACAAAAACAAAAAATACCCCATAGATATATACATGCACATGAAAGAAATTTCACCATCACAAAATACTTTCCTCACTGAAATGAAAGTTCTAAGCCTGTGTTGTTTATACCAACATCGTTGCTGTGGAAATAGCTGTTTCAACATTAGGAACTCACGACTGACTCAAGTAAGGTGTGGAGCAGAAGTCTTATTTAAACAGTGGCAGGACCCATAAAACATTAAAAAGGCAAACTGGGTGTGGTGAGTCAGAGCACCATATGTTTTAATGTAAGGGTCACACATGTTTTCTTTCTGATGCATGACACCAATAGGATGTTTCTTTTTATTCATGCTATTTTTGGAACCCTATAATCATCTCAACGACTCCCCCAAATATCCTAGGTTTTGCTGTCTGCTTCTGTCTACATCCGGCAGCCTCCGTATTTTATTAAATTCATTGTGCTTAGAACAGAGTTACTACAGTTCAGTCCTCGCTGGCACATGCAGGATTATGGCACCAACCAGGGCACAAGCAGGATTTTGGAAAACTTCTGCATGTAACTGAGTCTATTAAATATAGCAGTACTGGGCTGGGTGAGGCCAGTCATCCTAGCACTTTGAGAGGCCAAGGCAGGGGGAATCCTAGAGGCCAAGAGTTCAAGACCAACCTGGCCAACACAGAGAGACCCCCTAAAATATATATAAATATATAAATATATTTATATATTTATATATATACACATATATTTATATTATGTATATTATAAATATACATAATATATATATTATAAATATATTTATATTATATATAAATATATATACATACATATTTATATTATAAATATACATATTTACATTATAAATACACATATATTTATATTATAAATACACATATATTTATAAATATACATATATTTATATTATAAATATATGTATATTAATATTATAAATACATATATATTTATATATGTATATTATATGTATATTTATAATATACATATATTTATATATGTATATTATATATATTTTTATATATATAAATAATATTATGGCTGGGCGCGGTGGCTCACACCTGTAATCTCAGTACTTTGGTAGGCTGAGGCAGGAGGATCACCTGAGGTCAGGAGTTCGAGATCAGCCTGGCCAACATGGCGAAACCCCGTCTCTACTAAAAATACAAAAAAATTAGCCAGGCGTGGTGGCGGGCATCTGTAGTCTCAGCTACTTAGGAGGCTGAGGCAGGAGAATTGCTTGAACCTGGGCAGCAGAGGTTGCAGTGAGCCGAGATCGTGCCACTGCACTCCAGCCTGGGTGACAGAGCAAGACTCTGTCTCAATAAAATAAAATAAAATAAAATAAAATAAAATAAAATAAAATAAAAAATTAAAAAATACATAGATCGCTTTCTCGCAGTACTGACTTATTCACTAACAAGGCATCACTTCCAGCATATGGTCTACCGTGTGCCTATGGCTTTATACGGAGACTGTGAGGACCCAGATCGCCTCTGCACCCAACAGCCCAGCTCCTCAACTCCACTGTCAGGCCTCTCATTTGTCCCTGTCTTTTATGGGTCAGTTAAGAGCTTCCCAAACAATCCTAAAAACCCTCAGGCCAACCCCATCGAGAAACCATGTGACTTGCCCGCACCTTCCCTTGGTGATGCCCCCACTCCTCTGCTTCCCCTTCCTACTTCTTAACTGGACATGGATGCACTTTTCTTTAAATACGCACACACTTTACCATGATTTTCCTCCGGTTAAGCCAGAAATTTTACCCTTTGTACAATAAAACATATTCAACAAGTTTTTTAAATGAGAGTGCTGTGTGGGGCCGTTTTAAAAGCCCACCTTTCCCTAACCCCCGACAGTGAAGTGTTCTATAAACAGAAGCCCAGATCCCCTCGGCAGCGGGCACTGCCCAGGGTGTAACCGCCCTCTCTGCCTGCACAGGAGAGCGATTCATACCAGCAGAACCGGAAAAATCACAGCTGAAAGCAACCAGGGAAGAGGCAAGGGCCAAGAGAGCAATGTAAAGGAGTCGGATTTTCTACTAGGTGAGTCACAGGAAACACTCTGGCCACAGCCCGAGGCCCCAGGAGGCCCGGCTCGCCCATCAGGAATGTAGGTCAAACTCCCAGCGGGAAGGGTGAGAGCCCAGGCACCCAGGGCAAAAGCTCAAGTTCCTAGGAGAACAGGGAGGCTGGCCAGAAAACAAGGCCTCCACTCGCCCTCCGGCACCAGTCCCAGCCCACCCTACGACTAAGCATCAATTTCCACAGACCGCGGTGAAGTAGAACCACAGCATGCTGGCCCAGATCTCTCCTCTGTTCTGGACTGGGCCATCCCACGCGTTTCTCTTGGGGTTCACAGGATGACAAGTGGGGTTTATGTATAAAGGGACAGATCGCTCACCCAGTTCAGTTGACACGGGGGACCCAGTGGCAATCTCACCGATCTTGGCCACTCCATCGTAGTAGGCTTTTCCTGCCAGGATCATAGCTAGACACAAAAGGTGACACACAAAATCGTCACTTAGACAAGGAAAGGAGGAAGCAACACAAGTTTTCTTCCAAACACCCCCTGGTCCCTTCTGGCTGCAGGAAGGTTTGGGCTGTGGCAGGTGTGGCTCTCAGGAGGTAAGACCTGTGTTGAGAGTGGTGCCGGGGTGGAGGCCCTCCAGCCAAGGGACAGCCCCATGAGATCCTCGTCTCTGACCAGCCCCGGGGAACCTTCAGCAGCAGGTGCTGAAAGTCCAGAGAAGGCTCAGCTTGCTCCTGATGCCAGTTTCAGAGTGGATGCGTTCCTAACGTTGAACTAGGGCTTTGCCTGGGCACGGTGGCTCACACCTGTAATCCCAGCCCTTTGGGAGGCTGAGGTGGGAGGAGTTTGAGACCAGCCTGGGCAACATGGTAAAACCCCGCCTCTACAAAAAAAAAAAAAAATACATAAATTAGCCAGGCATGGTGGAGTGTGCCTGCAGTCCCAGCTACTTGGGAGGCTGAGGTGAGAGGATCGCTTGAGCCCAGGAGGCGGAGGTTGCAAGTGAGCCGAGATCATGACACTGCATTCTACTCTGGGTGACACAGCCAGATATTGTCTCAAAAATAAATATAAAAAAAGAAGATACATCCTCTCCAGCCAGAAATCTTTTCTGAGCTAGTTCTTCTCCAGCACTCCAGGTCTGCAACATTCTTAGTTAGGAGTTGTGTGAGGTGGACTAGGAGCCTGGTCCTTTGATGGCAGTGCTTAATTTTTCTATTGAAAAAGGCATTTTGAGCCACAACCAACCAACCTATTTGTTGCCAGGAGAGAATATATGAAATTTGAAATATATTATCATTCCAAAAAGCAACACAATTGTCTGAAAAAATAACTGAATGCTCTACTTTTTCTTTTTTGGCAAAGACAAGAAAACTTTTATTGCTACAAGGTGGGTTCTAATTATCTTAAAAATAGTACTGCCCCCTTCGAACTGATTCTGAAGACTAAATTATAACTATGTAACCTCCAGGGGCAAATTACTTACCCTTTCTGAAACAAAGGTTGCTCATCCTTAAAATGCCCTAAGAATGTGAGTGACAGATGAACAAATGGAAGCTGCTAATACACTTTTTTCACTTTACAATCTAGGTTTGAGGGTATTGAAGATGTATGATAGAGACCCAGCCTGGTTAGTGTAATTTTGGAGAAAAGCATTTATTTGGAATTTTACTCTAAGATTGGTTTCAGACATAGAAATCAGTTTCTCCTGGAGCTTTGGAGACCACACAGTTTTGGAGCTAAAAGAGCCCTCGGGAATCCCAGAGGCTATACCAGCTGCAATGCCGCAATGTATAATGGGCAATTGTTTTAACAAGGTGGATTTTATTTTATTTTATTTTTTTAGAGGCAGAGTCTTGTTCTTTCACCCAGGCTGGAGTGCAGTGGCAAGATCATGGCTCACTGCAGCCTTGACCTCCTGGGCTCAAAGGATCCTTCTGCCTCAGCCTCCCAAGTAGCTGGGACTACAGGCACGTGCCACCATTCCTGGCTAATTAAAAAAAAAAAAAAAAAAAAAATTGAAGGGGCTGGGTGCAGTGGCTTACACCTGTACTCCTAGCATTTTGCGAGGCTGAGGTAGGAGGATCACTTGAGCCCAAGAGTTTGAGACCAGCCTGGGCAACATAAGGAGACCCCCCCATATCTCTACTGAAAACAAACAAAAAAAACTAGCCAGGCATGGTGGTGGTGGCACACGCCTATAGTAGTCCCAGCTACTCAGGAAGCTAAGGTGGGAGAATTGCGTGAGCCCAGAAGGTCAAGACTGCAGTGAACCACAACTGTACCACTGTACTCCAGCGTGGGCAAGAGTGAGGCCCCTGTCTCAAAAAAAAAAAAAAAAAAAAAAAAAAATATATATATATATATATATATATATATATTTTTTTTTTTTTTTTTTTAAGAGTAGGGGTCTCACTCTGTTGCCCAGGCTGGTCTTGAACTCCTGGGTTCAAGGGATCCTCTTGCCTGAGTCACCCAAAGTGTTTGGATTATAGTTGTGAGCCACAGAATTAATTCATGTGCAGGTCCAGCTGAAGGTATGAAAAGCCAAAACAGTAGTATATTTTTTCTGGCACATTAATCTACTTTAGGATTTATTGTAGAGTTAAAAATTTATAGCCAGGTGCTGTGGCTCACACCTGTGATCCCAGTACTTTGGGAGGCTGAGGCAGGAGGATCACGAGGTCAAGAGATTAAGACCGTCCTGGCCAACATGGTGAAATCCCGTCTCCACTAAAAATACAAAAATTAGCCGGGCATGGTGGCACATGCTTGTAATCCCAGCTATTCGGGAGGCTGAGGCAGGAGAATCGCTTGAACTCGGGAGGCAGAGGTTACAGTGAGCTGAGATTGCGCCACTGCACTCCAGCCTGGCGACAAAGTGAGACTCAGTCTCAAAAAAAAAAAAAAAAAGTACATATATATTTATATATATATAAAAGTTATGGTTTTTACCATATACATATCCAACTTTAGGAAATGCAATATTCTATCTACTGCACTATTATAAGACTCAGAACAACCTTAAAGTGTAAATGTAAAAAGAACAATAGCAATTAGCATTTATATACATACTTAGTTAATCTATCCAATTATGTTGAGACACAGTCCGTAATGTCATCAGCCCGTTGCGCTAAGGGCAGCGGAGTGGAGATATTCTGGGACATACCCAAGGTCAATGTTGAGTCAGCGGGAAGGCACACAGCTCTGGCTGGGCACTTCACTTCCTCAGCTCTAAATTATGGTGCTTTCTGATTCTTTGGTCTCGTCTAGAACTAAGAAAGAAGTGACTCCACCTAAAAACAAGGTGTGTAGCCAGGAAACTGTCAAGTTGTAAGATGGAACATCTTAGTATGAAGATGTTAAGTTGTAAAGTACTGATCATCTGAAAAGCAAATTAGTGCGGGAATGGAATGCAGGATTACACAATATTTAAGCAAAATGTTTGGTTTGCATCCACACATGAAATCACAATTTTTCATTAATTGTTGACTTACATTGAAAACCATGTAACCTTCTCGGTCTTGTAAAATATCTTTGCTATGATGATAAAGTTAAATTAACTTGAAAATTATAAAATTTAGCCAGAAGAGATAAATAATACTTTCATAATTTTGCCTCCCTTTTGTGAGCACATTAAGATATTTTCTACTACTTATTGTTTTAAGGAAAGAAGCATATTAGTTTTTTGTTTTTTTTTTTTTAAGAGTCAGCGTCTCACTCTGTTGCCCACACTGGAGTGCAGTGGTGTGATCATAGCTCACTGCAGCCTCCACCTCCTGGACTCAAGCCATCCTCCCACCTCAGCCTCCTGAGTAACTGGGACTACAGGTGCACGCCACCACACCTAGCTAATTTTTTATTTTTTCTAGAAATAGGGTCTCACTATGTTGCCCAGGCTGGTCTTGAACTCCTGGGCTCAAGCGATCCTCCCACCTCAGCCTCCCAAAGTGCTGGCATTACAGGCATAAGCCACCATACCTAGCATAGTTCTATTTTAGTGGTTGGCCAACTACTTCATCAGTCTAGACCAATCTATGTACTTCTACTTGATAATTTTTCCTTAAAATATGGTTTCATTGGGTGAACATTCTGCTCAAAGCCTTTGGTGTCCTCCCACTGCCCATGAGGTAAGGTCACACACCCCAGAGCCCGTAGTAGATTTTTACAGTAATGGCCTTCCAGGAATCACACCTCCCGGAATTCCCAGCGTATGTGGTCCCCTACCAGGTGGTGTGGCCATGGGACCTGCTTTGACCCACGGGTTATCAGCAAGCATGACTCCTGCAGGGACTTGAGAGGTGCTGGGCACTGGGGCTTATACTCTTAGGACACCACTGCTACTGAGTGAGGACAGAGTCTGGCCTCCTTGAAGGGGAAAGACCCCATTGCAGGGCTGCATCCAGCCCACAGCCCCACACGGGCCGCAGAAGACTGCAGGTGCAGGAGTGAGCCCGGAGGGTCTGGAGAACTGCCCTGCCTTATAGGAGAAATAAGAAACTGTTGCTATTCAAGTGCACAGTGATCTGACCCTATCCCGCCCACGCCCCAGCAGTGTGCCACCCATGCCAGTGTGGACCCCAGGTCCTGGCTTACTTGCTGTCTTTTTTTTTTTTTTTTTTGAGACAGAGTCTTGCTCTGTCACTAGGCTGGAGTGCAATGGCACGATCTCTGCTCACTGCAACCTTTACCTCCCGGGTTCAAGTGATTCTCCTGCCTCAGCCTCCTGAGTAGGTGGGATTACAGGCACCCGCCACCACGCCTGGCTAATTTTTGTATCTTTAGCAGAGACGGGGTTTCACCATGTTGGCCAGCCTGGTCTCAATCTCTTGACCTCGTGATCCGCCCGCTTCGGCCTCCCAGTGTGCTGGGATTACAGGCGTGAGCCATCGCGCCCGGCCGACTTGCTGTCTTTTATGCGTGCAGTAGTGTCTGCCTGCTGAAACCTAACATCTGGCAGATAGCTCATCTCCTGCAGGGCCTCCTCCCTGTTCCAGGCCACACCAACCCACACCACTCAAATTCTTGTGACACTGGTCTGTACAATGCTCCTAGCCATTCACCTGTAGACCTGGGTTTTTTTTTTTTTTTTTTTTTTTAATTTTTTTGAGACAGGGTCTTGCTCTGTCTCCTAGGCTGGAGTGCAGTGGTACAATCACAGCTCATTGCAGCCTCGAACTTCTGGACTCAAGCAATCCTCCCACCCCAGGCTCCTGATAGGTAGGACCACAGGAGCATGCCACCATGCCCAGCTAATTTTTTTTTTTTTCTGAGGCCGAGTCTCACTCTGTTGCCCAGGCTGGAGTGCAGTGGCATGATCTTGGCTCATTGCAACCTCTGCCTCCCGGGTTCAAGTGATTCTCCTGCCTCAGCCTCCCACGTAGTTGGGATCACAGGCACGTGCCACCACTCCCGGCTAAATTTTGTATTTTTAGTAGAGACAGGGATTTACCATTTTGGCCAGGCTGGTTTCGAACTTCTGACCTCAGGTGATCTGCCCACCTCGGCCTCCCAAATTGCTGAGATTACAGGCGTGAACCACCGCGCCTGGCCTGAGCTAATTTTTAAATTTTTTTTGTAGTGACGGGGTCTCGAATTCCTGGGCTAAAGCTATCCTCCTGTCTCAGACTCCCAAAGTGCTGGAATTACAGGCACGAGCCACCACGCCCAGCCTGCCTTGTGTTCTAACGTAACTGTGGACTGCACACCTGGCAGCCTCAACTATTTCCAAATTCTCACCAAGGACTTTACACATTTACCTACATTTCTCAATGGCTTCAGCAAAGGCACAACCAGATGGCCTGCAGAAATTCTGGAAATACCTTCTGAAGTATTTACTCCCCAGGAGGTGCTAAAGTGTCAAGAGCCCTTTGGGGAGAAGCCTTGTTAGCAGGAAGCTAAGCTGTAGGCAGCTCACTGGCTCACCTTGTAAAACTCTGCAGCTCATGCTAGAAAGAAAAAAAAAAAAAGAGGCAGCTCATGCTAGAAAGAAAAAAAAACTGCAGGTCACAGTGATTTCCTTCACAAGGACATCTAAAGCAATGACTTTGTGGCCTTGTGACTAAGCAATCTTCGAGGGAGAGTCAGCAGTGCACAGCTCTGGCTTTCTGGAGGACAGGGGCACTTGCAGAAGTCACGGGGACCACTGGAGGGCAAGGGAGCAAAATCCCAGACCTGCTGCATTTCCTGCTGCTGAAATCTCCGAAAGCACAGCAAGGCAGAAGAGTAAATGAGCAGTATACTTTTCCAGCGACTACACACAATGGTGCTCCTCCTCACCCAGAGTCCACAGTCTAGCCAGCTCACACCCTTTCCTGGGGCAGGTTCATGCTGAGCGAGAGTGAGGCCACAGGTTTATTTTCAAAATATCAACAGGGAGCAACCAGTATGGCAAAAAAGATAAGAGGCTGGGTGTGGTGGCTTAAGTTTATAATCCTAGCACTTTGGGAGGCTGAGGGGAGTGGATTACCTGAGGTCAGGAGTTCGAGACCAGCCTGGCCAACATGGTGAAACCCCATCTCTACTAAAAATACAAAAATTAGCTGGGCATGGTGGTGTACACCTATAATCCCAGCTACTTGGGAGGCTGAGGCAGAAGAATCGCTTGAGCCTGGGAGGCAGAGGTTGCAGTGAGCCGAGATTGTTCCACTGCACTCCAGCCTGGGCGACAGAGCAAGACTCTGTCTGGGAAAAAAAAAAAGAAAGAAAGAAAGAAAGAAGAGATAAGAAGATGTAAAACTTGATCTGAAGCTGCCTTCAAATCTGTCAGAAACTACATTTCTACTTATGTTACTTGGTGACAAAAGTAGAGCGGTGGGAGAGGGTGAAACTGGGGTCTGAGTGTTTTGGGGTGATACTTGCTACATTTTGGGGAAGAACTGTCTTGCCCATGTTAGAATTTGGTGATTGCTAGCGTTTTTAAGGTGATCACTGATGCATTTTAATCACAAAGACAGGCCAATAGCAATACTCAAGTTCATTTTAAATGAAGCATATATTTTGAAATGAGAACCTAAGTCCAACTGTTTAATTTAGATGTTTTTCCATTCAGGCTAAAAAAAATTTCTTCTTTTTTTTCTTTTTTGAGACAGACCCTTACTCTGTTGCTCAGGCTGGGGTGCAGTGGCACTATCACAGCTCATTACAGCCTCAGCCTCCCAGGCACAAGCGATCATCCCGCCACACACTCCTGAGTAGCTGGGACTACAGGCGCGCACCACCACGTGCAGCTAATTTCATTCAAGCTAAAAATATTGTTTCTCATGTAACTATCAAAAGTGACACATCGGGGAAAAAAAGATGAAAAAAGTGATACATCTAAAGACAAGAAATTCTTTTATATACATAAAAGGAGAATAATTTCTGTGCTGTAGGACCCTAACTTATAAATGTCTCATGTACACATTTTATATTTGTTAGTTTACCAAGAATTTGGTTTTAAAAGTAGAAAGCACGGTTTTATAGTTAAAAGACATCACTTAGAGTACCCTCACTTTCATTCAATTGACTTGTTTCAAATACGCTAATATCATTGTGTACTGTCATTGCAAAGTTCTGTAGATTAAATTCATTGTGAACAATTTTTAACCACTTAAAGGTATTTAAAAATTCAATACTAAGCATTTAAAAATAATTACATATTTACTGAGTGGCTTTATATATAATCAATTCAGAAAAACAGACTTACCGTTTACAGCTTTCTCATAATTTTTCCCCAGGTTTATTAAATTTCGCAGCCCAGGATTGAACTGTTCCATAACATTCTGCCAAACAAACAAAACACACAAATTAATAAAATAAAAAATAAACCAAGTCATCTTCAGATTTTGTCACTGTGTGGCCCAGGATAGCTATGGATGCCTAACAGCACAGTCTACAAAGTAATGAATGCTGATGTAAAAATAATGAAGCACACCTATTCCCTTACCTGATGGAACAGGGCTCACAGGTGGCAAGGTGCCCGTAACCCTGGCAGTTCTCAGTTGCCCAAGAGGCTGCCTGGAATCTGCTATAAGCGGAGCAGGCAGCAGTCATTCATGTCTCTACCATACCCTGCAGGGACTGTAGGCCTGGCATCCTCTTGGGTTTGAGTGGATTGCTAATGGTTCTCATTCTAGTGTTAAGGAACGCCTGTGGAGGATCAGCTACCTGTACTTACTTACAAAGGCAATGTTTCAAATAGATTTCGATGAATTTCTATCCACTGAATAGAAATTTCCAGGAGATTTTGTTTTTACTCTGCCTAATTATAGGGGTGTGGGCGGGGAGGGACGTGAAAGGGGGCATTGGTAGCATGTTGCTGATGGCCCCAGGACACAGGCCTGCCTGGAAACTTCTGGATGTCCCTGGCATTTTTTCTTTTTTTTTTTTTTTTTTTTTTTTTGAGACGGAGTCTCACTCTGTCATCCAGGCTGGAGTACAGTGGCACGATCTCAGCTCACTGCAACCTCCGCCTACTAGGTTCAAGCAATTCTCCTGCCCCTGCCTCCCGAGTAGCTGGGATTACAGGAGCCCACCACCACACCCAGCTAATTTTTATATTTTTAGTAGAGGCGGGGTTTCACCATGTTGGCCAGGCTGGTCTCGAACTCCTGACCTCAGGTTATCCGCGTACCTTGGCCTCCCAAAATGCTGGGATTACAGGCACGAGCCACTGCGCCCTGCCTCCCTGGCATTTTCCCACTGATTGGTTTATTCACCAAAGTTGTGTGGAGTAACTACCATGGGCCAGACCCTGTGCACACAGCTAAGGATTAGAAGGCACAGTTTCCCTCTCATGGATTTCATGGTGCAGCCAGTGTCCAGGTTTCATTTCAACACGTGTTATTCCTGTATCAGCAGAAAGTCATAAAGACAAATGCTAGGACAAGTATAAGACAAATAACTATTTAGGACGTGGGTCTAAATTTTAAAATACCCTAACTTTGAAGTACAGACAATAAGTCATTCCTACGGTACTCAGACTTCACGACTCACAACACGTGGCGATTGTTATGTGTTTGTTCCATCTAGGAACAATAAGCTTCATGATATTAATCACCCCAAAGAGACCATTCAAGTCTCACCGACCCCTTCCCCAAATGCATGCTCCATTTATATAGACGACCAGATGCAAAAAAGAATGAACAACTACCCAACATTCAAAGAGGCAGGTGCTTTACACACATACCCTTCAGAATAAATGAATCAGGAGGAGAGAGAGAATAGGACGACTCTTGTTTTTAATCAAACTGTGATAACAATGAAAAACAACCCATGCCTCGACCTTTCCATAGCCCTGGTCTTATGCCCGAGAGCACTTTCAACTATGCTCCTATTTTTGTATTTATTGCTGCAGTTTTGAATATTCTTTTTTTTTTTAAATATTCTTGATTTCTTGATTTTGGGGAGTAACTGCAGCTTCCTACGACAGCAGATGAGGCCTCAGGTCTCTATACCTCTCACTCTTCCTTTCCAATGGACTTTCTATGCAATTAGATGGCAATTTGCTGATGAAACTATAGTCAGTGTTCATTATGACTTTGCACTAAGGCTGATGGTTCCCTTTCTCAGTAAAGCCTGGCTGTTTTTCCTGGGATGGACAATTGTTTCTTTCCGCCCCGCCACCTTTGCTTAGTTTTCTGTTTATCTACCTTAAACTTGTCCCCATGCTGTATTAGACTTGGCTGAGGCCTATCAGTGTTATTTTTCAAATGTACAAAACTCTCAGCTAATCTCCTGTTCCGTTTTTCCCTTGACTTCCTCTAAGGACTCTCCACCATCTTGCTCAGTGTGGCTTGACTGTCACGATTGCCCTAGCATGGCCCTCCTGGTGGCCTGTGGCAGCGCTCTTGTCAGCCAGGTAGGTCCACGTCTTCCTATTTCTCCAAAATGGAGATCACATTCCAAAAATGATCTAAGAACTAATGCGTGAGAGGTAAATCTGAGTCCCCGTGTGTCTGAAATTATCTTTACCTTGACGTTTGCTATTTTGCTGAGTAGAGCAGAGTAGATTGAAACTATTTTCCTTAGAATTTTTAAGACATCACTTGGTCAGGCGTGATGGCTCATGCTTGTAATCCCAGAACTTTGGGAGGCTGAAGTGGGAGGATCACCACTTGAGCCCAGGAGTTTGCGACCAACCTGGACAACATATCGAGACTCCCATCGCTACAAAAAATAAAAACAATTAGCCAAGGGTGGTGGCTTGTGGCTGTGGTCCCAGCTACTTGGGAGGCTGAGGTGAGAGGATCACTTGAGCCCAGGAGTTTGAGGCTGCAGTTAGTTGTGACTGCACCACTTCACTCCAATTTGGGTGACAGAGTGAGGATATGTCTCAAAAAAAAAAAAAAAAAAAAAAAAAAAAAAAAAGAGCTATTACTCCACTGTCTTTAGCATCTGGGTCTGCTGAAGTCAGCTGCCATTTCTTCCTATGTGACTTTTTTTTAAAGCTTATTTCTGGAAGCCTTCTCTTTATTCCTGTGTTCTGAAATTGCACCATGGTCTGTCCCAGCATTTTTTTTGTTTGTTTTTCATTTATTTTACCGGACACTCAGTGGGACCCCTAGCCATGTGGAAAATTATGTCCTTCAGGTACAAATATCATTCCTGTTTTATTTCTTGTCTCTTCATTCTTTCTGGAACTCTGATGAAGATTTTATATATCCTGGATTTATTCTCTAATCTTTTTTGATTTTCCACTTTCAGTAGTTTTGTTCTATAACGCTAACAGATATCCTCAACTTTATGTTCCAATTCTATTTTTTGAATTTGATATATCTTAATTTCTAAGAGCATGTTCATGTTTCTTGATTGCTCTTTTTGTTTTGGTTTGGTTTTTGAGATGGAGTTTCACTCCGTTGCCCAGGATGGAGTGCAGTGGTGTGATCCTGGCTCACTACAACCTCGGCCTCCCAGGCTCAAGTGATCCTCGTGCCCCAACCTCCCAAGTAGCTGCGGGGGGTGGATCACAGGCATGCGCCACCACGCCTGGCTAATTTTTTGTATTTTTGGTAGAGACAGGGTTTTGCCATGTTGCCCAGACTGGTCTAAAACTCCTGAGCTCAAGCAATCTGCCCGCCCTGGCCTCCCAAAGTGCTGGGATTACAGGTGTGAGCCACCACGCCCAGCCTTTTGATTGCTTCTTTTTAAAAGTACTCTCCTGTTCTTGTTTTATAGATGCAGTATCTTCTCCTGTCTGAATTTTTTGGTGTGTTTTATTCTAGTTCCCGTATCATCTCCTGATTACCTTTCACTGTTTGATATCCCTGTCTTTCATGTTAGAGACTCTCCTCAAACGTGTGGTGATCCCTGATGGCCAGTTTGTATTGAGGCGTGCAGCCCGTCACTGCCGGCTGGAAGCTGTGGGTGTGTGCACAGGGTAGTGGCTGACTTGCTGGCTTCATTCCAAGCCAATGGCCACTCTACAGTCATCAGGGGCCACTGGGCTTCTGCTGAGAAGTTTCTAATTTCCTGTCATTGGGTGGGGGACAATCATCGGATGGTCAGCTTTCGCAGTCAGGAAGGGGGCCGGGACTGGACAGTTTGGAGCTGATTTTCAGGAACTCCTCTGTTTTCAGCTCAGAGTTCTGCCTCCTCCACCCTTGGCTGCTGTTTCCAAGTCTAGAGCACCTCAGATTATCCTGAGGTTAAATCTCTGCTCTGCCAGAGGGAGCTGCTGGTGGTGGTGGCTGGGGTAGGGAAGGGAAGCCAGGAGCTCCGCCACCCTGTGCACCAGACTCCGATTCCTGCCCCCACCTTCTGCGGCCCAGTCCTCAGCCTCTGGGGCCCCTGGGGTGAATGGCTCAGTTTCCATCAGACTCCTTTCCCCAGGTTCTTCAGGCTCTCTGAGGTCACTGAGCACTCTCTGTCCATTTCCTATCACCCCAGATTTCTTTAGGTCTCTTGTCAATGGATGTTTTCCAGGTCTTTTTGCACTGTGGATTTATTGGGTATTGTTTTTAATTCCTTTGCCATCATTTTAATGGGTTCTCAAAAGGAAGAAAATAAAATACACAAGGTGCCTCTCCCATGCCTGCCTGGAAGCCCGCTCACCTGGTATCACTAGACGCAGTCAGGTGCTTGGCACCTACGCGCAACCAGTGGCCAGGAAGCCCCAGAGCCAGCCAACTCCCCCACGATCCTCTCTACAAGATGGCAAAGCCTCATTACGTAGCCACAGCTGCTCTTTTTCTTTGCTTTGCTTTTTTTCTTTTCTTCCCTCCATCCCTTCTTCCCTCCTTTCTTCCTTCTTCTCTTTCTGAGACAGGGTTTTGATCTGTCACACAGGCTGGCGTGCAGTGGCATGATCACCACACACTGTAGCCCCAAACTCTTGGGCTCAAGTGATCCTCCTGCTTCAGCTTCCCGAGTAGCTGGGAGGTGTGTGCCACCATGCCCAGGTAATTAAATTTTTTTTTTTTTTTTAAGAGACAGGGTCTTGCTATGTTGTCCAGGCTGGTCTGTCCACAGCTGTTATTTCTGTCATCTCTTCTCAATTCTTTTGTTTTGGAGCTTCTTTGAAATAGTTTAAGACTCATAAGAGTTGTAAAAATAATACACAGAGTTCCCAGGTATGCTTCCTGCAATGGTATCTTCTATAACCATAGTATATTATCAAACCCAGGAAACTGTCACTGCTACAGTTCTATTAACTCAACTACAGACCTTATTTGGATTTTCCCACTTTTTGTATCACTCATTTTTGGGGGAAGGTTTCATCATTTCTTTTTTCTTTGTTTGAGACAGAGTCTTGCTCTGTTGCCCAGGTTGGAGTGCAGTGGTACGATCTCAGCTCACTGCAACCTCTGCCTCCCCGGTTCAAGCAATTCTCCTGCCTCAGCCTCTTGAGTAGATGGGATTATAGGCGCGCACCACCACACCTGGCTTTTTTTTTTTTTTTTTGTGAGACGGAGTCTCGCTCTGTCGCCCAGGCTAGAGTGCAGTGACGCAATCTCGGCTCACTGCAAGCTCTGCCTCTGGGGTTCACGTCATTCTCCTGCCTCAGCCTCCCGAGTAGCTGGGACTACAGGCACCCACCACCACGCCCGGCTAATTTTTTGTATTTTTAGTAGAGACGGGTTTCACTGTTAGCCAGGATGGTCTCGATTTCCTGACCTTGTGATCCACTGCGGCCAGCCCAATTTTTGCATTTTTAATAGAGATGGGGTTTCGCCATGTTGGTCAGGCTGGTCTTGAACTCCCGACCTCAGATGGTCCACCTGCCTCGGCCTCCCAAAGTGCTGGGATTACAGGCGTGAGCCACCACGCTTGGCCGGGTTTCATCATTTCTATGAAATTTTATCATACATGTAGGTTGCCACGACCATCACCGCAAGTAAAATACGGAACTGTTCCACTAACACACACGCCTCTTTTGTGCTGCCACTTAATAATCATGCCCTCCTCCTCACCAATCCTCACCTCTGGCAATTCCTGAGCTCAATCTATGATTCTGTCATTGTGAGAATGTTATATAAAAGGAATCATGGCCGGGTGCAGTGGCTCATGCCTGTAATCCCAGCATTTTGGGAGGCCAAGTTGGGCAGATCACCTGAGGTCAGGAGTTCAAGACCAGCCTGGCCAACATGGTGAAACCCTGTCTCTACTAAAAAATACAAAAATTAGCGGGCGTGGTGGCGTTTGCCTGTAATCCCAGCTGCTCAGGAGGCTGAGGCCGGAGAATTGCTTGAATCTGGGAGGCAGAGGTTGCAGTGAGCTGAGACCGTGCCATTGCACTCCAGCCTGGGTGACAGAGTGAGACTCCATCTCAAAAACAAAACAAAACAAAACAAAAGAATCATGGGAGGCCGAGGCGGGTGGATCACAAGGTCAGAAGATCGACACCATTCTGGCCAACATGGTGAAACCCCGCCTCTACTAAAAATACATGAATTAGCTGGGTGTGGTGGTGCGTGCTTGTAATCCCAGCTACTTGGGGGGCTGAGGCAGGAGAATCATTTGAACCTAGGAGGCGGAGGTTGCATTGAGTCGAGATCGCACCACTGCACTCTAGCCTGGTGACAGAGCAAGACTCTGTCTCAAAAAAATAACAAAAAAGGAATCGTATCGTATGTGGCATTTTAAGATTTGCCCTTTTCACCCAGCACAATGCCTTAAGATGTATCCAAGTTGTTGGATGTAGTTTATCACTTTTTATTTTTTTTTTTTGGCTAGTAGCATTCCATGGTATGGATATATTGCAGTTTGTTTATCCACATACTTGTTGAAGACCTGGCTTGTTTCCAGGTTTTGACAATTCCAAGCAAAGCTGCTATGAGCGATCGCATACAGGTTTTTATGTGAGCTTACGTTTTCGTATCTCTAGGATAACCTGGGGGTTCAATGGCTGCGTCACATGGTAGGCACGTGTTTAACTTTTTAAGAAACTGCCAAACTTTTTTTTTTTTTTTTTCAGAACAGCTGCACCATTTTACTTTCCCATTAGCACTCGGAGATTTCACTCATTTTCAAAATCTGATAATTTCATTAGCACACAGCTACTTTCTAATTAAAAGACAAAACTATTTTAAAGTTACTGAAAATTATTACAGGCCATGCGTGGTGACTCATGCCTGTAATCCCAAGCACTTTGGGAGGCCGAGGGAGGTGGGCTGTTTGAGCCCAGGAATTCGAGACTAGCCTGGGCAACGTGGTGAAACCCCATCTCTACCAAAAATACAAAAATTTGCTGGGCACGGCGGTGGGTGCCTGTAGTCCCAGCTACTCAGGAGGCTGAGGTAGGTGAATCGCTTGAACTCAAGAGACGGAGGTAGCAGTGAGATCGTGCCGCTGCACTCCAGCCTGGGCGATAAAGCGAGACCCTGTCTTGAAAAATAAAAAATTCATATGATATTCTTATGAGGCTGGGTGTAGGTAAAAATATAAGAAAACTGACAGAGAGCCGACCCTGCCCAATAACATATGAGCACCACAGAAAGCAGCCCAGATCTGTTCTTTCCTGCGGATATTCCTTCTCCAAATACAATAGGAGGAAAGTCTCATTTGATTTCCTAATTTTTTTTTTTTTTTTTTTTTTTTTTGAGCTAGAGCTTTGCTCTGTCGCCCAGGCTGGAGTGCAATGGTGCCATCTCGGCTCACTGCAACCTCCACCTCCTGGGTTCACGCAACTCTTGTGCCTCCGCCTCCCAAGTAACTGGGATTACAGATGCCTGCTACCACACCCAGCTAATTTTTGTTTTTTTAGTAGAGATGGTGTTTCACCGTGTTGCCCAGGCTGGTTTTGAACTCCTGACCGCAAGTGATTCATCCGCCTCAGCCTCCCAAAGTGCTGGGATTACAGGCATGAGCCATCATACCCAACCAATTTCCTGATATAATTCTTAAAATGTTCACATATAACCCTAACATCTTAAAATACGAAGAACAACAAATGAATGAGAACTTCCACAGTTAACACCATACACAAATCCCTATCCAAATGATTCTACCAGAGGGGGAAAAAAAAAAGTTCAACTAAGACTTGAGACTAGGCTGGGCGCAGTGGCTCACAAGGTCAAGAGATCGAGACCATCCTGGCTAATGTGGCGAAACCCCATCTCTACTAAAAACACAAAAATTAGCCAGGCATGGTGGCGGGTGCTTGTAGTCCTAGCTATTCAGGAGGCTGAGACAAGAGAATTCCTTGAACCCGGGACGCGGGGTTGCAGTGAGCTGAGATTGCGCCACTGCACTCCAGCCTGGCAACAGAGTAAGGCTCCGTCTCAAAAAAAAAAAAAAAAAAAGATTTGCAACTACAGTTTGTAGTCAATACTGAGTTTTTAAGCTTGAAAAGTTCAACATATATACTTCTTTATTACTGTACGTAGGTTCAGCTACAGAAATGTTCCCTCCCAGAAATTTTGGCTTTTTTTTTGAGACAGAGTCTCGCACTGTCGCCCAGGGAGTGCAGTGGCGCGATCTCGGCTCACTGCAAGCTCCGCCTCCTGGGTTCACGCCATTCTCCTGCCTCAGCCCCCTGAGTAGCTGGGACTACAGGCGCCCGCCACCATGCCCAGCTAATTTTTTGTATTTTTAGTAGAGACGGGGTTTCACCATGTTAGCCAGGATGGTCTCGATCTCCTGACCTCATGATCCGTCCGCCTCGGCCTCCCAAAGTGCTGGGATTACAGGTGTGAGCCACCGCGCCTGGCCAATTTTGGTCTTTCTAACAGTGGAAAATCCATTCCTATATTGGCTCTTCACCTAGTTATTTTAGCTGAAGTACATGTTATTTTTAAACCCAGGGACAAAAAAAGCAATGCTGCCTTTGTATTCCAGAATCTATAAAGTTTTATAGTAGTTGTGGACACACTTGTGAATAGAAAGGGTCCCACATTTTGGGGGAGAGCTGTAGTTGAGGCAAAGGTCGGTGCTACTGCAAGGCTTGTGAAGACCTGAATTGTTAAACAGCCTACAATGTTAAGAGTCATCAGGAGTAATGAACAAATCCATTTTAATTTAAGTTTGGCACTAAGAATTAAAGGGCTTAGGATACCAAGTGAATCTTAACAAAGTGAACAGAAAAATTATAAATGGGCCAAGCAGCACTGTTACTAAGAAAAAAAAATAGCAATAGCTTAGTCTATATCTCTATCGATTACTGCCTGGCAAGGATACTCTGCCAAACTGGTTTTAACCAGAATGAGTTTCATTTCCATCCAGGGAAGGGCATGCATAGTTATGGTTGCACAATACATTCTAGGCTAATGGTAATATCACTCTTCTACTTGTGCTGAGTCGCATAAAAAGAAGCTTGGTTCTACCGCAAAACCTTAGCGGTACTGGAAAATTAGTGATTAGCTATTCTAAATAAAATGTTGGAGAACAGTTCCGCTGGAACCAGCACACACTATTCACCAGATTTCTAGCTGCCCTGTTTACCTCGGCATTTCTACTGCCTCTGTAAAGTTACAGATCATAATTATGAATTAAGAATAATTATGAGAAATGAATGATGCAATCTTATGACGGTTTTAACTTCCTTAGCATATGGACTTTTTATAACTCATTTTCAAAGAATTACCAGTATGGAACTATACATAAATTAACTGTGTACATTTATAATAAAGTATACATTAATTCAATTATGACTAGCCAGATAAGCTGAGTGGACTTTAAACTTTTAAAAATTAGTTTCTCTTTTAGTTTCTTTTTTTTTTTTTCTGAGACGGAGTCTCGCTCTGTCACCCAGGCTGTAGTGCAGTGGCGCAATCTCGGCTCACTGCAAGCTCCGCCTCCCGGGTTCACACCGTTCTCCTGCCTCAGCCTCCCGAGTAGCTGAGACTACAGATGCCCGCCACTGCACCTGGCTAGTTTTTTGTATTTTTAGAGAGACGGGGTTTCACCAGTGTTAGCCAGGATGGTCTCGATCTCCTGATCTCGTGATCCACCTGCCTCCGCCTCCCAAAGTGCTGGGATTACAGGCGTGAGCCATCGCGCCCGGCCCTCTTTTAGTTTCTTTTAGTAGTTCTGTATAGGCCGGGTGTGTTGGCTCACGTCTGTAAGCCCAGCACTTTGGGAGGCAAGGCGGTCGGATCACCTGAGGTCAGGAGTTCGAGACCAACCTGGGCAACATAGTGAAACCCCCTCCCTACTAAAAATACAAAAATTAGCTGGGCATGGGGACGGGCGCCTGTAGTCCCAGCTACTCAGCAGGCTGAGGCAGGAGAATTGCTTGAATCCAGGAGGTGGAGGTTGCAGTGAGCTGAGATGGCGTCACTGCTCTGCAGCCTGGGTGACAGAACGAAACTCAGTCTCAAAAAAACAAAACAAAACAAAAATTCTCTATATGAACAAGGACAAATTATTTGATATTTTAGTGCTTTGTTTTTCTCAGCTAAAAGTGTAACATTTATGATAAATAAGCATTAAAAGTGGTTTAAGAATCTCTAAGTAAATATGCAGTTCTGTGGCTTGTAACGTATGTATCCTTGAAATTTTATATATTATTTTATTCTATACTATCTCATACAAATTAACCGAGTGACATCACAAATGTTCAAACCAATCAAGGTACATGCTAATGTCATGTAGCAAAAATAGCTGTAATGAGGGTTAACTGAGGATATGTCAAGATCGATTTTGGTTTTTTTTTTTTTTTTTTTTTTTGAGACACAGTCTCGCTCTGTCTCCCAGGCTGGAATGTAGTGGCCAGTGGCCTGATCTCGGCTCACTGCAACCTCTGCCTCCTGAGTTCAAGCGGTTTTCGTGCCTAAGGAGTAGGTGGGATTACAGGCACCCACCACCACGCCCAGCTAATTTTTGTATTCTTGGTAGAGATGGGGTTTCGCCATGTTGGCCAGGCTGGTCTCGAGCTCCTGACCTCAGGTGATCTGGCCGCCTTGGCCTCCCAAAGTGCTGGGACTACAGGTGCGAGCCAGCACGCCCGGTCAAGATCAATTTTATTTGTAGGAAATCTTGCTTCCTTCTTCCTTAAGTGTTGCTGGAAGCTGCTGTTCCTGGACTAACATCACCAATACTTGATCACCTGCTCTTCCTTTAGGGAAAGTATTAGTAAGCAAATCTGGCAAGGAGACAGCTGCCTGTGGGCTAACAGATGGTCACAAGAGTCATGCTGTTCATACCCATCATGAATTTGGAGCACAAGCCAAGTACAGAAAAATTAGACAACTGAGATGTTTCCTTTGAGGTATTGAGTTAGATCAGAAATACTCATTGAAATATATAAACCCACAAAAATGCTTTTTGTTGGTCAAATATGAGTAATGTTTTGGTTACCTATTGGTCTATATTAGCTATTATATTAGCTATCTTGCATTATGTATTAGTTTGCATTATCTGTAACTTATAAGATGCCATCTCAATAGCAATGGGCCTGGAAGGTGTGGGGAACTTGGCAGAAAGAAAATTTGGCCTTGAATTCTTGGGCAAATCACATCACCACCTCTGTGAGCCTCTAGAAAGCCTGAGTCTCTTCCTGTCTACAATGGGAATCATGATACTTTCTAGCTCATGAGGGGCATGAGGATTCAGTGAGGCAGCTTAACATTATGGAGTGCTTATCATGTACTCTGCAAGCACTTGATACTCAGTACACACTGAACCAACTGTAGTAATTAATATTCTAAGAGAAAAGCTCTAAAATATGAGTCAAGTCTCCAAACAGAGGAACACTCCTATTTACACAGGTATCTCCAGGAACCTCCACTTCCTGTTAACTGGTATCAGCTCTTCCACCCTGGTGTCATCATCAGGACGAGGGAGATCATGAACACAGAACCTCTGGAGAAGGGTACGGGACAAAGGACATTGAAGGTGTTATGATCTTCTGCTTTATTCAGTTGAGAACATTTATTTATTTTGAGATAGGGTCTTGCTGTGTTGCCCAGGCTGGAGTATAGAGGCAAGAACATGGTTTACTGCAGCCTTGACCTCCTGAGATCAAGCACTCCTCCCACCTCAGCCTCCGAGTAGGTGGGACTACAGACGCAAACCATATCCGACTAATTTTTGGATTTTTTGTAGAGATGGGGTCTTGCTATGTTGCCCAGGCTGGCCTTGAACTCCTGGACTCAAGCAATCCTCCTACCTCAGCCTCCCAAAGTGCTGGGATTACAGGTGTGAGCCACCACATCTGGCCCTAGAACATTTATGTCATTAATTTTTTCCATTTGAGGCACATTTTAACATTTACAGAGGGCTACTATGAATCCGGCTCTATGTCTAACATTTTACATGGATTGTCTCAACTGATCCTAACATCGTGGCTGTTATTAATCCCACTTGATAGACAAGATACCAAAGCTTTGAAATGTTGCATTTTAAAACCCTGCTGAAGGTCCTACCAGCAGCGAGAGGTGGGGTGGAGTCAGCTCCAGGCAGTTTCCCTACTGTCCTTTGCCTTAGGCCTCAATAGTTCCTTCAAATGAATGGTGAAAAAAAGTGAGATGAAAATGCATTTTATGAGATCAGAGCACTGACATATTTTAGTATGAGTGATTGTAGGTGTCTCTATAGTACTTTTTTTTTTCTTTTTAGAAGCTTTCTTATAATCTTACTCCTGATTTTTGGTGAATATAATTAATCTAATAGCATAATGTCGAGCAATTCTGCCTGGGCAAATACGTCTGACCCTCTCTCTCTTCTTTCCCATAAAAAAAATAAAATAAAATGGAAGAAAGAAAAAGGTGAATCTGGCCAGGCATCGTGGCTAATGCCTGTAATTCCAGCACTTTGGGAGGCCAAGGTGGGAGGATCGCTTGAGGTCAGGGGTTCAAGACCAGCCTAAGCAACATAGCAAAACCCTGTCTCTACCAAAAATTCAAAAAATTAGCTGGGCGTAGCAGTGTGTACCTGTGGTCCTGGCTACTTGGGAGGCTGAGGGAGGAGAAGTGCTTGACCCCAGGAGGCGGAGGTTTCAATGAGCCGAGATTGTGCCATTGCACTCCAGCTTGGGTGACACAGTGAGACCCTGTCTCAAAAAAA
This sequence comes from Homo sapiens, assembly GCF_000001405.40. Lineage (NCBI taxonomy): Eukaryota > Metazoa > Chordata > Mammalia > Primates > Hominidae > Homo > Homo sapiens. The sequence goes on from NC_000007.14 coordinate 98,375,094, forward strand.
ACAAAAAACAAAAACAAAAAGGCCAGGCGTGGTGGCTCACCCCATAATCCCAGCACTTTGGGAGGCTGAGGCAGGTGGATCACGAGGTCAGGAGTCCAAGACCAGCCTGGCCAACATAGTGAAACCCCATCTCTACTAAAAATAACAAAACTTAGTTGGGCCTGGTGGTGAGAGCCTGTAATCCCAGCTACTCGGGAGGCTGAAGCAGGAAAATCACTTGAACCTGGGAGGCGGAGGTTGCAGTGAGCCGACATCCGGCCACTGCACTCCAGCCCAGGCGACAGTACAACACTCCATCTTAAAAAAAAAAAAAAAATTTGTGAGAGTGTAGAATCCACAACCACCTGTAGTCCCCACAAGAATTACTAACAGTTGGCCAGGCGCAGTGGCTCATGCCTATAATCCCAGCACTTTGGGAGGCCGAGGCTGGCAGATCACCTGAGGTAAGGAGTTCGAGACCAGCCTGACCAATATGGAGAAACCCCATCTCTACTAAAAATATAAAATTAGCCAGGCATGGTGGCAGGCACCTATAATCTCAGCTACTCGGGAGGCCGAGGCAGGAGAATCGCTTGAATCTGGGAGGCGGAGGTTGCGGTGATCACACCCCCGCACTCCAGCCTGGGCGACAAAAGCGAAAGTCCATCTCAAAAAAAAAAAAAAAAAAAAGAAAAGAAAAAAAATTACTAACAGTTAACAGTCACACTGGTTCCCTTTGCTGAAAAAGCACTAAAGCACTAGAGATAAAAGGACAGGATGCCTTAGTCACCCCATCCAAGTCTCATACCCTTTCTTTTCTCCCCTGGGGGAGCCACTAATTCAGACTGCTGTTAAATATCTAGCCGATATTTTATATTTTCACACACACGTATATATTTAGTCAAGATTAACATAAAATTTTGCTTTGTGTGTTAAAAAATACTTACATAAATCCTTAAATGGTATCACATAATACATTTCACTCTTACATCTTATTTCTTTATTCAGTGTTATACTTCTGAGATCTGCTCACCTTGGTCTGTACTGACCAAGGTTCTTCCTATTTAACTTCTACACGGTATCCCTTTATGATGGTTTAAGTGTCCACGTAGCAAAGCTACAGTATTCAGTCAATTAAACACTAATCTAGGCTAGGCACGGGAGCTCATACCTGTAATCCCAGCACTTTGGGGGGCTGAGGCAGGAGGACTGCTTGAGTCCAGGAGTTGAGAACAGCCTGGGCAACATAGTGAGACCCCGTCTCTACCAAAAACAACAAAAAAAATTAGCCAGGTGGGGTGGCATGGCGTGTGCTTGTGGTCCCAGCTACTTAGAGGCTGAGATGGGAGAATTGCTTGAGCCAGAGAGGTCGAGGTCACAGCGAGCCACGATCACACAACCATACTCCAACCTGAGCAAGGCAGAGGGAGACCTTGTCTCAAAAAACAAAACAAAACCAACCCATTGGCTGGGAGCGGTGGCTCAAGCCTGTAATCCCAGCACTTTGGGAGGCCGAGGCAGGCAGAACACCTGAGGTCAGGAGTTCGAGACCAGCCTGACCAACATGGAGAAACCCCATCTTTACAAAAAAAAAAAAAAAAAACACACAAAAAGCTGGGTGTGGTGGCGCATGCCTGTAATCTCAGCTACTCGGGGGGCTGAGGCAGGAGAATCACTTGAACCCGGGAGGTGCAGGTTGCGGTGAGCTGAGATTATGCCATCGCACTCCAGCCTAGGCAACAAGAACAAAACTCCATCTCAAACAACAACAAACCAACCCACTAATCTAACACGGTGTTGTCTAAACACAGCGTTGCTATGAAGGTATTTTGTAGATATGGTCAACATCTACACTACAACTTTTATTTAAAGTTGACTTTAAATAAAAGAGATTATCTTCAATAATCAGGGTGGGTGTAATCTAATCAGTCAAAAGCCTGAGGACAAATTGAGGTTTCCCTAAGGAAGAAGATATTCTGCTTAAGGGCTACAGAGTCAGCTCCCAGGCTGCCCTACAGATCTTGGACTAGTCAGCCCCACAATCATGGAAGCCAATTTCTTGAAATAAATCTTTTCACTTATATATAGATATACATATACATACATATCCCATCATGTAAAGAGACTGCATTTTACCCATCTATTTCTTGACTGACAGGCATTTACATGGCTTACGAGCTTCTGCTAATGACGACGACGTGGTAGGGAATGATACATGTCTCCTTGTACATACAGGTAAGAATTTACCCAGAAACAGAACTGCAGAGACACAGGGTATGTGACATATTTCTCCATTTTGTTAGATACTCCCAAATTTGAAGACAGCAACTGTAGCCATTTCCATGCCTGAAACCACCGTGTCAAAGTGCTGTTTTGCCATGTTCTCCCCAACACTTGGTACTGTCATACTTTTTGCCTGTTTGATAGGCAAACAATAGTATCTTTTAAAAAGTACCATACACTAGGCCAGGCCCGGTGGCTCACGCCTGTAATCCCAGCACTTTGGGAGACCAAGGCGGGTGGATCACCAGAGGTCAGGAGTTCGAGATCAGCCTGGCTAACATGGTGAAACCCCATTTCTATTAAATATACAAAATTAGCTGGGTGTGGTGGCACGCGCCTGTAATCCCAGCTACTCAGGAGGCTGAGGCAGGAGAATCACTTAAACTTCAGGAGGCAGAGGCTGCAGTGAGCCAGTATCTCACCACTGACTCTCCAGCCTGGGCGACAGAGTGAGACTCAATCTCAAAAAAAAAAAAAAAAAAAAAAAAAAGGCCAGGTGTGGTGGCTCACACCTGTAATTCCAGCACTTTGGGAGGCCGAGACGGGCGGATCACCTGAGGTCAGGAGTTCGAGACCAGCCTGGCCAACACATAGTGAAACCCCATCTCTACTAAAAAAAAAAAATACAAAAATTAGCTGGGCATAGTGGCGCATGCCTGTAGTTCCAGCTACAGGCTGAGAACTGTGGGAAGCTGAGACAGGAGAATCGCTTGAACCTAGGAGGCGGCAGTTGCAGTGAGCTGGGATTGTGCCATTGCACTCCAGCCTGGGTGACAGAGTAAGACTCTGTCTCTCAAAAAACAAAAATAAAAACAAAAACGAACAAAAAAAAAAGTACCATACACTATTTCTCATCAGCATTAAAAAATAACACGACTGGAAATAGCTAAGCATGGGGAGAGAAATGATGAAAGGTAGTTTCCTGGTGTGTTTTAGCCTCAGTTCTCGTGTCCATCATAAGTGAATGTCATCAGTGACTTCTGTCCTTTTAACACAGGGTGGGAAGAGGCATTGAAAGCCGGGACATTCCCTGCAGCTGCATGCTCCACCTGGGTTTGGGCTGAGGCACACTGGCCTCCGGGCTGTTCTCCAAACAGGTCACATCCATTCCCACAAACTCTCAGAGACACCTTCCTTGACCTCTTCCACAAATGGTGGCAACCCCAGCCTCTCTCTAGCTCTGTTCCTGGCTTCTCTTTCTTTAAAGTACTTATCATACTGTATAAGATATTCCCTGTTTACTCTCTGTCTCCTTGGTAGAAACTACATGTAATCAAGGCTAGGGATGTTTTTTTTTTTAGACTAAGTCTTGCTCTGTCGCGCAGCCTGGAGTACAGTGGCATGACCTCGGCTCACTGCAACCTCTGCCTCCCAGGTTCAAGCAGTTCTCGTGCCTCAGCCTCTCCAGCAGCTGGGACTATAGGCACACGCCACCATGTCCATGGCTCAGCACTTTGGGAGGCCAAGGCAGAAGGCTCACTCTTTTTTTTTTTGAGATGGAGTCTCGCTCTGTTGCTCAGGCTGGTGTACAGTGGCGTGATCTCGGCTCACTGCAACCTCCGCCTCCCGGTTCAAGCAATTCTGCTGCCTCAGCTTCCCGAGTAGCTGGGACTACAGGCGTCTGCCACCGCGCCTGGCTAATTTTTTGTATTTTTAGTAGAGACTGGGTTTCACCGTGTTAGCCAGGATGGTCTCAATCTCCTGACCTCGTGATCTGACCTCGTGGTTGGCCAGGCTGGTCTCGAATTCCTGACCTCAGGCGATCCGCCCGCTTCAGCCTCCCAAAGTGCTGGGATTACAGGCATGAGCCACCGAGCCTGGCCAAAGCTAGGAATCTTAATGTAACCACCACCGCATTTCCAGCACCAAGAACACTGCCTGGATCATCTGATTAATGCCTCACAGTGTTCTCAGCAGCAGCAGGTTCTGACACCTGTATTTCATAAGAGATGCCTGCACCCACGGACGAACCAGCTGCAGGCTGTACCCTCAGCTCCACCAGCTCATCTGAACACATCGCTACAGACACAAAGGCCCCGTGGGTCAATCAGCCTCGAAAATTGAGCATTAGGTAATGGTGCCACTGCTTGCCACTTCCCTAGCTCAAGGCGATAACTCCAACCAAGGTTCACAAAAGCTGCCAGGCTCGGCCTTCTACCTACCAAGTCCTAACAGGCTTACAAATCTGCAAATACCAGGGCTGTCTGTGAATTTTGCTTCCCAATCCTATGTTTTTCTAAGCTGTCATTTAAATTCCCTGTGAAATACAAGGCATTAATGTGGCCTCTTAAAAAAAATCTTGTTTAGAGACAACCCACATGTCCATCAACTGGTGAATGAACAAAACGTGGTATATCCATTTAATAGAATATTATTCAGCCATAGAAAAGGAATAAAATATTAAGACACTCTACAACATAGATAAAACCCATTACGCTAAGAAGCCAGTCACAAAAGACCAAATACTGTATGACTCTATTTACAAAAAGTACAGAAAAGACAAATCTGTAGAGACAGAAAATCTATTAGTGGTTGCCTGGAGCTGGAAGCGAGAATGAGTAATGATAGCAAATGGGGATGAAGGATCTTTTTGAGGTGACAGAAGTGTTATAAATTTAAATTGTGGTGACGGCTGCACAACTTTATAAATTTACTAACAACCATTAAATTGTACGCTTAAAATGCGTGAATTTTATAACGTATAAATTACACCTCAAAAATGCTTTTTTTTTTTTTTTGAGATAGGGACTCTCACTCTGTCACCCAGGCTGGAGTGCAGTGGTGTGATCAGACCTCATGGTAATCTCAAACTCTCAGACTCAAGCGATCCTTCTGCCTCAGCCTCCCATGTAGCAGGGACTTTAGGTACGCACCAACACACCCACCTAATTTTTAAATTTTTTCTAGAGATGGGCTCTTGCCATGTTGCCCAGTGTATCAGTCTGTTTTCATGCTGCTGATAAAGACATACCCAAGACTGGGAAGAAAAAGAGGTTTCACTGGACTTACGGTTCCACATGGCTGGTCTCAGAATCATGGTGGGAGGCGAAAGGCACTTCTAACATGGCGGCAGGAAGAGAAAATGATAAAGCAGCAAAAGCGGAAACCCCTGATAAACCCATCAGATCTTGTGAGACTTATTCACTACCATAAGGACAGTATGGTGGAAACCGCCCCCATGACTCAAATTATCTCCCACCAGGTTCCTCCCACAACACATGGAAATCATAGGAATACAATTCAAAATGAGATTCGGGTGGGGACACAGAGCCAAACCATATCACCCAGGCTGGTTTCAGACTCTTGGCCTCAAGCAATCCTCCTACCTCAGCCTCCTAAAAAGTGCTGGGATTACAAGCATAAGCCACCATATCCGGTCCGTTTTTTTTTTTTTTTTAATAAAAAAAAAAAGGAACCACCACCACCGCCACTACCACCACCACCATCGCCACCACCCAACCACCCAACCCCCGCCCCACCCCTTCTTCCATTACAGGCTGCTAAGGATTCAGGGATCTAAATCCCTAATGTTATGGAATGGCCACAAAGATGTGTATGCCTTTGCTCATTCTTTGGTGGTCTCTAACTAGCCTGCCCACAGCACAGCCCAGCATACTGAGACGCACAGGTCATCCCCCGTCCTTTGGGAACATGGGTCCCAGACAGCTGGACACGCACCACTGGTCTGCAAAGCATTTATGCCTATGGAGCCGTCCACAGCCATTTCCCCTTCTAGGGTGAAAATCAATTTGACCCATTAGTAGAAAATGATAACCCAGCTGTTTTGAGGCAGATCTCCGGCTGGCGTAGCAGTTGTTTTTCCAGCTATGATTGGGTAGGGAGTTTGGCAAATGTTTTTCCAGGCAAAAGTCCTTACTGTGTCCTTCTAAAAGGCGGGGTTTCCTAGGAAATCTTCAGCGCATGGAGAAAACTCTCCGTGAGAATTTCATTATGACATAATCATTGTTTTGCCTTCATTCTTCCTTTCCCATCTTCACCCACAATCTAGGTTTTGGTTTTTACAGAATTATTGCTACAAAGATTGTCCTTCCAGGTGCAAAGGTCATAGCAGAAAGGAAGCCAAGAGGCCTGCAGGCTTACCAGGCCCCATCCCTAGCAACGTGGCCTGAGCCTCCACTGGGCGTGCAGGTACAGTCTTTGGGCTTAGCCTGTCATAGAAGAATATTCTCAGAGTCCTGGGAGCACCTATGAGAGCCTGAGCTCTCTAAGGCCAACCAAGCAATTGGGACCAGTGTGATCACTGAAAGACATGCACCGCTGCTTCTTCTGATATATTACTAGACGCAATCACGTTGCTGTGACCTTTCATTCAGTTGCTTAAAGAGACAGATTTCTGTGACAAACTCTTGGCTTCCTACTCCCTACTCACTTAGGCAGCAAGAATTATTCTGCAGCTAAAGCATAATTAAGCCAAAAAATGGCCCCAATACACTGAGGTAAGAAAGAAGGATGTCCTACAACTGTTCACATCTTCTGGACAAAAGTATCAAGCCCGTTAAGAAAATTAAGTCCCAGAGCTACCCCCACCCACATTAGGGTAAAAATCTAAGGGTTTTTTTTTTTTTTTGAGATGGAGTCTCGCTCTGTCACCCAGGTTGGAGTGCAGTGGCGATATCTCGGCTCACTGCAAGTTCCACCTCCTGAGTTCACGCCATTCTCCTGCCTCAGCCTCCTGAGTAGCTGGGACTACAGGCGCCTGCCACCACGCCCGGCTTTTTTGTATTTTCAGTAGAGAGGGAGTTTCACCGTGTTAGTCAGGATGGTCTCGATCTCCTGACCTCGTGATCCGCCTGCCTCAGCCTCCCAAAGTGCTGGGTTATAGGCGTGAGCAACCGTGCCCAGCCAAAATCTAGGTTTTCAATTGTTAATTTGAAAAAAGAGTGGGGAGGGAGAACAATGTACAGGAAAACTGAGCTCAGCCCATCTGAGAAGGTAACTTGAAGGAAAAAATAATGGTCTTTAACCTAGTTCAAGATTAGAAAATTTCAGCCAGGTACAGTGGCTCACGCCTGTAATCCCAGCACTTTGGGAAGCCAAGGCAGGAGGATTGCTTGAGGCCAGGAGTTTGAAACCAGCCTAAGCAACACAGGGAGACTGTGTCTCTACAAAAAATAAAATTTAAAAAAAGACTAGAAAATTTCATTCTATTTTAATTACTAGACAAAGGTTTTACATTTGCCTATGAATGGAATGGTTCAAAATCACTTTCCTTTGTAGTTTAAGTGTGGATGATTATACTGGGTTTAAGGTCCACAGATACCATAACTCTATATAGTTATGTTTATTTCTTGGCAATGCCAGGAAAGCGTTCAGGTTGAAGCTTTGGCAATTAGCAAGCTATCAAACTTTGGAACAATGTCTCGTCCACACCGGCCTCCATCAGATGAGGGATTGTGGAACCCTGCCCCAGAATTCAAGCAGGTTTTAAATTCTGAACTTCATAGGGAATAAGTAATGCCTATAAGACTGAAGTAAAAATCATTTCTTCAAATTCCTACTAGGATAATACCAGTATCCACGTTTGCTTTGTTCTTAGAGGTACATGTTCTTATTTGAAAGAATGAAACCTGAGGTCAGGAGTTCGAGACCAGCCTGACCAACATGGCGAAACCCTGTCTCTACTAAAAATACAAAAAATTAGCCAAGCATGGTAGCACGTGCCTGTAATCCCAGCTACTTGGGAGGGTGAGGCAGGAGAATCACTTGAACCCAGGAGGCGGAGGCTGCAATGAGCTGAGATGGCGCCACCACACTCCAGCCTGGGCAAGAGACCAAGACTCTGTCTCAAAGTATCAAAAAAGAAACAAACAAACAAAAAAAAGAAAAGAAAAGAAAGAATGGAAACACAATCCTTCCTATTCTAAGCTGCTATACCAAGATGACTACCATGTAATATAACTTTCAATCTTTTTTTTTTTTTTTTTCAGACAGAATTTCCTTCTTGTTGACCAGGCTGGAGTGCAATGGTGCGATCTTGGCTCACCACAACCTCTGCTTCCCTGGTTCAAGCGATTCTCCTGCCTCAGCCTCCCGAGCAGCTGGGATTCCAGGCATGCGCCACCACGCTTGGCTAATTATTTTTGTATTTTTAGTAGAGACGGGGTTTCTCCATGTTGGTCAGGCTGGTCTCGAACTCCAGACCTCAGGTGATCCACCCACCTCGGCCTCCCAAAGTGCTGGGATTACAGGCGTGAGCCACTGCGCCCGGCCATAACTTTCAGTCTTAAAAGTAACATTTCAACCAGAATCTGAAAATGTGCCTCTTTTCTGGGATCTCCTCTTTGTGTAAGTTTGTGCATGTGTGGGAGAGACAGAGAAGTAACATGTGAATGTGTGTACTTACGTTTCATTCCACCAACTCTGTAAAGTCTCACATTTCAGGCTTTCAAACACATAAAAATCTACACATTTCTGCAACATTTATTATTATGCCTACGTTGAGCCCACCCCATCCTGGACCCAGGAAACACAAAGATGAATGAAGAAAGAGCTCCAGGCCGGGTGTGGTGGCTCACGCCTGTAATCCCAGCATTTTGGGAGGCTGAGGCGGGCAGATCACCTGAGGTCAGGAGTTTGAGACCAGCCTGGCCAACAAGGTGAAACCCTGTCTCTACTAAAAATACAAAAATTAGCTGGGCGTGGTGGCACGTGCCTGTAATCCCAGCTACTCAGGAGGCTGAGGCAGGAGAATCACGTGAACCTGGGAGGCGGAGATTGCAGTGAGCCGAGATCGCACCATTGCAATCCAGCCTGGGCAACAAGAGTGAAACTCCGTCTCAGAAAAAAAAAAAAAAAAGAAAGAGCTCCAGTCCTTGGAAATGTACCGTCTTACACGGAAACAGGTACAAAGAAATACCAAGGCAATTCACAGAGACGTGGTGAAAATAAGAAATGCAAACACCTGAAATATTACGTTATCATTTAGAAATATAAAACTACAGATAAATGGCATGTATTAAGGACCAGTAACTGATTAGTTACTGATTCTGAAATAGCTGTTAAAAGATACATACTTTGAAGACCACAGAGTATACTAGGCTGTTTGACTAAGTGCTCTTGCCTGCCTAGTTACTGTTTTTAAAAGGTGTGTCCTGGAATAAAAAAGCAATCAATAAATTTACAGGAAAGGACATCTTATGCACTGGGTTACGTTGTTTAGAAAGCCCCAGAGCACTGAACAGGTAACAGGAACTTTATCGGATCAAAGTACACTGACTTACTGCACTAGTTCTTTCCAAATGCTACTTTTATAGTAGTATCTGGAATCATTCTAGCTAACTTCCTTCAACCAGACTCTGTGAGACAGATCATTCTACCTTTTTTTTTTTTTTTTTTTTGTGAGATGGAGTCTCGCTCTGTTGCCCAGGCTGGAGCGTAGGTGGCACGATCTCGGCTCACTGCAACCTCGGCCTCCCAGGTTCAAGCGATTCTCCTGCCTCAGCCTCCCAAGTAGCTGGGTTTACAGGTGCCCGCCACCACGCCTGGGTAATGTTTGTATTTTTAGTAAAGATGGGATTTTGCCATGTTGGCCAGGCTGGTGCTGAACTCCCGAACTCAGGTGATCCAACCACCTTGGCCACCCAAAGTGCTGGGATTACAGGCATGAGCCACGGCAATCAACCTCATTCTATTGTCTTAAAATCGCAGCTGGGTGGGTGCAGTGGTTCATGCCTATAATTCCAGCACTCTGGGAGGCTGAAGTGGGCAGATCACTTGAGGCCAGGAATTCAAGACCAGCCTGGCCAACATGGTGAAACCCCATCTCTACTAAAAATACAAAAATTAGCCAGGCATGGTGGCAGGGACCTGTAATCCCAGCTACTCAGGAGGCAGAGGTGGGAGGATTATTTGAACCCAGGAGGCGGAGGCTGCAGTGAGCCAAGACTGTGCCAACTGCACTCCAGCCTGGGTGACAGAGCGAGATTCTGTCTCAAATAAAATAAAATTGCGGCCTTTGCGATCTGAGGAATTGTTCAAAAACTCCAAATGATTTAAAAACAGTTTAAATTCTTTACTTTTATTTCTCAGATACCAGTAAGGGGAAATCATTTCTTTTTCTTTTGAGACAGGTTCTTGCTGTGTTGCCCAGGCTGGAGTGCAGTGGCGCAATCTCTGCTCACTGCAGCCTCGACCTCCCGGACTCAAGCGATTCAGCCTCCAGAGTAGCTGGGATTACAGCCACACGCCCCCATGCCCAGTTAATTTTTTTGTTTTTTTCGTAGACATGGGGTTTCACTATGTTGTCCAGGCTGGTCTCGAACTCCTGACCTCAAGCAAGCTGCCTGCTTCAGCCTCCCAAAGTGCTGGGATTATAGGCAGGAGCCCCCACACCCAGCCAGGAATCAACATTTCTTTTTTTTGTTGTTTTTTTTTTCACAAATAGCACTCTTTATTTGCCACTATTTGAAGTCTGAACTTTAAACAGATTCTTGGACTGGTGGTTCATATCCATCAGCTCGTTCAACTTTAGCACCTGTCTCGTCCCCAGTGGCTTTTCCAGAACTACTGCCTTCACCATGAAGCTCCATGAGCTTTCCCAATTCAAACTTGGGCTTCTTCAGCATTTTTACTTTTCTAACGAAGACATCATGGAGAGGATAAATAGACTGGCAAGCCTTTTCTATGTCTTTTCCAATGCTGTCTGGAATCAATTTATTGACCACTTCTTTCAAGTCATTTGTCTGCACCTCTCGGGTCATGATTTCGATCATCTTCTTCCGGATTTGGCGGACCTGTTGGTGCTGAGCATAAGAGGTCTTCCGTATCTGATTGTTGCGTTTTTTAGTAAAACCAACACAGAACAGACGAAGCAAGTAACCATCGGTAGTCTTGACATCAACGTGAGCTTCAATCATTGTCTGCCATTTTTTGACCATGGAACACATTTTGTCACGGGTAAGATCCATGCCATGGAAGTTAGGCAGTTTTTACCCTGAACATCTTCAGTAATCAGCCTGAATTTTCTAAATGCAACTTCATCATTCTGCAAATCAGCAAGACTCACTTCAAACACACGACCCTTGAGACCATCAGATGCAATTTTGGTTCCTTGGGTCCTGGTGACGAGCGTCTTTCCAATATTTCTTATACTGAACATAGCAGGTGCTTTCACATCATACCAATCTTTCTTAGAAAATGGATCAACCACTTTCTTCTTGGCTCCCTTTTTGCCGCCTTTCGTAAGGCGCTTGTTCTTGCCAACCGCCATGGTGCTGGTCAGAGAGCCAAAAGCAGGAATCAACATTTCTACAATGTTCTTTCCGAGAACTTTTTTTTGTCTCTCATCGACTTCTCTCCTATATTCAACTTTCCAAAGGTTTTTTTTTTTTTTTTTTTTTTTTGGTGACAGAGTCTCGCTCTGTCGCCAGGCTGGAGTGCAGTGGTGCCACTTCAGCTCACTGCAACCTCTGCCTCCAGGTTTCAAGTGATTCTCCTGCCTCAGCCTCCCGAGTAGCTGGGACTACAGGCGCCCGCCACTGCACCCAACTAATTTTTTGTATTTTTAGTAGAGACGGGGTTTCACCGTGTTGGCCAGGATGGTCTTGATCTCTTGACTTCGTGATCTGCCCGCCTCGGCCTCCCAAAGTGCTGGGATTACAGGCGTGAGCCACCGTGCCTGGCCTTCCAAAGACTTCCTTAAAGACTGTACATCGCCTTAAAACTCCTCTCAAACTTAACCTACACGCGTATTAAGCTTTTCCTTCTTTCTTCCCATATTGAGACAAAACCAAGTCCAAATATTGAAGTTGTAAAGGCCAGCCCCCGCTGGGACAGAGGGTAGGGAAGGAGCAAGGATGTTTAATTTACGACATGGGCAGGTCCAGGCGGAGGAGAGGGGCTGCGGCTACTAGAACTTGGGGTTGCTGTCCTGTCACAGCTATAAACTCTGGATGGGCACAGACCTTCTTTGTCTTTTCTCCAGCGTGGTTTCTGGTGGTAACCATGGTGCTTGGCACAGCTGTGGTGCTCAAGAAAACAGCTGCGGGAAGAACTCATGTTGGTGGTAAAAGCTCAGCCCGTACCTAACAGGTGCTCACAACATGGCAGTTGTTATTACTGACACGATCTCAGTGCCACCAAAGAGTTGGTGATGATTTCAGTCACCCCTGTGTGATCAGCACAGGTCTTCAGCATTTAAAACACAAAATTCTTGAGTTCTTACTATGCGCCACCACGATAAGGGATTAAATAAACCTTCAAGGGCTGGATGCAGTGGCTCATGCCTTTAATCCCAGCACTTTGGGAGGCTGAGGTGGGAGGACTGCTTGAGCCCAGGAGTTCGAGACCAGCCTGGCCAACAAAGTGAGGCAGGCCCTGTCTCTACAAGAAAAAAAAAAAAAATTAGCTGGGCGTGGTGGTGCACGCCTGTAGTCCCAGCCACTCAGAAGGCTGGGGCAGGAGAATTTGCTTGAGCCTAGGAGTTGGAGGCTGCAATAAGCTATGATTGTGCCATTTCACTCCAGCCTGGGCGACAGAGTTAAGACCCTGTCTCAAAACAAAACAAAACAACAACAACAGAAACCAACAACCAAAAAAACCTTCAAGGACCATATAGCTCCTTCAGGGAGATAAAAATGTGTGCCAATATTTTCAACACTATTCTCTTATCAGGTATTTACTCAGCTCCACCTATTTCAGTCATTTGTAAATAAGGAGGCAGGTAATAAACAGATGAAAATCAATGCTCTTGGTGGGGGTGGGGAGTGACAGTCTAGTAAACACACGCTATGCCTACTAACAGTTAGCCCTAATTGAATACCTACGATGCGCCAGATGCTATTCTAAGAGCTTTCATGTATGACTGCGTTTAATCTTCACAGCAACCCTAGGAGCTATTATCATCCTTATTTACAGACTAAAGCACATCAAATGAAAGAATAGGGCATTATCAAGTACATACAACCATCGGGGATGACACAAAGGATGCACTGGTTAGCTGAAGAAGCCTTCTCAGAGGGCATAAGAGTAAGACTGAGTCTCTAAGCAGATGCCTGTAATCCCGGCTACTCGGGAGGCCAAGGCAGGAGAATCGCTTCAACCCGGGAAGTGGAGGTTGCAGTGAGCCGAGATCGCACCACTGCACTCCAGCCTGAGTGACAGGGCGAGACTCCCTCTCAAAAACAAAACAAAACAAACCCATGTTTTGCATGTTTAAACTTTTTGGTTTACAGGCATATTGTTCCTGCATTTATTGTTCAGTCACATATTGTACTGTCAGACATAACTGATGTCCTGTATCTTAAGCTGCTCAAAGTGTAACATAAGCCCATGCTATGATGAGACATACCATTTAGTCCATTAAATAATCACAACTGGGCCAGATGCAGTGGCTCACATCTGTAATCCCAGCACTTTGGGAGACCGATGCAGGCAGACGGCTTGAGCCCAGGAGTTCAAGACCAGCCTGGGCAGCATAGTGAAACCCTGTCTCTATGAAAAACATAAAAATTAGTCAGACTTGGCGGCACGTGCCTGTAGTCCCAGCTACTTGGGAGGCTGAGGCAGGAGGAACGCTTTAGCCTGGGACGTTGAGGCTGCAGTGAGCCATGATCACACCACTGCACTCCAGCCTGGACAACAGAGACCCTAAGAAATTAAAAAAAAAAAACAAAAAACAAACCATTCAAGTTTTATCCAAAAAATCCTGGCCCCTAAGTATGAGGAATTATCATTGTGACTTTCCTGATTTGTCACCTGAGGTTTTTGTGGCCAGAAACAGATTGGTCTATTAACTAAGACTCAGGCAATTGTGTCAGACAGGCATGTGAAGGTGACAGGGGGCCCTGTCTTCTGTACTCCTCTCCCCTCCCCCAACAGGCAGGGGCTTCCCTCCTCCTAACTCAGCATGGGGCTGCTGGATTAGGGTAGCTGGTGGTTGGATCTGTCATCTGGGACCTATTCCAACCCCTACCCCAATCTTTTCTGCACATTTGTTCGAGGCCTTATTTTTTATTTTTTTTGAGACAGAGTCTCACTCTGTCACCCAGGCTGGAGTGCAGTGGCACCATCTGAGCTCACTGCAACCTCCGCCTCCCAGGTTCAAGCAATTCTCCTGCTTCAGCCTCCCAAGTAGCTGGAATTACAGGTACCCACCACCATGCCCGGCTGATTTTTTTGTATTTTTAGTAGAGACGGGGTTTCACCATGTTGGCCAAGCTGGTTTCAAACTCCTGACCTCAGGTGATCCGCCCGTGTCAGCCTCCGAAACTGCTGGGATTACGGGCATGAGGAGGCCTTATATTTTAATCATCTGAGATTTCCCCCATACTTTTGACAGGTTATTACCACGCTTGTACCTCTTCTTGTCCCTGTTGTCACCTGCTTTTGTGCCTTTCAAAGATACAGCCATGCTTTTAACTGCTTGCAACATAAGAAATGACTTTTTGCTCTACACATTCAGAGAAACTTCTGAACAAACTATAGAAATGACCCCTGAAAGTAAAGTCTTGACTTTTAAAAGGCAGTTTTAAGAACTGGAATTTGAGTATTTTCAATTTTGTTCAGCTAGTTGCCTGTTGCACGTGTAGTCTTGGGTTAGTAAATTTTTTTTTTTTTTTGAGAGGTAGTCTCGCACTGTCGCCCAGGCTGGAGTGCAGTGGCGGGATCTTGGCTCACTGCAAGCTCCGCCTCCCGGGTTCACACCATTCTCCTGCTTCAGCCTCCCGAGTAGCTGGGACTACAGGCACCCGCCACCGCACCCGGCTAATTTTGTGTATTTTTAGTAGAAATGGGGTTTCACCATGTTAGCCAGGATGGTCTCTATCTCCTGACCTCGTGATCTGCCCACCTCGGCCTCCCAAAGTGCTGGGATTACAGGCATGAGCCACTGCGCCCGGTCTCGGGTTAGTAAATGTTAAACATGTATTCCCATACGTAAAAATCAAGACAGAAATCATAAGATTTAAAATTAGGTTTATCTTTAAATGGGTAATTTGCAAACAGAGGTAGGAGATGGCGAATTTTAGCTTAGTTTTAAAAACATTATGTCCATTAAAACGGAATATATATATTTATCTGCTTTACATTAAATATTATAAAAGTAAGCAATTTACATTAAAAAATATAAATATGGCCGGGTGCAGTGGCTCACGCCTGTAATCCCAGCACTTTGGGAGGCCGAGGCGGGCGGATCACAAGGTCAGGAGATCGAGACCATCTTGGCTAACACGGTGAAACCCCGTCTCTATTAAAAATACAAAAACAAAATTAGCCAGGCATGGTGGTGGGTGCCTGCAGTCCCAGCTACTCAGGAGGCTGAGGCAGGAGAATGGCGTGAACCTGGGAGGCAGAGCTTGCAGTGAGCCAAGATTGCGCCACTGCACTACAGCCTGGGTGACAGAGCAAGACTCTGTCTCAAAAAAAAACAAAAAACAAAACCAAAAACTCCTGCCCTAGAGTTAACTAGTGCTTAATTGATATTGTTTAGGGACTTTTTAGCCTCCAAAGTACCATATGAATAAACACAAGTTTTTTTGTTTTGAGACAGTCTCTCGCTCTGTTGCCAGGCTAGAGTGCGGTGGCGTGATTTCAGCTCACTGCTACCTTTGCCTCCCCGGTTCAAGCGATCCTGCCTCAGCCTCTGGAGTAGCTGGGACTACAGGCGCACTCCACCACACCCAGCTAATTTTTTTTTTTTTTTGTATTTTTAGTAGAAATGGGGTTTCACCATGTTGGCCAGGATGGTCTCGATCTCTTGACCTCATGATCTGCCCGCCTCGGCCTCCCAAAGTGC
The DNA here is from genome assembly GCF_000001405.40 of Homo sapiens. Taxonomy (NCBI): domain Eukaryota; kingdom Metazoa; phylum Chordata; class Mammalia; order Primates; family Hominidae; genus Homo; species Homo sapiens. The sequence continues at coordinate 98,391,109 of NC_000007.14, forward strand.
TGGGATTACAGGCGTGAGCCACTGTGCCCGGCCCATAAACACAGTTTAAGCAGGAAATCTGGGGGCATCTTCACCCACCTGCTGTTCTCTCAAAAGCACAAGCACTCTAGGAGGTGAAATACTGGTTAGATCTCTGACTTGGGCTCATCTATTCTGCTCCCTGGTTTGGGAACTCATTCTGGTAATATTTTTTCTTCTATTTTTTAAAGAAAGAGAAACCGGCAACATTTTATCTCATTTATATGCATCTCACTTTTATCCACAAAGACTTCAGGCAGCTGTTACACCAGGAACTAAAACCATTAAAATCTAAAACTTGGCCAGGCACAGTGGCTCACGCCTGTAATCCCAACACTTTTGGGAGGATGAGGCAGGCGGATCACAAGGTCAGGAGACAGAGACCGTCCTGGCTAACAGAGGGAAACCCTGACTCTACTAAAAATACAAAAAAAAATTAGCCGGGCATGGTGGCGGGCACCTGTAGTCCCAGTTACTCGGGAGGCTGAGGCAGGAGAATGGCATGAACTTGGGAGGTGGACGTTGTGAGCCGAGATCGTGCCACTGCACTCCAGCCTGGGCGACAGAGTGAGACTCCGTCTCAAAAAAAAAAAAAAAAAAAATCTAAAACTCAAGTCACTAAAATCATGATAAACCAGAAGGACTCAAGGTTAGGAAGACAAACAGAAGTATAAAATCAAGGCTGAGGAAAATAAAAACAGAAATCTAACGTCTGAAAGGTCACAGAGCTGTAATTACTCTGCACATATCTACAAGTTCTAAGTTTATGGGGAAAAGTATGCCTAGTTATTAATAGGCATGAAATCGTAGGTGTTCTGGCCAATGTCCATATTCTATATGGTACACATGCTTAAATACTGAAAACACACACACATCCCTTCTATGTGTTATTAAAAAGGAAGTGGTTTTAAAAGATCTACTTAATTGAGCTGGGAACGACGGTGCACGACTGTAGTCCCTGTTACTTGGGAGGCTGAGGTAGGATCACTGGAGCCCAGGAGTTCTAGGTCAGCCTGGGCAATGTAGCAAGACCCCCTCGCTAAAAAAAAAAAAAAAAAAAAGTCTACCTTAGCTGGGTGTGGTGGCGGGTGCCTGTAATCCCAGCTACTAAGGGAGGCTGAGGCAGGAGAATCGCTTGAACCTGGGAGGCGGAGGTTGCAGTAAGCTGAGATCGCGCCATTTCACTCCAGCCTGGGCGAACAAGAGTGAACCTCCGTTTCAAAAAAGAAGTCTACCTAACTGGCTAGAGTTCAGGGAAAGGCGCACTCTCACACCATGCAGACAACAGCATCATTTGGTGCATGCTTTCTGGAGGGCATTTTGCAATGTGGAGCAAACAGGCTTTAAAATGTACCTGCCCTTTGACCCAGAGCTCCCTTCTGGGAATGTGGCTTAAGGAAAACATCATGGATCTGCTTACAGATCTGTGCAAAGCTTTGACTGCAACCATGCCCATGGCTGAGCTGTAATAGCAAAGTACTGGCAATGATCTATGTCCAACCACAGGGGCTGATCAATAAATTATGATGAAAAATGGAGTCCTGTGCAGTCATCAAAATGATAGAGCACAGAAAACTGACATGGGGATATGTACGGAAAAGTATCAGAAAAAGCGACAGCAATAGTTAGTGTTATCTCTGGTTTGCAGGATTCTGGGCACACTTATTTACACTTCTTGTTCTTTTTGAGACAGATTCTTGCTGCCACCCAGGCTGGAGTACAGTGGTGCAGTCTCAGCTCACTGCAACCTCCGCCTCCCAGGTTCAGGCAATTCTCCTGCCTCAGCATCCCGAGTAGCTGGAATTACAGGCACCCGCCACCACGCCCAGCTGATTTTTATTTATATATATAGATATATATATGTAATTTTTGTAATTTTTGTGTATATATATACATACACACATATATATACATATATACGTGTACATATATGTACACATATATGTATACACACACATATATACATATATACGTGTACATATATGTACACATATATGTATATATACACACATATGTGTACATATATATGTACACATATATGTATATATATACATATATGTGTGTGTTTATATATATATGTAATTTTTGTATTTTTGGTAGAGATGGGGTTTCGCCATGTTGGCTAGGCTGGTCTCAAACTCCTGACCTCAGGTGATCCATCCTCCTCGGCCTCCCACAGTGCTGGGATTACAGGTGTGAGCCACTGCACCCGGCCATGAAAGGGTTTTATTACATAAGGGATGTTGAAAGCACAGATGAACCCTATTTAAACTGGAGCTCGGAGTGGGGTGCAAAGTTATGGTTAACTGCATTTTCTTGTTAATTAAATATTAATGAAAATACCTTCCTTTTCTTTTTATGTAACTTTTCTATTTATTTATTTTTTTTTGAGACGGAGTCTCCCTCTGTCGCCCAGGCTGGAGTGCAGTGGCATGATCTCAGCTCACTGCAAGCTCCGCCTCCTGGGTTCACGCCATTCTCCCGCCTCAGCCTCCCGAGTAGCTGGGACTACAGCCTCCCGCCACCGCGCCTGGATAATTTTTTGTATTTTTAGTAGAGACGGGGTTTCACTGTGGTCTTGATCTCCTGACTTCGCAATCCGCCCGCCTCGGCCTCCCAAAGTGCTGGGATTACAGACGTGAGCCACCGCGCCTGGTTTATGTAACTTTTCTTGAAAATGTACCTACTTTGGACCAGGCGCAGTGAGGGGCTCATGCCTGTAATCCCAGCACTTTGGGAGGCCGAGGCGGGCGGATCACCTGAAGTCGGGAGTTCGAGACCAGCCTGAACAACATGGTGAAACCCCATCTCTACTAAAAATATAAAAATTAGGCCAGGCGCGGTGGCTCACGCCTGTAATCCCAGCACTTTGGGAGGCCAAGGTAGGCAGGCAGATCATGAGGTCAGGAGATGGAGACCATCCTGGCTAACACGGTGAAAACCCATCTCTACTAAAAATACAAAAAATTAGCCGGGCGTGGTGGCAGGCGCCTGTAGTCCCAGCTACTCGGGAGGCTGAGACAGGAGAATGGCATGAACCCAGGAGGCGGAGCTTGCAGTGAGCAGAGATCTCGCCACTGCACTCCAGCCTGGGCGACAGGGAGACTCCGTCTCAAAAACAAACAAACAAACAAAAAAACCCACACATAAAACAAACAAAAAATCCCTTTCATGCATGCAGTTATGATAGTTTTAGAGTCTAATGAACTTCAGTTTATGTCTTCCTCTAGTGACTACCACAACTGTATGGCCTCTCAGACCAGAATTTCCTAGGTCTTGGTTTGTCTTCTGACATGAAGGATTTCCCACAGGGCTCCCTGCCAAGGTTACATACACCCTACAGAGAAACGGCAGATCATCAGCAGGCCTGGAACAAACGATTTTGTTTGTGTTTACTTTAAAATTTTTTTGCACATACCCACAGGAATGGCAAAAATTAAAAGGATGGGAAATAGCAGCAGCTGGCAAGGATGAAGAGCAACTGGAACTCTCATACTCTGCTGGTGGAATGGCAACTGGTGCGTCACTGTGGAAAATCAATCAGCAGTTTCTCCTAAAGCAAAATATTTGAATGTCTAATACTCAGCCAGTCTGCTCCTGTGTCTCTATCCAAGAGAAATGAGGGCCTATGGCCATCAGACGTGAGCCAGAACATTCATAAAGCACGACTCATAATATCTTGGAATAGTCTGAACATAATCCCAGCTGGGCACAGTGGCTCACGCCTGCAATCCCAGCACTTTGGGAAGCCGAGGCAGGCGGATCACCTGAGGTCGGGAGTTCGAGACCAGCCTGGCCAACATGGTGAAACCCTGTCTCCACTAAAAATACAAAAATTAGCCAGCGTGGTGGCAGGTACCTGTAACCCCAGCTACTCGGGAGGCTGAGACAGGAGAATCGCTTGAACCCGGGAGGCAAGGGTTGTAATGAGCCGAGATCACACCACTGCACTTGAGCCTGGGTGACAGAGCAAGACTCCGTCTCAAAAAAACAAAACAAAACAAAACCAAAGAAAGAAAGAAAATAATCCCAGCCAGGTGTGGTGGCTCATGCCTGTAAGCCCAGAACTTTGGGAGGCCGAGGTGGGTGGATCACGAGGTCAGGAGTTCGAGACCAGCCTGACCAACATGGTGAAACCCGATCTCTACTAAAAAATACAAAAATTAGCTGGGCATGGTGGCATAAGCCTGTAATCCCAACTACTCAGGAGTCTGAGGGAGGAGAATCGCTTGAACCTGGGAGGTGGAGGTTGCAGTGAGCCAAGACTGAGCCACTGCACCCCAGCCTGGGCGACAGAGCAAGACTGTCTCAAAAAAAAAAAAAAAAAGTTAGGAGAGGGGCTACCCTTGGAGGGGTGCAGCGACTGGGAGGTGGCACGAGGGGGACTTCAGGGAGTGGCCATGGTTTGCTCCTTGATCTGGGTGGTGGTTACACAGGTGTGTTCAGTTTGTGACAATTTAGTGAGCTATGTATACTTAAGCACAACTTTATGTATATTGCTATTCAATAAAAAGTTTTAAAAACAAATTTTAAAATATATTTGCATGTGTCAGCAGATAAGTTAAACTAAATTTTATGCAGCTTTTATAACTTATTTTTAAGCTGGAATATTGAGTTGGAATTATTACAGCTTTGAATACAGGCCTGTAATCCCAGCACTTTGGGAAGCCGAGGCAGGCAGATTACTTGAGCTCAGGAGTGCGTGACCAGCCTGGGCAACACAGTGAGACACCATCTCTACCAAAAATAAAAAATTAGCCGGGCATGGCGGTGCATGTGGTCCCAGCTACATGCCTGTAGCTTTTGATTTACATTTGTGACACTATTTCAGTTTTGGGTATTAATTCTTGTCTTGCACAGACCTCCAAGGGAAACCTAATGTGCATGGAATTAAAACAAATTGGATTTTTATTTTCTTCAACATTCCACACAGTTTTTAGTCAAAAAATAATCATTTTTTCTTGAGATGGGGTCTCACTCTGTTGCCCAGGCCAGAGTACAGTGGCACCATTTCAGTACTGCAACCTCTGCCTCCTGGCCTCAAGTGATCCTCCCACCTCAGCCTACTGAGGAGCTGGGACCCCAGGCACGTACCACCACACCCGGCTAATTTTTGTATCTTTGTAGAGGTAGGGTCTCACTACATTACCCAGGCTGGCCTCGAACTCCTGGGCTCAAGCAATCCACCTATCTTGACCCCCCAAAGTGCTGGGATTACAGGCATGAGCCACCGCTCCTAGCCTCATTTTATTAAGAGAGTTTGTTCAAAACATGCCAATGATGATGAATTAACAGAATGACAGAAAATTCCAGTGACACCTTAGATCGCCACATTATGAAAATGTATTCGGTTTGTGCATCTTTGGTCACTGGAAACTAAATTACCATACAAACAAAGGCATGGTAAGTGGGATGTGGCAGCCGGTCACTAAGAGACTCTAGGACTCAGTTTCTCAACCTGGTTAACAACTATCCTGGCCAACATGGTGAAACCCTGCTTCTATCAAAAAATGCAAAAATTTGCCAGGCGTGGCGGCTGTAGTCCCAGCTACTCGGGAGGCTGAGGTGGGAGAATTGCTCGAAAGTGGGAGGTGGAGGTTGCAGAGAGCTGCGATTGCACCACTGCACTCCAGCCTGAGCAACAAAGCAAGACCCTGTCTCAAAAATAAATAAATAAAAATAGTTAAGCCAACACAATCCACATTCACCTGGATGGCTGATGTTTACTTAGAATTAAGCACTCTATGAAAAGTATCATCGGAGGGCGCCAGGAGCCTAGCAAAGGACAGGTGCTTCACACATTAAATGGATAAATGTCCATTCATTCAACAAATATGCATGCCTACTATGTGCCAGGAACTGTTTTAAGTGCTTGGAATACAAAAACAAAAACAAAGCTCATTGCCTTGTAGAGCTCACATTCTAGTTGGGGTGGGAAGAGAGGGAAAGAAACATAAATAAATACATCACATAGCCTATTCTAAGGTAGTGTTATGGGGGAAGGTAATGTAGTCTAAGGTGGGGCTGGGAGATGGATGGAGGCGTCTGCAATCTGAGAGTCTGAGCATACTTCCTTGAGGTGACACTGAAAGGCTTCTGTGATATCTCCCCTTTGACTCTGTTAGCAAGATTCCTGTAGGTAGGACATCCCTCGATGCTGCCACACCCGTTCTTCCTCCACTTCTTAAGCCCTTTTTTTTTTTTTTTTTTTTTTTTGAGATGGAGTCTCGCTCTGTCGCCCAGGCTGGAGTGCAGTGGCGCCATCTTGGCTCACTGCAACCTCTAACTCCCTGGTTCAAGCGATTATCCTGCCTCAGCCTCCCGAGTAGCTGGGACTACAGGCACGCGCCACCACACCCAGCTAATTTTTGTATTTTCAGTAGAGACAGGGTTTCACCATGTTGGCCAGGACGGTCTCGATCTCCTGACCTCATGATCTGCCTGCCCACCTTGGCCTCCCAAAGTGCTGGGATTACAGGCGTGAGCCACCGCGCCGGGCCCTACTTCCTAAGTCTTTAACAGTTCTAGGAAGGCTGTGGCTGCTCTTAATTAAGGGTTTTTTTGAACTACTTCTTCTACCATGAGAGCATATACTCATCAGAAAACCATGCAAAATCACAGCAAGCTTTTGAGGGCAAATTATGGGCATGCTATAAAGTGTGGAGTGGGGAGGGATTTTTGGCTGAACTCTAATTAGTAACAGCAACATTACTGGACATTTTGGGGCTTATAACATCGTTTATGAAGTAGTAAAATACACACATCCTCCTGGGAGTTAGCATGGATCTCCCATAATCATTTGCCTACGTATACATTTTAGACATTTCAGCAAATGTGTACACAGCATATATTTAAGGATATTTGATATTGGCTACAGAGGATCATTCTACTTTATAATTCCTCCTTTTCTCTAAAGTATTCCTTTATTTCATAATTGGAGAAACCTGAGTATTTAAAAACAAAAAACTAAAACCCATACTAGCAAGTCATTAAAAAATCATTTGCAGGTGGCTTTTGTAAACACACCTGGTTGTGTTGCATTTCTATTAGTAAAATATGGTAGATGGTTAGGTAATATAGAGGACATCTCTTCTTAAAAGCACTAGATTCATCAACACTGCCAGATTTTTGCCATATTAAGCTTAAACTGTTTTCAGCTTGAACATCATGGGGCAGGGCTGGATAGGGGGAAGAACCCAATACAGGGGCGGGAAAAGGTTTTTCAGACTCCTGAATTAAAATTTCACTTTGCACTGCCAAAGCCAAAGCATGGGCTAGCAGCCTTCACTATTTCATAGATTACATAAACTTGTAGTCTGATGCTGTAAATATCCTACCACCTGGACATTAAAAAAAAAAAAGGTCCCAAAACACTAACAAGGAAATAGTAATTAAAACGAACAAACATTTAGTGAGCTTTCCAGTTTGCTTTCAGACACCTGGCAATGGAAAACTATCAGGTACTGGTCTTTGATCTCCATTTACAGTGCCTTACGTCTACAAATACGTATAACCAAAATGATGAAATCCACACTTTTTCCCTGCCGTTTCCGTTCTTTGGGTAATAAGACATGCCCAAGTGGTTGGCATTTGTGACGCTGCAATTCGCCTTGGTACGGTCCCTCTAAGGAGTTATTACTAAAAGTCTACGTCAGGAAGAAGCGGGAGAAAAAAAGCAGGGTTTAACTCAGAACACCTGACTGCTGGTCTCAAGTTGCAATCGCAGCTCAGACTGGGAAGATACACAGGGCTGTTCTTGGAAGAAGGGCGGAAGGCAGTGGTGTTCTGTATTTTTGCACCCCAGTGGACATCAGACTCTGCCTCAAATTTGCAATGGCCTGCCTTCCTCAATTACACAGTTTTTCCTTCACTGACAGTCAACAGAGCAGCCACTACTTACTTTCCAGGTCTGAGTCTGGCAGAAAGAACGTTTTATTTACACACTTGGTCAGTACCCCACACCTCATGCAGCAACGTCTTCCGGGTCATTTAAATAGTAGCAATCTCAATACAAATGTAGGAATTTCTCAAATTTCGAATTTCTCAAATTTCTAAAGATCGCCCTCTATGAAGGCAACACACGAATAGAAGAGTTTTTGGTCACAGTGACTGAGCATCAAAAACGCTGTGTCAACTGTGTCTACTCTCCCTACCTGTAAGGCATAATTTATATGTGACAGTATACACTTTGTGTGTTAAGATAAACGGAACGGATCTCTTGGATTTCAATACATAACAAAAATGTTCATGTTCTTCTCTTACTTTCATTCAACAAAAGTTAATAGACTCCTCTGATTTTAGGAATTCAGACCTTGAAAACCCAGAAACTAAAATTTTAGGTTTAAAAAAGTCTATCAAAATGACTAAACTTCCTGATTCAAGCACCAGGGACAGAAAAAAGATAAAACACACCAACCAACCAACCGACCAACCATTTATTTATAACCTTAAACATGCCTATACATGAACTTAGAGAACGTTAAAGTTTCAAGGGTTCGAAGCGCCTAGGCTGAATTAAAACAAAAGTTGTTTTGTGTTCTATTAATAGCAGATGATTAACAGATATCTTATTTCACCTGGAATTCATTTGTAAGTATGTAAACTAAACAGGCCACTAATCCTAAGTCTCTGTCTGTGTCTGGAAAAATTCTCTCCTAATACATGCAAGTTAAGAGACCGGCTATCAACGCATTCCTTAAGGTTAGGTCAATTTCATTAAAACCTCGGTTGTTCTTTGACTTCAAGAACCTCACCAAATAACCCATATATAAAAGCCAAGTTCAACTGAAAGGTGGGAGAGGAAGGGTCTAAGGAGGAGGGCGTTTCCCGGGAGAACGCCCAGAGCTCGGCTCACCTGGCGATCCTAATTACAGGGGAGTTTCACCCCCACATTCTTGGGCGCTTTCTTTTCTTAGAGGAAACTCGAGCTTGTGTCTTTGGTCCCGGAGGGCTTAAGCCCGGCAGCCAGGACAGCACGGGTCACTGATTCCAAGAAGTTGGGAGGAGGACGTGGGCCCCACCGACGCACAACAGACCCCTCCCCAACTTAAGTGCACTAGTTGTAAAATGTGTAGCTGGTCAGGGGATGGGGGGTGGTCTCCAGAGCTCTGAGGGTCAGGGAAGAGGAGAAGGGACGGGGAGGAGAAGGGACAGGGGAGGCGGAGAAGGGCCAGGAGAGGAGGGGGAGACACACGGGGAAGGAGGAAGAACCAAGAGGAGGGGGAGGGGGAGGGGGAGGGAGGGGGATAGACTGGGGAGAAGAAGGGACAGGGGAGGAGGGGGAGACACACGGGGGAGAAGGAAGAACCAGGAGGAGGGGAGGGACAGTGTCGAGGGGCAGGGGAGGAGGGAGAGTGAACGGGGAGCGGAGGGGCAGAGGGAGAGGTACAGCGGGGCGGGAAAGAGAGACAGGGAAGAAGCACAGGGAGGAGGGGAGGGAAGGAGGAGGAAAAGTAGGGGGGAGGGGATGGGGAGGGACTGGGAGGAAGGAGAGGGCCAGGGGAGGAAGAAGAGGGGCTGTGGAGGGCCAGGGGAGGAGTGGGAGAGACCGGGAGAGGTGGAAGGACGCGGGGGAGGGGAGCTGGAGGGAGGGAAAGTACCTTCCCGCGTAAAGTCCCCTTCTGAACCCCGAGGTGGAAAGCCCTGACCTCCCTGAGCCCCGGGCCCTGGGCTTACCCGGTAGGTGCTCTCCGTGAGCCGGTTCACCTCCTCGGGCCCCCGGGACATGGCTGCGGCCGCCGGGCGAGCAAGCGCGGGAGGACGCGGCTGGGCCTCGTGGCCGCCGGACTCCGGGCAGCGGGAGGGCCGGGGCGCGACTAAGGGGCTCTGGAGGGTCGGCCGCCGCCGCAGCCGTCGGCCCGAGAGTGCCCGCGCGCGTCTCCGCTGCGAAAATGTCAAAACTTGCGGCAGCGCCGCCCTGGCCTTCTTCGAGGAGCAGAGGAGAAGCGGCCGGACGCCGCCAGAGGAAGCTGGGCGGGCCGGGCGGCCCCACCTGAGGCGGGCGGGGCAGACGGGGGCGGGGCCGCAGGGCCGGAGGGGCGTGGCGTACCCACCTGAGGCGGCCTGGTGAGCGGGGCCCGGCCGGGGTGGGCGGGGAGGAGGCGGGGCCAGGCAGCTGGAATGGGCGTGGCCAGAGGGAAGCGGGCCCCCCGAGTGGGCGGGGTCACCCCACCTGTGGCGGACAGGGCAGCGAGGCCACGGTGCGCCCCCTCGCGGCTCTCCCAGAGCTCCGGCGACGTAGGGCCCGAGACCCTGGAGTGGGGACCGGTGTGGAGTGGGCTGCTCGCTTTGCTGTTTTGCTAGGGCAAGGGCAGCCTGGGGGTGTTTAGACTGTGGTCCTGGAGCCCTTGTTTGCCTCGCGTGGTGCTGGCCCCGGGGACCCCGAGGCCCACTTCCTCCATGAGGGCTTCCTTCAAGCCCTGCGTTTTGGGGACCAAGGGAAGGGGCCACATTCCCCAGTTGTATTGATTTCCCTGATTGATCTCTTCTTGCCCCGCCGCTCACTGACCCCAAAAGTTAGAGGGACCCGTGGGGGCATCGGCCCTCCTAGGTGGAGAAAACGGGCTGCCACTTGCAGTTTTGAAAGCTCCTGATATATCAAAAAATTAATAAATGCCAGGGTCTAGTTACCGAAATGTTAGTACTTTTTTTTTTTTGAGATGGAGTCTCACTCTGTCGCCTAGGCTGGAGTGCAGTGGTGCGATCTCAGCTTGCTGCAACCTCCGCTTCCCAGGTTCAAGCGATTCTCCTGCCTGGCATGAGCCATCCTGCCTGGCCCCCAGATAGAAGCTTTTTGTTTGTTTTTGAGACAGAGTTTCACTCTTGTCCCCTCAGGCTGGAGTGCAGTGGTGCTCTCTCAGCTTGCTGCAATCTCTGCCCCCCAGGTTTAAGCAATTCTCCTGCCTCAGCCTCTCGAGTAGCTGAGATTACAGGTGCACGTGCCACCAAGCCAGGCTAATTTTTTTGTATTTTTAGTAGAGACGGGGTTTCACCATGTTGGCCAGGTTGGTCCCGAGCTCCTAACCTCAGGTGATCCGCCCTGCTCAGCCTCCCAAAGTGCTGGGATTACAGGCTTGAACCACCGCGCCCGGCCCAGTAGTACATTTTTAAACTTTACATTAACAACGACCTTTAACTCAATGCAGTGTAACCATGCTACTCACGAGATTGTTGTAGGGTTTAGAAAACCACCTGAGCTGAAGTGTTAGGGAAGCCTCTCTTCTTGTCATCACTCAAACTCTGTGGAGGTGTGTGGCTCCTGGGCTCCCTATTTTGTCTCCATCCCGGCCTCAGCCCTGCCCAAGGGTGAGGCAGCTGCCTTCTTTGGGCCTCTCTTCCAGGATTATGTACCTTGGGCTGGGTGACAGCCTTCTCCCCAGTAAGAACCACCATTTAGCTACCTGAGACCCGCACCCAACAAGGGCAGAGGTCTTATTCTGATTTTTTAAAACCTCTGGGCTTGGTGGCTCATGCCTGTAATCCTAGCACTTTGGGAGGCCAAGGCAGGCGGATCACTTGAGGTCAGGAGTTCGAGACCAGCCTAGCCAACATGGTGAAACCGCCCTGCCCCCGTCTCTACTAAAAATACAAAAATTAGCCAGGCATGGTAGCACGTGCACCTGTAATCTCAGCTACTCGGGAGGCTGAGGCAGGAGAATTGCTTAAACCTGGGAGGCAGAGATTGCAGTGAGCTGAGATAGCACCACTGCACTCCAGCCTGAGGGACAAGAGCGAAACTCTGTCTCAAAAACAAACAAACAAAAAGCTTCTATCTGGGGGCCAGGCAGGATGGCTCATGCCTGTAATCCGAGCACTTCGGGAGACCAAGGCAGGAGGACTGGTTGAGTCTAGGAGTTCGAGGCCAGCCTAGGCAATATAGGGAGCCCACCCCCATCTCTGCAAAAAATATAATTAAAAACATTAGCCAAGTGTGATAGTGTGCATCTGTAGTCCCAGCTATTCCGGAGGCTGAGGTAGGAGGATGGCTTGAGCCCAAGAGGTTGCAGTGAGCTGTGATGGTGCCACTGCATTCCAGCTTGGGCCACAGAGTGAGACTCTGTTTCAAAAAACAAACAAAAATGCCAAAACGTCTATGTGAGTGCAATTGCATCTTTTATGGGCTGTTAAGATGTGAGACTTCTGGCCAGGCGCAGTGGCTCACGCCTGTAATGCCAGCACTTTAGGAGACTGAGGCAGGCAGATCACCTGAGGTCAGGAGTTTGAGACCAGCCTGACCAACATGGAGAAACCCCGTCTATACTAAAAATACAACATTGACCAGGTTTGATGGTGCATGCCTAAATCCCAGCTACTCAGCAGGCTGAGGCAGGAGAATCACTTGAACCTGGGAGGCTGAGGTTGTGGTGAGTGAGATCACGCCATTGCACTCCAGCCTGGGCAACAAGAGCGAAAATTTGTCTCAAAAAAAAAAAAAAAAGAAAAAGAAAAGAAAAGAAAAAAGAAAGATGTGAGACTTCTAAACTAATCTTGTGATAAAGTTCACTAGGAAATATACACAATGAAGGCACTGTGTGGCCCAGATGGGAACATCAAGAGGGTGAGTACCACTGGACTTAGAACAGAAACCACCACCTGGACTTGGGGACTGTTTTATTGGGTTTTGCAAACTATAAAACACATCATGCAGCTAGGCACAGCGGCTCACGCCTGTAATCCCAGCACTTTGGGAGGCCAAGGTGGGTGGATCACTTGGGGTCAGGAGTTAGAGATCAGCCTCACCAATATGGTGAAGCCCCGTCTCTACTAAAAATACAAAAATTAGCCGGGTGTGGTGGCAGGCACCTGTAGTCCCAGCTACTCGGGAGGCTGAGACAGGAGAAGCGCTTGAACCCGGGAGGCGGAGGTTACAGTGAGCCGGGATCTCATGCCACTGCACTGCAGCCTGGGCAAGAGAGTGAGACTCTGTCTCAAAACAAACAAGCAAACAAAAAAAACTTACCATTCTTGGGAACCAAAATGTTATGTCTTCCTGATGTTAGGGGGAAATAACACATCAGTCCCAAGTTTCTGGCAATGGAAGCAGGTGCCTTCTTCTTTAACAGATTTACAGTATTTAGTTCATGAGGTTTGCCAACTGGGTTTCACTTCCCATATGGGAGATGCATTCATGACTTTATAATTTCTACCATTATGTATTCGGCTCTGCAAGTATGTCTGTTGGTTTTTATTGAAACTTGAAAATAGGCTGGGCGCGGTGGCTCACGCCTGTAATCCCAGCACTTTGGGAGGCCGAGGCGGGTGGATCACAAGGTCAGGAGATCGAGACCATCCTGGTCAACGTGGTGAAACCCCGTCTCTACTAAAATACAAAAATCAGCCGGGCGTGGCAGTATGTGCCTGTAGTCCCAGCTACTTGGGAAGCTGAGGCAGGATAATTACTTGAACTCGGGTGGCGGAGGTTGCAGTGAGCCGAGATCGTGCCACTGCACTCCAGCCCGGGCGACAGAGTGAGATTCTGTCACAAACAAACAAACAAACAAACAAACAAACAGTAGTGCAGTTCTCAGCTCAGTGCTTGGCACATAGATGCCTGGGAGGTCTTGGCTGAACAAAATACAAATGAGTATTGATGATCTGCTGTGCAGGCAGGGAGTCTGCTGGGGGCTGCAGTGTGCAGAATGAACTGGGCTTGAACCATGCCTGTGCAGAAGGTAGAATTTGAGGACTACAGTGAAAGCCATCCAGGTACAGCCAATCATGCCATAGGTGGACAAGTGGATGTGATCTCAAAAGGCCATTTGTTTTAGACTCTTCAAGTACATTTGCTGGTTTCATCTAAACTTGAAAATCCACAGTCTGTTATTCTGAGACTTCATGATGCTCAGAGATAAAGAAGGCAAATCAATAGGAAGGGATGACTCAGGAGAAGGTGAGAATAGCAGCCCTTGTTTTGCTGAGAACTCCCTGCAGTCTCTTTCCTCCTGCATAGAAGAGCTGCAGAAGAGCTGGTCTGGCCTCTCTGTAAATCAGTCCAATGCCTTCCCAGAGACAGGCAACCAAGATCTCCTCCTTCAGCTCCTACTTCAGCTTAAATAGAGACTATCTCCAATTTACGATGGTTCACCTTTGACGGTTTTGACTTTATGATGGTGCAAAAGTAATATGCATTCAGCGGCAATTGTACTTTTTTGAATTTTGAATTATGATCTTTCCCTGGGCTAGGAATATACATCAGGATGCTTGCTTGCTTGCTTGCTTGCTTTCTTTCTTTCTTTCTTTCTTTCTTTCTTTCTTTCTTTCTTTCTTTCTTTCTTTCTTTCTTTCTTTTTGTGACAGAGTCTCGTTTTGTCACCCAAGCTGGAGTGCAGTGGCGTGATCTTTGCTCACTGCAAACTTTGCCTCCCAGGTTCAAGTGATTCTTTGTCTCTGCCTCCTGAGTAGCTGGGATTACAGGTGCGTGCCACCACGCCCGGCTAATTTTTGAATTTTTAGTAGAGACGGGGTTTCACCACATTGGCCAGGCTGGTCTTGAGCTCCTGACATCGGGATCCGCCTGCCTTGGCCTCCCAAAGTGCTGGGATTACAGGTGTGAGCCACCGCGCCCGGCAGTAGGATGCTTTCTAGCAATGTTAGGCAGGTGGAGTGAGCTCCCAGGTCAGCTGTGGCATCATGAGGGTAAACAGCCGATACTGTGCAGTGCACTGTGGTACCAGATGATTTTGCCTACTGTAGGCTAATGTAGGTGTTCTGAGCATGTGTAAGGTAGGACAGGCTAAGCTATGATGTTTTGGAGGTTAGGTGTATTACATGCATTTTTCAACTTAATGATGTTTTCAACTTACAATGGGTTTATTGGGATGTAACCCCTATTGTAACTTATAGGGCATTGGAGTAAAAAATCCTGTTTATGTCAACAAAGTTTGTAAGACACAATGGCAGATGACAATGTCAATAAGTTTTGTTTTGTTTTGTTTTTGTTTTGAGACAGAGTCTCACTCTGTCACCCAGGCTGGAGTGCAGTGGTGCGATCTTGGCTCACTGCAACCTCCGCCTCCTGGGTTCAAGCGATTCTCCTGCTGCAGCCTCCTAAGTAGCTGGGACTACAGGCATGCGCTACCATGCCTGGCTAATTTTTTTAATTTTTAGTAGAGTCGGGGTTTTGCCATGTTGGCTAGGCTGGTCTCGAACTGCTGACCTCAATTGATCCGCCTGCCTTGGCCTCCCGAAGTGCTTGGGTTACAGGCATGAGCCACCACACCTGGCCGTCAGTAAGATTTTGAAGTCCACAGTTAAAACAAGTTCTTCTTTTGGGGTTTCTCTCTTCTTTCAAACTTACTATGTGGTGTGCCAGTGGCTTCCTTTGCCCTGGTGGGTACTTGAGCAAGGGGAACCCATGAAGATCTCACTGTATTTTGTGACAAAAGAGGTCCCTGCTGATAACAGTAGTTTGGGGCACATTCCTGTAAAAATACTAATAGGCAGGATGGAGCTTTAACCTTTGTTACTCTGTCGCCCAGGCTGGAGTGCAGTGGTGCGATCTCGGCTCACTGCAACCTCCACCTCCCGGGTTCAATCGATTCTCCTGTCTCAGCCTCCCGAGTAGCTGGGCTTATAGGCACGCGCCACCACACCCGGCTAATTTTTGTACTTTTAATAGAGACGGGGGGTTTCACCACGTTGGCCAGGCTGGTCTTGAACTCCTGACCTCGTGATCCACCTGCCTCGGCCTCCCAAAGTGCTGGGATTACAGGCGTGAGCCACCGGGCCTGGCCCGTTTGGGTTTTTTTTTTTTTTGAGACAGAGTCTCACTCTGTTGCCCAGGCTGGAGTGCAGTGGCCTGATCTTGCTTGGCTCACTGCAACCTCCGCCTCCTGGGTTCTCCTGCCTCGGCCTCCAGAGTAGCTGGAATTACAGGTATGTGCCACCACGTCTGGCTGATTTGTGTGTTATTAGTAAAATGAGGTTTCACCATGTTGGTCAGGCTGGTCTTAAATTCCTGACCTCAAGTGATCTGCCCATCTCGGCCCCCAAAGTGCTGGGATTACAGCCACCACACCCAGCTTTTTTTTTTTTTTGAGACAGGATGTCACTCTGTCACCCAGGCTGGAAGTGCAATGGCCCGATCTCGGCTCACTGCAACCCTCGCCTCCCGAGTTCAAGTCATTCTCCTGCTGCAGCCTTCAGAGTAGCTGGAATTACAGGCACGTGCCACCATGCCCGGCTGATTTTTGAATTATTAGTAGAGACAGGGTTTCACCATGTTGGCCAGGCTGGTCTCGAACTCCTGACCTCAAGTGATCCGCCCATCTCGGCCCACAAAGTGCTGGGATTACAGGTGTGAGCCACCGCGCCCGGCCAGAGCTTTAAGTTTTCTTGTTCTGAAAGGCAGATGTGAATTTAAAACTCATTGACTTTTCTGTACTTTTCTTCTAATCTCAACAGCATTGAGTTCTCCTGCATGCCAAGCTCATTTCTGCCCTCGAGTTTTTCTTTTTTTTTTTCTTTTTCTGCGACAGAATCTTGCTCTGTCACTCAGGCTGGAGTGCAGTGGCACCATCTCGGCTCACTGCAAGCTCTGCCTCCCGGGCTCACGCCATTCTCTTGCCTCAGCCTCCCCAGTAGCTGGGACTACAGGCGCCCGCCACCACACCCGGCTAATTTTTTTTGTATTTTTAGTAGAGACGGGGTTTCACCGTGTTAGCCAGGATGGTCTTGATCTCCTGACCTCGTGATCTGCCCACCTTAGCCTCCCAAAGTGCTGGGATTACAGGCGTGAGCCACCGCGCCCGGCCTCCTAGAGTTTTTCACTAGCTATTTCTTCTGCCTGGAATGTTCTCCTCCCTGCCCCCCTACCCCAACCCAGGTATTTCCTGTCATTTGGAGTTCAGTTTAGATGCAGCCTCATAGAGGCCTTTCCTGACCACTCAACCTGAAGTCGTATTTGAGGCCCTCTCTATCATACCATTCTACTTTATTTTATTTTAATGTATTATTTTATTTTTTTTGAGACAGGGTCTTGCAATGTTGCTTAGGCTGGAGTGCAGTGGTGCAATCATAGCTCACTGCAACCTCGAACTCCTGGGCTCAAATGATTCTTTCACCTCAGCCTCCTGAGTAGCTGGGACTACAGGCATGCGCTACCATGCCTGGCTAATTTTTTAAAAAATTTTGGCTGTGCGTGGTGGCTCACACCTGTAATCTCAGCACTTTAGGAGGTCAAGGTGGGAGGGTCACTTGAACCCAGGAGTTAAAGATCTGCCGGGGCCACATAGTGAAACCTTGTCTATACTTAAAAAAATAGTTTTAGAGATAGGATCTTGCTATGTTGTCCAGGCTGGTCTCAAACTCCTGGCCTCAAGCTATCCTCCTGCCTCGGCCTCCCAAAGTGCTGAAATTATAGGCATGAGCCACCGCACCCAGCAGCATTCTATGTTAACTCTAATAGTGCTTAGCGCTAGCTATGGCACGTTGAATAAGGGATCCCCAAAGATGCCCAAGTCCGAATCCTCAGAACCTGTGAATGTTCATGATATGGTTTGGCTGTGTCCCCACCCAAATCTCATCTTGAATTGTAATTCCCACAGTTCCCATGTGTCGTGAGAGGAACCCAGTGGGAGGTGATTGAATTATAAGGGTGGGTCTTTCCTGGGCTGTTCTCATGATAGTAAATGAGTCTCACAAGATCTGATAATCTTAAAAACGGGAGTTTTGCCTGGGCACGGTGGCTCACACCTGTAATCCCAGCACTTTGGGAGGCCGAGGTGGGTGGATCACAAGGTCAGGAGTTCGAGACCAGCCTGGCCAATATGGTGAAACCCCATCTCTACTAAAAATGCAAAAATTAGCTGGATATGGTGGCATGTACCTGTAGTCCCAGCTACTAGGGAGGCTGAGGCAAAAGAATCGCTTGAACCTGGGAGGTGGAGGTTGCAGTGAGCCGAGATGCTGCCACTACACTCTAGCCTGGGCAATAGAGCAAGAGTCTGTCTCAAAACAAAACAAAAACAAAACAAATAAAAAATGGGAGTTTTTCTGCACAAGCTCTCTCTTTGCCTGCTGCCATCCACATAAGATATGGTTTGCTCCTCCTTGACTTCCACCATGATTGTGAGGCCTCCCCAGCCATGTGGAACTGTTAAGTCCAAGAAACCTCTTTGTTTTGTAGATTGCCCAGTCTCGGGTATTCTTTATTAGCAGTGTGAAAATGGACTAATACAGTTCACCTTATATAGCAAAAAAAGTCTCTGATCATTTTATACTTAACATGATTACGTGTTCACAAGTGATCACATGATCATTTTATACTTAACATTTTTAGGAACTGCTAACCTGTTTTTTCTCATTTTCTATGTCTTGGAAGAGTTTATGAAGAATTAGTATTTACTTTATTTAAATGTTTGATGGAATTCACCAGTGACACCAGGTGGGCCTGAGCCTTGCTTTTGGGTTGTTTAAAAATTAGTAATGCAGCTGGGGGCAGTGGCTCACACCTGTAATCCCAGCACTCTGGAAAGCTGAGGAGGGCAGATCACGAGGTCAGGAGTTCAAGATCAGCCTGGCCAACATAGTGAAACCCCATCTCTACTAAAAATACAAAAATTAGCTGGGTGTGATGGTGGGTGTCTGTAGTCCCAGCTACTCGGGAGGCTGAGGCAGGAGAACTGCTTGAACCCGGCAGGTGGAGGTTGCAGTGAGCTGAGATCGCGCCACTGCACTTCAGCCCAGACAAAGGTGCGAGACTCTGTCTCAAAAAAAAAAAAAAATTAGTATTGCAGTCTTTTTACTGGATTAGATCTTTCAATTTCTTTTTCAGAATGTTACTTCCTTATAGCTTCTATTCCTGCATCTCTTTAATCACATACAATATTATTTTATAGTCTCTACCAGGATAGTTCTGTGTGCTTTTGTTTGCTTTGTTTTGTTTGGTTTGGTTTGGTTTTTATTCTTACTCAGCCATTGTTGCGTCTGCTGGTTCCCTATCACAGTGGAGTTTTTCCTTATTTGTTTCGGTAATTTTTTATTATGAGGTCATCTTTGGGGTGGAGGGGGGAAGAACCTTTTTTTTTTTTTGAGAGGAAGTCTCATTCTGTCTCCTAGGCTGGAGTGCAGTGGCACAATCTTGGCTCACTACAACCTCTGCCTCCCAGGTTCAAGCGATTCTCCTTCCTCAGCCTCCTGAGTAGCTGGGACTACAGGTGCCTGCCACTATGCCCGGCTGATTTTTGTATTTTTAGTAGAAATGGGGTTTCACCATGTTGGCCAGGCTGGTCTCCAACTTCTGACCTCAAGTGATCCACTTGCCTCGGCCTCCCAAAGTGCTGGGATTACAGGCGTGAGCCACTGTGCCCGGCCAAGAACCATTTTTTCTATAAGAATCGCTTGTGGCCCGATTTGTAAAATATTCCTCCAGAAAAGTTTTACATTTGTCTCTACCATGCACTCCAAGAAGTTCACCACGAGATTCAGCTTCTGAACCTGCTCCGTCTCACAGGCTTGGTGGGATAATTTCTCTTAGGATATTGTTTTTTTCTACCCAGTTAAGTCAAGCTCCCTTGTCCTCCACCAATGCCAATAAATATTTTCTTTTTTTAAGTTTTTTGAGACAGGGTCTCAATTCATTGCCCAGGCTGGAGCGCAGTGGTGGAATCATAGCTCACTGCAGCCTTCATCTCCCAGGCTCAAGCGATCCTCCCACTTTAGCCTCCCAAGTAGCTGGGACTGCAGGTGCATGCCACCACACCTGCATAATTTTCTTGATGTTTAGTAGAGACGGAGTCTCTCTATGGTACCCAGGCTGGTCTCAAACTCCTGAGCTCAAGCAACCCTCCTACCTCAGCCTCCCAATGTACTGGGATTAGAGGCATGAGTCATTTCTTCCAGCTCCAAAAAGGATTTTCTTTTCTTTTCTTTTCTTTTTTTTTTTTTTTTTTTAAGATGGAGTCTCGCTCTGTCGCCCAGGCTGGAGTGCAGTGATATGATCTTGGCTCACTGCAACCTCCGCCTCCCAGGTTCAAGCGATTCTCCTGCCTCAGCCTCCCGAGTAGCTGGGATTACAGACACTTGCCACCATGCCCAGCTAATATTTTGGATTTTTAATACAGACGGGGTTTCACCATGTTGGCCAGCCTGGTCTTAAACTCCTGACCTCAAGTGATCCACCCACCTTGGCCTCCCAAAGTGCTGGGATTACAGGTGTGAGCCACCATGCCCGGCCTCTCTGTATTCTTTTTTAAACTTCTATCCACAGCCTTGATTCTGAAATCTCTTTCTCTAGGTGCAGGTTGGCTTCTGTGAGAAGAGGCTATTGATTTGCCTAAGGCTGAGATAACCTGAACATTCTTTACTCTTCCAAGGGCAGAAAGGGAGAGACGCTGATCTGTTGTCCTGAAAACTCCTTGAGGATTCGGCTTCTTGGGGAGATGGCCCAACCGGATTTGTGGAAGTTGATCTGCCTGGCTTACCTTCATTTTCCTTGTCTTGATTTTTTCTTTCTTTCTTTTTTTTTTTTCCATAGGAAAACATTAGCAGAGAAAGTTCCAGACTTTCCTTTCCTAAGCAAATTTGTTTTATGTATTGACCAAACTCCAAATATTGACAACTGTTCCTAATGTCCTCTTAGTAAGACTTAAATCCTTGCAGGCATGCCCAGTATTTTTCCTTGATCAACAAATGCAGTCAGTTCTGGAACAATTTTCCCTTCACTTGGGGCTTTTTCTGAGAGGCAAGACTTGGAAGTACTGTTACAGAAATCTATGGAACCAAAAGGTTAGTGCAAAAGTAATTGTGGGGGCCAGACGCGGTGGCTCACGCCTGTAATCCCAGCACTTTGGAAGGCTGAGGTGGGCGGGTGACCTGAGGTCAGGAGTTCGAGACCAGCCTGACCAATATAGTGAAACCCCATCTCTGCTAAAAATACAAAAATTAGCCGGGCATGGTGGTGGGCGCCTGTAGTCCCAGCTACTCGGGAGGCTGAGACAGAAGAATTGCTTGAACCCAGGAGGCTTAGGTTGCAGTGAGCTGAGATCACGCCACTGACTCCAGCCTGCGTGACGGAGTGAGACTCCGTCTCAAAAAAAAATAAATAAATAAGGTAAGAAAAACACCTGGACTGCTAAGCAGTTCCCCAAAGGGGACAGCAGGGGATGCCAAGAGGATGGAATATAATGGAATATTCTTTTCCATGAGGCCTACTTGTCTTTTTTTTTTTTTTTTTTTTTTGAGACAGAGTCTTGTTCTGTCAACCAAGCTGGAGTGCAGTGGCACAATGTTGGCTCACTACAAACTCCACCTCCCAAGTTCAAGCAATTCTCCTGCCTCAGCTTCCCAAGTAGCTGGGACTACAGGCATATGCCACGATGCCCATCTAATTTTTTATTTTATTTTATTTTACTTTATTTTATTTTATTTTTTGAGATGGAGTCTCGCTGTGTCTCCCAGGCTGGAGTGTGGTGGCATGATCTCGGCTCACTGCAAGCTCCCCATCCCGGGTTCACGCCATTCTCCTGCCTCAGCCTCCCGAGTAGTTGGGACTATAGGTGCCCGCCACCACACCCGGCTAATTTTGTTTTTGTATTTTTAGTAGAGACGGGGTTTCACCGTGTTAGCCAGGATGATCTCAATCTCCTGACCTCCTGATCCACCCGCCTTGGGCTCCCAAATTGGTGGAATTACAGGCGTAAGCCACTGCACCCAGCCTTTTTTTTTTTGTATTTTTAATAAAGACACAGGGTTTCACAACCATGTTGGCCAGGCTGGTCTTGAACTCCTGACCTCAGGTGATCCACCTGCCTTGGGCTCCCAAAGTGCTGGGATTACAGGCATGAGCCACCACACCAGCCTCTACTTGTCTTTTAACACTTTCTCTTTCAGGGAGAGCAAAGTTTGGTGACACAAGGTTGCCTCTGATGGTCCTTTTTGTCTGCATCCCACCTGACTACACACCTGTGGCTCTGTTCAGATGGCCAGGTACCACCTCACCACACTGGCCTCTTATTGACGTTTATAGCAACTTTATTTCCACAACAGCCCAGGACTTCTGCCACTTTTCACTGTATTCATCATTGTGCCTCATCTCTGGCTTGGAATTTTCCCAAATCAATGAGTACTGTGAACAAGGAGAGAATGCAACCGTTTCACGAAAAGGGGACGTATTAGCCTTGTGGATCTTGGAATTCAGCATAAAACAAAAATTTCCATTAGACAAATGTACACAATGATAAATTATTAAGCAAAACCTTGAGTGGTAATTTACGCATTTCTGTAACTATGTCCCCAGCATATTGACATTGACCAAGAAGTGCAGGAATGCTTAAGAATCAATGGAAATTTTGCTGAGTACGAAAGGCAGGCTTCGCCAATTAAGCCCATTGTGATGTCCCGTCAGTATCTGATCACTATAAAAGTTTTAGCATGAATTTGGCCATAATGTCAGGAAGTACTGTGGGCCCAGAAAAAGGAGTCGCAAATTCATGGTGGAAAGAGCTTTTCTATTTTAATACTCATCACTAAGACGCCCTCACCAACTAAAAGGATGCATTATATGCATTAGTTATTGTATTTAGAGATTTTAAAATCTATATTTGCTCTAGCGTTGGTAAGGCAATATGCAGGCAGATAGGGGCAGACACTTTTTACTTTTTTTTTTTTGAGTTGGAGTCTTGCTCTGTCGCAAGGCTGGAGTGCAATGGTGCGATCTTGGCTCACTGCAACCTCTGCTTCCTGGATTCAAGTGGTTCTTCTGCCTCAGCCTCCCATGTAGCTGGGACTACAGGCGCCACCAACAGGTCCAGCTAATTTTTGTTAATTTAGTAGAGACAGGGTTTCACCATGTTGGCCAGGCTGGTCTTGAACTCCTGACCTCAGGTGATCCACCTGCCTCAGCCTCCCAAAGCGCTGGGATTACAGGCATGAGCCACTGTGCCCGGCCTCTGCCCCTTTTTTCTACAACAGGGGGCAGAGAGATAGAACCCTGGTTTTCTGGTTTCCTTGCAGGCAGGAGCAGCAAAACAGACACATTCTGGCCAGAGACAAAGGAAACGAAGGAGACAAGGAGACAAAGGTCTACTGAGAAGGCTGAAAAGTGAAATAGTGGAGGTTCTGGAAGGCTTTTCCTTCCTTCCTTCCTTCCTTCCTTCCTTCCTTCCTTCCTTCCTCTCTCTCTTTCTTTCTCTCTTTTTTTTTTTCAGGAAGTCTTTGTTTTTTTTTGCCCTCCTCATAACTTCCTAGAAAGCACATGTGGGCTGGGTGCAGGGGTTCACGCCTGCAATCCCTATGCTTTGGGAGGCTGAGGCAGGAGGATCGCTTGAGCCCAGGAGTCTGAGACCAGCCTGGGCAACATAGCAAGACCCCATCTCTACAAAGAAAAAAAAATAGGCAGGTGTGGTGGCAAGCACCTGTAGTCACAGCTACTTGGAAAGATGAGGCAGGAAGATTGCTTGAGTTCAGGAGTTCGAGGCTGCAGTGAGCTGTGATTGTGCTGCTGTACTGCATCCTGGGCAACAGAACGAGACTATGTCAGAAAGAAAGAAAGAGAGAAAGAGAGAGAGAGGAAGGAAGGAAGGAAGAAAAGAGAAGGGAAGGGAAGGGAAAGGAAAGGAAAGGGAGGAAGGAAGGGAAAGAAGAAGCAAGGAAGAAAGAGAGAAAGAAAGGAAAGAAAGAAAAGGAAGAAAAGCGAGGAAGGAATGAAGGAAGGGAGGGAGGGAGGAAGGGAGAGAGAAAAAAGGAAGGAAGGAGAGGGAATGAAAGGAAAGAAAAAGAAAGAAAGCCTGGGCACAGTGGCTCAGGCCTGTAATCTCAGCACTTTGGGAGGCCGAGGTGGGCGGATCACGAGGTCAAGAGATCAAGACCATCCTGGCCAACCCCGTCTCTACTAAAAATACAAAAATTAGCTGGGTGTGGTGGTGTGTGCCTGTAATCCCAGCTACTTGGGAGGCTGAGGCAGGAGAATCGTTTGAACCTGGGAGGCAGAGGTTGCAATGAGCCGAAATCACGCCATTGCACTCCAGCCTGGCAACAGAGTGAGACTCTGTCTCTGTCTCGAAAAAAAAAAAAAAGGAAAGAAAGAAAGGAGAGGAAGGAATGAAGGAATGAAGGAGAGGGAGGGGGAGAGAGAGGAGGGCGAGTAAGCAGATATGATGATATCATGCAAGAAGTAACCAACATCTTGTAAGCTGCTCTGAGCAACAAACAAGACCAAGCATCATCAAGTTGAGATTGGCCGAGTGGAGAGACACATCCTGAGCCTCTCACAGCATCTGTGAGCATGGAGTTTTCTGTTCCTTTCATCTAAAACATTCCCAAATGACCTATACTGTTCTTAAAACCTGGGAGAATTTGCCATTGTGTTGAATTCAACATATACACACAGAACAAATCTTCAAGTGAAAAAAATTCAAATGGTGAGAAATGTTCTCCTGAGACTTTTCATACATTTAAATTTTTTCATTTTGGGGATGACCATATTTTGAGATAAAATGAAAGATCACGGGCTGCCAAATTCCAGTATGATTATGGAGACCAAAGGAGGGAAATGTTATTAAAATTGGGGTGCTCTTGAAAAACCTATTGTCTGTGAATTTATGTCCTTAGGCCACTTTCCAAAAGCACTTTCGTTTCAACGTAATCAAAGAACATCATTTTACACCCACTCTTCTAAGAAATAAATTTCAGAATCATTTTTCAAGGTTGGAAAATAGGAACCTTGTCTAGAGAAATCACTTTGCTTTTGAGTCACTGTTACTGCAAGACTTCCCACAAAATAACATTGACAATATCCTCAGAAATCCTTGAATAGTATTCATGCATTATTATCAGCTAAAATGATGATTATCTTTGGGCTTGCAATGGAGCAAATAATTCTTAGATCATTTCTCTTTTTCAAAAAATTCTTAACCTGTTGTGGTAGCTCATGCCTGTAATCCCAGCACTTTGGGAGGCCGAGGAGGGTGGATTGCTTAAGCCTAGGAGTTTAAGACCAGCCTGGGCAACACAGTGAAAGCCTGTCTCTACAAAAATTAGCTAGATGGGGTAGCACATGCCTGTAGTCCCAGCTACTTGGGAGGCTGAGGTGGGAGGATTCACTGAGCCCAGGAGGTTGAGGCTGCAGTAAGCCAGGATCCCACCACTGCACTCCAGCCTGGGCAACAGAGCAAGACTTTGTCTCAAAATACATAAATGCATAATAATAATATATTTTTCTGACATCAAGAGTTGGTCATATATATATGTGTGTGTGTGTATATATATGTGTATATGTATATATTTTTTATATGTAAAATATATATGTATATATTTTTTTGAGACACAGTCTCACTCTGTCGCCCAGGCTGGAGTGCAGTAATGTGATCTTAGCTCACCACAATCTCCACCTCCCGTGTTCAAGCAATTCTCTTGCCTCAGCCTCCCGAGTAGCTGGGATTACAGGCGCGTGCCACCATGCCTGGGTAATTTTTGTATTTTTAGTAGAGACGGGGTTTCACTATGTTGGCCATGCTGGTCTTGAACTCCAGCGATCCTCCCACCTTGGCCTCCCATAGTGCTGAGAATACAGACGTAAGCCACTGTCCCTGGCCAAGATTCTTTTTCTTCTAGCAAAGGCTTTCTTCTGAACACAAAAGGAGCTGAGATTTTGGCTGTTTACTCATGGCAAAATGACAGAAAGTCATTTAGATCTTTTTTTTTTTTTTTGAGACAGAGTCTCGCTCTGTTGCCCAGGCTGGAGTGCAGTGGCACGATCTCGGCTCACTGCAAGCTCCGCCTCCCGGGTTCACGCCATTCTCCTGCCTCAGCCTCTGGAGTAGCTGGGACTACAGGCGCCCGCCACCACACCCAGCTAATTTTTTTGTGTGTATTTTTAGTAGAGACGGGGTTTCACTGTGTTAGCCCGGATGGTCTCGATCTCCTGACCTCGTGATCCGCCCGCCTCAGCCTCCCAAAGTGCTGGGATTACAGGCGTGAGCCACTGCGCCCGGCCAGAAAGTCATTTAGATCTTATTTGGTTTTGAAACATTTGGATATTGACACTAACAGGTGAAATATGTGGGCGTGTGCATTTTCCCCTCAGCTCTGACTGCTGTTTGCTTGTTGAATAGACTCCTGAGTCTAGAATCAATGGATTCTTCCTCCTCATAGGCACAGCAGCTAGGACAAAGAGGTCATATTTTTGCCTGGAGATGTTTCCAGGCCCTGATAAGCCTGACATTGGCTACAACAGGAAACCCCCTTCCCAATTCTGAGCAGCTGGAGGCTGTGGCCTCGGTTCCTGAGGACTCCTTGAAACGGGACAGAAATGCAAAGACAGTGTCCTCATCCTGGTGGGAAAACAGTAGGTCTGGGGAATTCACTTCATGTCTCAGTGATAACATCCCCTGTGACTTGGAGTAAGTCACATCACGGTCATGTCCCCAGCTCCCTCTGTCCTGGTCAATAGGAGTTGGAGGGAGCAGTGCTCCAGATGACCTTGTGGGAGTGGTGAGAGGCCACGGTTTTCCTTGGGGGCATTTCCCCAAAGATGTGGCTGCCACCTACCAGGTGTGACTTCAGGTGAGTCGGAGTAGCAGCCAGGGCTGCCTGAGTGGAGGTCGAGGGAAAGTCACTGCCTGCATCGGCTGTCCCCTCCTTCCCCTTCAAGGCTGCCTTTGATCTCTGCTGTCAACAGAAATTGCAGCTCATGCTGAAGTTTTCTGGCCTGGTCTTTCACCCCCCACATTCAGTCTGGTTGGTCAAGTCACGTGTAATTTCCACACCCCCTCAAAGGTTGTGCAACTACCATGCAAATGCATTTCAAGTTTAGCTACCTTTTTTTTTTTTTAAACAGAGTGAACTTTCTTTCTTTTTTTATTTTTGAGACAGAGTCTCACTCTGTCACACAGGCTGGAGTGCAGTGGCATGATTTTGGCTCTCTGCAACCTCCGCCTCCTGGGTTCAAGCGATTCTCCTGCCTCAGCCTCCTAAGTAGCTGGGATTACAGGCGCCTGCCTCCACACCCAGCTAATTTTTCTGTATTTTTAGTAGAGACGGGGTTTCACCATATTGGCCAGTCTGGTCTCGAACTCTTGACCTCGGGTGATCCGCCCACCTTGGCCTCCCAAAGTGCTGGGATTATAGGCATGCACCACCGCTCCCAGCCAGCAGAGTAAACTTTCTTGAATGAATTTTCTTACTATTTAATTTATTTAATTATTTTATTTTATTTTATGATACATGCAGTCTTACTCTGTTGCCCAGGCTGGAGTACTATGGCACCATCATAACTCCCAGCGGCTTTGAACTCCTGGGCTCAAGCGATCCTCCTGAGTAGCTGGAACCACAGCTGCATGCCACCACCCCTGACTTTGATTTATTTCTGCTGGCCCATTTCTCTGCCTCACAATGGTAGAGAAATGCCTGAGTCACAGATAGGCTAGGTGACCAGGGAAGCTTGGAAGAAACCCCACAGGCCACCCAAGCTCCCAGGCTACCATTTGGAGATCGTTGCTTCGGAGGAATCCCGGGTCAGGCTGCTGGAATCTGGACTCACACTTCCGAAACCTCAGTGTTCTGATCGATGCTTTACAAGCTGGCTTTGCCCACCTCTCCCATGGAACACCCTTCCTCCACTGGTCTTTTGAAATTATTGCTGTTGGTCTGATTTTGCTGCCTCTGCTACCAGACGGTAAGCAAACCCTGCTGTCACTTTCTTGCTGTGTGTCCTGGTAAGATGTTTCTCCACATTGAGCCTTTCCCCCTGCTTATTGGCAAAATGGGAATGAGACACTGTGAGTTTTACCCACATGGTATAGACAGAGCCTGCAGGGTACTGGGTATGGGTCTGGGGATCTGAGATGTCCCTTCATCAGCAGCCTTTATATCAGCAGCCACACCTCCTCTGTAGGGTTTCACCCTAGCTTAGCTCTCTGAGGACCAGGTCTCCCCTGGAGCCACGTCCTTGTCTGCCAGGGTGGGTTGAGGCATGACTCACTATGACCAGAGACTCACCCTTGAGTCACTTGGATCAGGCAGCCCAGGACGGATGTGACGTCATCAGCAAATACAAGCAGTCATAGACACAGGGGCAGCTCTGTTTGTCTTGGAGATAAACTCCACCACCCAGGCTGGGCTTTGTGGAAAAGGTGAAGGACACCAGGATCATAGGTATTAACTTCCTATGATGACATGTTTGTGGAGGGACCGGAGAATCTCAGGGTGAGAAAATCGCTGGGGATTGTTCTGTAGCGGAGGAAGGTGTGTCCTTGGCTACTGTAGGGAAAGGTTGCCCTTACTTTGAGGTTGTGTTCTTATCTCCTCCATGTCTCTAACTTTTATAATCCAACCAGAGGATCTTCTAATAAATACTCTGCCTCCTATTACTGTATGTCTCAGCTAAAAGACATATCCTACTGGCCAGGCGTGGTGGCTCACACCTGTAATCCCACACTCTGGGAGGCCGAGGCGAGTGGATCACTTGAGGTCAGGCATTCGAAACCAGCCTGGCTAACATGGTGAAACTCCATCTCTACTAAAAACATAAAAATTAGCCAGGTGTGGGTGGTACATGCCTGTAATCCCAGCTACTCAGGAGGCTGAGGCAGGAGAATCTCTTGAACCCAGGAGGCGGAGGTTGCAGTGAGCCAGGATCGCACCACTGTACTCCAGCCTGGGCGACAAGAGTGAAACTCTGTCTCATAAAAAAAAAAAAAAAAATAGACATACCCTACCCGGGGAAGGTAGGGGCGGCTTTTTAGCCCCGGAGAGCTCATTCAACCCCTAGCCCTGTGCCTGCCTCCCTCGCTGGATAGCAAACTGAAACCAGTCTCCCCCATGTAAACCCAGGGCCCCCATGGGGCCTGGATTTTGTCATTTTCTTCGGGGTCATGTAACTCTTGGTTATACAACAAGAGAGGTGATGGGATTTCCTTCTAGGGTGGTGAAAAGGTTTTGAACTAGTCAGAGGTGAGGATTGTACAACATTGTGAATGTACTGGATCTCCCTGAATTGTACATTTTATTTTACTGATTTACTTATCTATCTGTTTATTTATTTTTTGAGACAGAGTCTCACTCTGTCGCCCAGGTTGGAGTGCAGCGGTGTGATCATAGCTCACTGCAACCTCAACCTCCTGGGCTCAAGTGATCCTCCTGCCTCAGCCTCCAGAGTAGCTGGGACCACAAGTGTGCAGCACTGTGCCCAGCTCATTTTAAAAATATTTTGCAAATCTGAGGTCTTGCTATGTTGCCCAGGCTGGTCTTAAACTCCTAGGTTCAAGCGATCCTCTCACCTCAGCCTCTCTAGTACCTAGGACCACAGGTGCACACTACTGTGCCTGGCTAATTTTTTGATTCTTTGTAGACATGAGGTCTCACTGTGTTGCCCAAGCTGGTCTCAAATGCCTTGACTCAAGCAATCCTTCTGCCTTGGTCTCCCAATGTGCTGGGATTACAGGCGTGAGCCACCTTACCTGGCTGAATTGTACATTTTATTCTCTCTCTCTCTCTCTTTCTATATATATGTGTATATATATATGTATATATGTATATATGTGTATATATATATGTATATATATGTATATATGTATATATGTGTATATGTGTATATATATAATTTTATTTATTTATTTATTTATTGAGATGGAGTCTCACTCTGTAACCCAGGCTGGAATGCAATGGTGTGATCTCGGCTCACTGCCACCTCTGCCTCCCAGGTTAAAGCGATTCTCCTGCCTCAGTCTCCTGAGTAGCTGGGATTACAGGTGTGCACCACCACGCCCGGCTAATCTTTGTATTTTTAGTAGAAACAGGGTTTCATCATATTGCCCAGGCTGATCTCGAACACTGTCTCAAAATAAATAAATAAATAGTGTGCTAAGTCAATTTCTCCCTCTCCACACCTGTCCAGTCTTATTCTTCCTGAGTGTGCTATATCAGAGTTGTGGATGGACGAAAGGAGAGGATCGTGACAGGCAGCAGCCCTGGAGTTCCACTCTCCCCTGCAGGGAAGGCTAAGGGGCCTGCCTTGCGCTACGGTTTCATAGAACTGGAGTCCGTCAAACCTTCCTGAGCCCTAGCGGTAGCCTGGGAGTCAGGAGGGGCAGGTGTGTGGGGAGCTGCGCTGACTGCCCACTGCGTCCACTAGATGGCGCGCTGGCTGCACAGGTAAGCGCGTCGCACCTTCCCTGAGTGGGTCCAGCTTTCGGGAATCACCTGCCGGTATAGCCAGCACCTGTTAGCTGATCCCCGCCCCAGGTCTGCTGCATAGACGAGGAGACTGAGGCACGAACAGGTGAAATGACTCAACTGTTATCTTTTTTTTTTTTTTCTGAGACAGAGTCTCACCCTGTTTCCGAGGCTAGGGTACTGTAACGCAATCACAACTCACTACGGCCTCATCCTCCTGGGCTCAAGCAATCCTCCCACCTCGGCCTCTCGAGTAGGTGGGATCATAGGTGTGCATCATCATACCCAACTAATTAAACACTTTTTTTTTTTTCCAGACAGGATCTCTGTTGCTGGAGTGCAGGGGCACGATCTCGGCTCGCTGCAGCCTCCGCCTCCCGGTTCAAACGATTCTCGTGCCTCAGTCTCTCAAGTACTGGGATTACAGGCGTGCACCACCAACCCCGGCGAATTTTTGTATTTTTAATAGAGATGGGGTTTCACCATGTTGGCCAGGATGGTCTTGAGCTCCTGGCCTCAACTGAGCCTCCCGCCATGGCCTCCCAAAGTGCTGAGACTGCAGGCATGAGCCACCACACCCAGCTAATTTTTGTATTTTTAGTAGAGACAAGGTTTCACCACGTTGGCCAGGCTGGTCTTGAACTTCTGGCCTCAAGTGATCCACTCATCTTGGCCTCCCAAAGTGGATCACTTGTTTCTGATCTGTTTTAGAGGTATCTTTGAGAGCCTGGTGAACGTTACAAGACCCCTTCTTAAAAATTTTTTTGAAATCAATTTCATGGGCTTCAAGAACACCACAGGAATAGATTAAGAACATGTCCTTCATGTTTGCAGTGTATATGTTTAATTGGGCTTTGGCCAGAGGCAGTGGCTCACGCCTGTAATCCCAGCACTTTGGGAAGCTAAGGCAGGAGGATCGCTTGAACCCAGCAGATTGAGATCAGCCTGGGCAACATAGCAAGACCCTGTCTCTAACAACCCCCGCCCCGCCCCCCACCCAAAATTAGCCAGGTGTGGTGGTGCGTGCCTGTAGTCCCAGCTACTCAGGAGGCTGAGGTGGGAGGATCCACTGAGCCCAAGAGGCTGAGGTTGCAGTGAGCCATGATCACACCACTACACTCCAACCTGGGTGACAGAGCGAGACCTTGTCTCAAAAAGAAAAAAAAAAGGAGTTTACATTAGCTCTTAACTTTCAATTCCAGATGTGAATATAATAATGTAATCCATCCACTTACTAAAAAAAATATTTACTGAGCACCTCCTATGTGCTAGGCACTGTTCTAGGTGCTGGGGATACTTGCTTTTGTGTAGTTTACCTTTTAAAGGGGGAAGACAAGTGATAAAAATGGACAAACTGTAGTAGTCATTAGTGCTGTTCTCTAAATATTTCAAATACTCCCCCTTCTTGGTACATGGTAGGATTTTTAATTTTTCTTTAATTAGTAGAAAATTTTTTTTGGCTGGGCATGGTGGCTCAGCTCATGCCTGTAATCCCAGCACTTTGGGAGGCCAAGGCAGGTGGGCCACCTGAGGTCAGGAGTTCGAGACTAGCCTGGTCAATATGGTAGACTAAAAACACACAAAAAAATAGCTGGGCATGGACCTTTAGTCCCAGCTACTTGGGAGGCTTAGGCAGGAGGATCACTTGAACCTGGGAAGCGGAGGTTGCAGTGAGCCAAGATTGTGCCATTGCACTCCAGCCTGGGCACTGCAGCGAGACTCCACCTAAAAAAACAAAAAACAAACAAACAAACAAAAAAACTGCAAACAACAACAAAAAAAAACACCAAACAAAAAAACCCACAAATTTTTAAATTTTCTTTTCTTTTTTTTTTTTTTTTTTTAAGTAGTGGTGAGGCCTTGCTATGTTGCTCAGGCTAGTCTTGAATTCCTGAGCCCAAGCGATCCTCCTACCTTGGCCTCCCAAAATTCTGGGATTACAGGCTTGAGCCATGGAGCCCAGTCATGGTACAATTTTACTTCCTGCTTCTCTTATGGTTGGCTGAAATCATGTGACCAGTTCTGGCCAATGAATTGTGAGGAGTGGTGATGCCATACTTCAGGGCTGAGCGTTTAATTGCTGGTGAGAGGCCCCCTAGAGCTTTCCCTCTGCCCCAGGCATGAGAACTGGAAATATTTAAAATGAAGTCTGTTTAATCAGTATAGATCCCTGAGTCATGAAGCATGAGTGAGAAATAAACATTTTTTTACATCACTGAGATTTTGGGGTTTGCAGTGTATGTTACAGCAGTATAACCTGGCCTGTTCTGACTGATGCAACAATAAGAAGATCATAGAATTTTATAGATTGCTAGGAGATTAGAGCAATGGAGAAAAGAAAATGTTGAGCAGGATCAATGGTATTGCTGGGGACTAGGTGTGGTGGCTCATGCCTGTAATCCCAGCACTTTGGGAGGCTGAGGCAGGAGGATTGCTTGAGCTCAGGAATTCAAGACCAGCCTGGACAACATAGCAAGGCCCCATCTCTAACAAAACCCAAAAATAACCGGGCATGGTGGTGTGCACCTGTGGTCCCAGCTACTCAGGAGCCTGAGGTAGGAGGACGGCTTGAGCCAGGAAGGCTGAGGCTGCAGTAAGCTGTGTTTGAGCCACTGCACTCCAGCCTGGGCAACAGAGCAAGACCCTGTCTCAAAAAAAAAAAAAAAAGGGACGGAAAGGGTGGAGGGGAAGGAAGATGGAATGGTGAAGATGTGATCAAGGTGGGCTTCTTTGAGAAAGTAATATTTGAAAAGGAAGAAGGCAGTAAGCTGTGCAGGTACCTGGCGTGAAGGGGGTCCCAGGCAGGGGAGCAGCCAGGGATACACCAAAGGTTGGAGGTGTGTCTGATGTATTCCAGGAAGATCAAGCGGGTGGTGGGTGAACCAGGTGAGAAGTGAGGTCAGAGAAATAAGAGGGGCCAGGTCATGTGGAGCCTCATGGCCACGGGAGGATGTCACCATGTTTTCGGCGTGAACTTGGGAACCATGGTAGGGATTGGAACCCAAACATGACATGATATGATTTATTTATTTATTCATCCTGAGACAGAGTTTCGCTTTTTTTGCCCAGGCTGGAGTACAATGGCATGATCTTGGCTCACTGCAACCTTCTCCTCCCGGGTTCAAGCCATTCTCCTGCTTCAGCCTCCCAAGTAGCTGGGATTACAGGCATGCGCCACCATGACCGGCTAATTTTATATTTTTAGTAGAGATGGGGTTTCTCCGTGTTGGTCAGGCTGCTCTTGAACTCCCGACCTCAGGTGATGCACCCGCCTCGGCCTCCCAAAGTGCTGGGATTACAGGTGTGAGCCACTGCGCCTAGCCTGACATATGATTTATGTTTGTAAAGGATCTCTCTGACATCTGGGGAGAGATAGACAGCATGCAGGGGTGGGGCAGGATGGAAGGATGGAAGTTGGGGGGCACTTGTATATTTCAGGAGACAGCAATCTGTGGCTCACACTGGGCAGTGACAGCAGAGGTGGGGACAAGTGTCCAGGTGGACAGATCCTGGATATTTTATTTTGTTTATTTCATTTGTTTATTTCCAAGGCAGGGTCTCTCCCTGTCACCCAGGCTGGAGTGCAGGTGGGGCAATCACAGCTCACTGCAGTCTCGACCTCCTTGGCTCAAGCGATCCTCCCACTTCAGCCTCCCCAGTAGCTGGGACCACAGGCACACGCCACCATGCCTGGCTAATTTCTAAATTTTCTTGTAGAGATGAGAGGGGAGTCTCACTATGTTGCCCAGGCTGGTCTCAAAATCCTGGCCTCAAGGGATCCTCCCACCTTAGCCTCCCAAAGCACTGGAATTATACGCTTGAGCTACCACACCTGGCCTTATAATTTCAAGATAGAACCAATACTATTTCATGATAGATTCAATGAAGGATGGGAGAGATTCAAGGCTTTTGGCCCCATCCTTCCAAGAAGGATGAAATTGCTGTCAACTGAAGCGTGGGGGAGGTTACAGATGGAGTGGGTTTCATGGGGGGAAGATCAGAGTTGGTTTTGGCCGTGTTGAGTTTAAAATGTCTATTGGACCCCAAGTGGAGGCATGTGGGTGGCTGTTGGATGTATGAGTCTGGAGTCAGGAGAATATAAATTTGGGAGTTGTTGATGGAAAGATGGTATCAACAGTTTAATGTCTTAAAACACTCTTCTCTATAAGCCAGGAACAGAAAGTTAAACACCGCATGTTCTCACTCTGAAAGCTAAAAAAAGTTGATCTTGTAGAAGTAGAAAGTAGAAGAGAGAATACTCGAGTCTGGGAAGGGTAGGGGAAAGAGAGAGATTTGTTAAATTTGTTTAAAAATTACAGCTAGGGGCCAGGCACGGTGGCTCATGCCTGTAATCCCAGCACTTTGGGAGGCTGAGCTGGGCGGATCACGAGGTCAGGAGTTCGAGACCAGCCTGGTCAATATGGTGAAATCCTGTCTCTACTAAAAATGAAAAATTAGCTGGGCGTGGTGGCGCACCTGTAGACCCAGCTGCTCGGGAGGCTGAGGCAGAAGAATCACTTGAACCCGGGAGGCGGAGGTTGCAGTGAGCCGAGATTGTGCCTCTGCACTCCAGCTGGGTGATAGAGCAAGACTCCGTCTCAAAAAAAAAAAAAAAAAAAAAAATTACCGCTAGATGGGAGGAATAAGTCCTAGTGTTTCATACCACTGTAGGATGACTATAGTTCACAATAATATATAATTCCAAATAGCTAGAAGGAGGAGATGGAACCTTTCCAACACAAGGAAATGATACATGTTTGAGATGAAGGATTTGCTAATTACTCTGAGAACAGACTGGGCAACATAGCGAGACCTCATCTCTACAAAAAAATTAAAAAATTAGCTGGGCTACCTGGCATGAACCTGTAGTCCCAGCTACTTGGGAGGCTGAGGTGGGAGGATTGCTTGAGCCCAGGAGGTGGAGGCTGCAGTGAGCTATGATTGAGCCACTGCATTCTGATTGCTATACATTCTATGTATCACAACGTAACTATGTGGCACATGAATATGTACAATTATTGTCATTTTAAAATGTTTAGGCTAGGTGCAGTGGCTCATGCCTGTAATCCTAGCACTTTGGGAGGCCAAGGTGGGAGGATCGCTGGAGTCCAGAAGTTCGAGACAAGCCTGGATAACATAGTGACACCTTATCTATAAAAATAAATTAAAAAATTAGCCAAGTGTGGTGGCCCGTGCCTGTAGTCCCAGCTATTTGGAAAGCTGAGGTGAGAGGATTCCTTGAGCCCAGGAGTTGAAGGCTGCAATGAGCTATGATTGTGCCACCAACTGCACTTTAGTCTGGGTGACAGAATGACACTCTGTCTCAGAAAAAACAACAACAACAACAAACTTTAAAATAAGCCACGCATGATGGCTCATGCCTGTAATCCTGGTAGTTTGAGAGGCCGAGGCAGGAGGATCGCTTGAACCCAGGAGTTCAGGACAAGCCTGGGCAACATAGTGCAACCCTGTCTCTACAAAAAATATAAAAATTAGCCAGACGTGGTGGCGCGTACCTGTAGTCCCAGCTACTTGCAGGGGCTGAGGTGAGAGATGGCTTGGAGGTCGAGACTGCAGTGAGCCTTGATTTTGTCGCTGTATCCCAGCCTGGGCAACAAAGCAAGAATCTGCCTCAAAATAAATAAATAGAATAAAATAAAATTTAAAAACCTAGTTGGGCACGGTAGCTTATGTCTGTAATCCCAGCACTTTGGGAGGCCAAGGTGGGTGGATCATCTAAGGTCAGGAGTTCAAGACCAGCCTGGCCAACATGGTGAAACTCTGACTCTACCAAAAATACAAAAATTAACTGGGTGTGGTGGTGGGCACCTGCAAAGCTACTCCGGAGGCTGAGGGAGGAGAATCGCTTGAACCCAGGAGTCAGAGGTTGCAGTGAGCCGAGATCGAGCCACTGCACTCCAGCCTGGGCAGCAAGAGCGCAACTCTGTCTCAAAAAGAACAAACCAAAACCAAAACCCCATTGTTCTCTTTATAAAGATAAATTTTTGTTTGTTTGTTTGTTTGTTTTTGAGACAGAGTCTCACTATGTCGCCAGGCTGGAGTGCAGTGGCGTGATCTCCGCTCACTGCAACCTCTGACTCCTGGGTTCAAGCGATTCTCCTGCCTCAGCCTCCCGAGTAGCTGGGATTACAGGCATGCACCACCACGCCCAGCTAAGTTTTGTATTTTTAGTAGAGACAGGGTTTCACCATGTTGGCCAGGATGGTCTTGATCTCCTGACCTCGTGATCTGCCCACCTCGGCCTCCCAAAGTGCTGGGATTACAGGCGTGAGCCAATGCCCCTGGCCTGAAACTCAACTCTTAATCATTTGGGTCTGGAGAGCTTGTGTTTGTTTTATTTATCTTGACTTCTTACTTTTAACTCCTAGTTTTTGTTTTTTTAATTTTCATTTTATCATATGTATTCTCACTCTAAGTTGCCTCAGATCGACACAAAATGAGGCAGAATATAAAACAAAGAAATAAACATAATTGAATAAAGTTGCTTTTTAATAACAACACAACTCATTTATAAGTAAAAAGATATTGAAAATTTGTCTCTAAAGTAATCTATTATGTGCAGAATCTTATATTCCAGCTGACTTTCATTATAAAACAGAAAATGTATCCCTTCAGGAAAAACAATTCTAGTCCCAAAATGTTATAAAAATTACACTTTAAAATTGCAGCATCTATGTAAATTCACATATTTTAAGGCAAATAAGTATGCTATTGTGAGTTATGAGAATAATATGCAAAAGAAGTCACAAAATACAAATGCAAAATAACTAGAATTGCTTTTATGTCTTCATGAAATGACTTAAAGCTTGCAGGAAAAGAACATGAGTTTTCCTAACAGGAGACACCACACTTTGAGTCTCCACGTTTACCTTTCCCTGGAATCCACTGAAGCAGCAATTCTCAGATCATGGGCAAACTCTTATCCTTTCCCTTTTTGACATCCCTGTAAGTCCCTGTTTTTGTTGTTGTTATTATTTGTTTTTGAGATAGGGTCTTGCTCTGTTGCTCAAGCTGAAGTGTGTTGGTGCAATCATAAGTCACTGTAGCCTCAACCTCCTGGGCTCAAGGAATCCTCCCTCCTCAGCCTCCTGAATAGCTGGGACTAGACAGAAGCCACCATGCCCAGGTAATTTTTTTATGTCTTTTGGAAGAAATGGGGTCTTGCTCTGTTGCCCAGGCTGGTCTCAAACTCCTGGCCTCAAGTAATCCTCCTGTCTCAGCCTCTCAGAGCTCTTAGATTACAGGTGTGAGCCACTGGGCTCAGCTCAGGCTCCTGTTTTGTTTTTGATTTTTTTTTTTTTTTTTTTTGAGACGGAGTCTCGCTCTGTCGCCCGGGCTGGAGTGCAGTGGCGCGATCTCGGCTCACTGCAAGCTCTGCCTATTGGGTTCATGCCATTCTCCTGCCTCAGCCTCCGGGTTAGGTGGGACTACAGGTGCCCGCCACCGTGACTGGCTAATTTTTTGTATTTTTAGTAGAGACGGGGTTTCACCATGTTAGCCAGGATGGTCTTGATCTCCTGACCTCGTGATCTGCCTGCCTCAGCCTCCCAAAGTGCTGGGATTATAGGTGTGAGCCACTGCGCCCAGCCAGGCTCCTGTTTTTATAAGTCCATCAATATTGGTCTTTCCAATCAATTTCTTTTTTAAACTTAAATTTATTTAGAGGGGAAACAGTTTAAATAATGTATAGTGTGTGTGAATTCATGGGTTCGCTATTTTCCTAAGGTACACTAAAATCAATTCAGAAGTATTTAAAAAAATAGGATGGGGCCGGGCATGGTGGCTCACGCCTGTAATCCCAGCATTTTGGGAGGCCGAGGTGGGAGGACCACCAGAGGTCAGGAGTTCGAGATCAGCCTGGCCAACATGGTGAAACCCCATCTCTACTAAAAATACAAAAACTAGCTGAGCAAGGTGGTGGGTGCCTGTAATCTCAGCTACTTGGGAGGCCGAGGCAGGAGAATCACTTGAACCTGGGAGGCGGAGATTGCAGTGAGCCGAGATCACATCTCTGCACTCTAGCCTGGGCAACAGAGCCAGACTCCATCTCAAAAAAAAAAAAAAAAAGGTATAGTATGTTGCCCTAAAACTATCTCTTTCACCCCATGTTGCCTATGGAGCAGTGGTGGGGGGCTCTGTCCTGGGGGATAGTTCTGCACTGGGCTGCTCCCAGCCCTTGGAAGTAGATTAACTAGGCTGAATGGAGGAGGAGCCCCAGCCACAGTGAGATACGCATGTCAATGAGTCAGCAGAGAGAAGAGGAAGACTCCCCCCAGTTAAAGAGAAAATGAGGCTGGCGGGGCGCGGTGGGTCACGCCTGTAATCCCAGCACTTTGGGAGGCTAAGGCAGGCGGATCACCTGAGGTCATGTGTTTGAGACCAGCCTGGACAACATGGTGAAACCCTGTCTCTACTAAAAATACAAAAATTAGCCGGGCGTGGTGGTGGGTGCCTGTAATTGTAGCTACGCGGGAGGCTGAGGCAGGAGAATCGCTTGAACCTAGGAGGTGGAGGTTGCAGTGAGCCGAGATCATGCCATTGCACTCCAGCCTGGCCAACAAGAGCAAAACTCGTCTCAAAAAATAAATAAATAAATAAAAATTAAAAAAATAAAGAGACAATGAAGCGAGGTGGGAATACTTTTGCTGAAACACACGCAAGGAAGTCTTGATGAATGGTTGCCGAGCAGGGATGTTAAGAAAGATCTTCAGGAAGCGTGGGGTCAGGACTCATCACAGTCACGTGGTCACCATTAGAGACTAGCTCACCCCAACTCTTTCTTGTTGTGATGTAGAAATGACAGGTTGGTTTGGCCAGGCACGTGGCTCACGCCTTTAATCCCAGGACTTTGGGAGGCCGAGGCGGGCGGATCACAAGGTCAGGAGATCGAGATCATCCTGGCTAACACGGTGAAACACTGTCTCTACTAAAAACACAAAAAATTAGCCGGGTGTGGTGGTGGGCACCTGTAGTCCCAGCTACTCGGGAGGCTGAGGCAGGAGAATGGCGTGAACCTGGGAGGCGGAGCTTGCAATGAGCTGAGATCGTGCCACTGCACTCCAGCCTAGGGACAGAGAGAGACTCTGTCTCAAAAAAAAGAAAAAAAAAAGAAATGACAGGTTGGTTTCCAACAGTCTTTCCAATGGAAATCCAACAGTAATTGCAATTGGCTTTTATTTTATTATTATTATTTATTATTATTTTTTGAGACAGAGTCTTGCTCTGTCTCCCAAGCTGGAATGTAGAGGCACGATCTCGGCTCACTGCAACCTCTGCCTCCCAAATTTAAGTGATTCTCCCGCCTCAGCCTCCCGAGTAGCTGGAATTACAGGTGCCCGCCACCACGCCCAGCTAATTTTACATAACTGGCTTTTAGAACAGTGGTTCTCAGCTGCAAACCCTGAATCTGTAGATTCATCATCACCTGGGAGCTGATTAGAAATGCAAATTCGTTTTTATTTTTTGAGACAGAGTCTTGCTCTGTTGCCCAGGCTGGAGTGTAGTAGTGCAATCTCAGCCCACTGCAAACTCCACCCGCTGGGCTCAAGTGATCCTCCTACCTCAGCTTCCCAAGTAGCTGGGACTCCAGGCGCGCACTACCACGCCCAGCTAATTTTTGTATTTTTTTTGTAGA
The DNA here is from genome assembly GCF_000001405.40 of Homo sapiens. Classification (NCBI taxonomy): domain Eukaryota; kingdom Metazoa; phylum Chordata; class Mammalia; order Primates; family Hominidae; genus Homo; species Homo sapiens. Next base: position 98,430,890 of record NC_000007.14, read on the forward strand.
GACGGGGTCTCGCCATGTTGCCCAGGCTGGTCTTGAACTTCTGGGTTCAAGCGATCCTCCCACCTCGGCCTCCCAAAGTGCTGGGATTACAGGTGTGAGCCACTGTGCCTGACCAAAAATGCAGATTCTTGAGCCCTATCCCAGAGGTATGGACCTCCAGAGAATATAATGGGTGCTAACGTTGAGAACTACTCTTCTAGAAGAAACCCTGTTGTTGCACAGTAAACAGAGGGTGAACAGCAAGGAGACCTGAGATCTAGTCACAGATCTGTAGCCAATTAGCTGTGACCGCAGACCAGAGCCAAATTGCTGTCACCTGGAACCTGGGAACAGGCTTGGGTCTGAGCAAAAGTTCCCAGCCTAGAATCACCTGGGTACCTTTTTCTTTTCTTTTTCTTTCTTTTTTGAGACAGGGTCTCACTTTGTTACCCAGGCTAGAGTACAGTGGTACAATCTCAGCTCACCACAACCTCTGCCTCCCGGGTTCAGGTGATTCTCCCACCTCAATCTCCCAAGTAGCTGGGACTGCAGGCACACGCCACTATACCTGGCTAATTTTTGTATTTTTAGTTGAGTCGGGGTTTTGCCATGTTGGCCAGGTTGGTCTTGAACTCCTGACCTCAAGTGATCTGTCTGCCTCAGCCTCCCAAAGTGCTGGGATTACAGGTGTGAGCCACTGCACCTGGCCTCTGGGTAGCTTTTTGAATTCTGATGCTGCTACACCAGAGTCCATACTTTATGATTCAATTTATGTTAAGTTGTAGAACAGGCTGAAACTAATTTATAACAGGAATAATCAGATCGGTGGTTGCCTGATTGGCAGGTGGGAGTGGATCGACTGAGAAGGTATACAGGGGAAGTTGTGGGATGATGGTGATGTCCTGTCTTGATGGAAATATGGGTTATATGGGTGCATGCATTTGTTAGAATTTATTGAGTGGTATACATAAGATTTGTACATTTTACTATATTCATTACAAATTTTATTTTTGTAGAGACAGGGGTTTCACTGTGTTGCCCATGATGGTCTTGAACTCCTGAACTCAAGTGATCCTCCTGCCTTGGCCTCCCAAAGTGCTGGGATTACATGAGCCACCATGCCTAGCCTAGAATATTTGATTCTTTTCTTTTATGCTATGTTATTATTTAAAGCCATGATTTAGATGATGCTCTGTCTCTGGTCTGGATTGCAAGTTTATTCATTGGAAAAATATGATCCATATTGCAACATGATCTTCAGGAACACATCGAAGCAAAAAGGAAGAGACTTATGTGCTTTCTGTCTTTTTTTCTGAGACAGTCTCGCTCTGAGTGTAGTGGTGCCATCTCGGCTCACTGCAATCTCTGCCTCCCGGGTTCAAGTGATTCTCCCACCTCAGCCTCCTGAGTAGCTGGGATTACAGGTGTGTACCACCATGCCCAGCTAATTTTTGTATTTTTAGTAGAAACAGGGTTTCACCATATTGCTCGGGCTGATCTCGAATTCCTGAACTCAAGTGATCCACCCGCCTTGGCCTCCCAAAGTGCTGGGATTACAGGAGTGAGCCACCGTGCCTGACCTATATGCATATTTTATATCTAAAGAAAAAAGGACTATAAATAAATATGAGAGTCTTGTTATAATATGTGTGCTGAAGTGTTTAGGGGTGAAATGTGCTACTGCCACAATTCATTTTGAAATGCCTCAAAATTGAATGGTTTGAGGGATGGATGGTTGAATAGATTATATGATAAACTGAGCATAATGAAATGTTAATTGTAGAATTCAGGGGTGGGTATATGGATGTTCACTGCAAAATTCTTTCAACTTTTCATTAAGTTTGAACATTTCCTAAAAATTTTTAATTCTTTTTTTTTTTTTTTTGAGACAGAGTCTCGCTCTGTCGCCCAGGCTGGAGTGCAGTGGCGTGATCTCTGCTCACTGCAAGCTCTGGTTCCCAGGTTCATACCATTCTCATGCCTCATAATTCATTTATTTTTTAGAGACAGGGTCTCTCTCTGTCTCCCAGGCTGGAGTGCAGCGATGTGATCCTAGTTCACTGCAGCCTTGAACTCCTGGGATCAAGGGAAGCTCCCTTCTCAGCCTCCCAGGAAGCTGGGACTACAGGTGCGCTCCACCACATTTGGCTAATTACCCAGGCTGGTCTCAAACTCTTGTCCTCAAGCGATCCTCCCACCTCGGCCTCCCAAAGTGTTAGGATTACAGGTGTAAGCCCCACACCTCAAAAGTTTTTATAAGAAAACACTGAAGGGAAATTCTGAAGCTGAGACTCTACACTTACATCTGTTAATGAGATCTTTCCTCAATTAAATATTCTACAATTGGGGGTTGGTACATTTCTCTGTCAAAGGCAACAGTTTTTAAGCCATTCATGTACACATGTTCCTGGGAAAAGTGACACTGTGGGAGATTGTTGGTTTTTTTTTTACCCCTGAAAATTAACTTATTGGGGAATAGGTTCATGATCTCTCCACAGGTTCCAATAATGAGGGGAGACCTGGGTTCTGCACCTGGCCTTGTTGTCGTGGTTACTGTTGCTTTCAGGAGATGGCACCAGGTGTGTCTCGACTTGTACTTGCTTTAGCCAAATATGGCCACCAGGAGGAGCAGTCACCCCACAGTTGCCTGGAGCACCCACACTCTTCAAACTCACGGCTTGAAATGTCACCTGTGGCCGTCTGAGGTCATCCATCGTTATTTTCTTTCTTTCTTTCTTTCTTTCTTTCTTTCTTTCTTTCTTTCTTTCTTTCTTTCTTTCTTTCTTTCTTTCTTTCCTTCTTTCTTTCTTTCATTCTTTCTTTCTCTTTCTTTCTTTCTTTCCTTTCTTTCTCTTTTCTTTCTCTTTCCCTCCCTCCCTCCCTCCCTCCCTCCTTCCTTTCTTCTTTTCTTCCACTCTCTCTTTCTTTCTTCCCTCCCCTCCCCTCCCCTCCCTTTCCCTTCCCTTCCTGACAGAGTTTCGCTCTTGTTGCCCAGGCTGGAGTGCAGTGGCCGGATCTCAGCTCACTGCAACCTCCACCTCCCAGGTTCAAGCGATTTTCCTGCCTCAGCCTCCCAAGTAGCTGGAATTACAGGCACCTGGCACCATGCCTGGCTAATTTTTGTATTTTTAGTAGAGACGGGGTTTCCCCATGTTGGCCAGGCTGGTCTCAAACTCTTGACCTCAGGTGATCCACCAGCCTCGGCCTCCCAAAGTGCTGGGATTACAGGCGTGAGCCAACATGCCCGGCCATCCACGGCTATTTTCATCATGCCTGGCTTTCCCCTTGTTGGTTCAGTCACCCTCAAAGGACAGAGCCTCTGTGCCATGGGCCCTCCCCCGAGATCTGTGCATTGCCTAATGTGACTGGACCCTCCTCCTCACCCCCCATCCTGCCCCAGCTCCTCTGATGACATCATCGGCTCTGGAGCCGCCACTCAGTCTCGTGCAGGAGGGTCCGCTCCCTCTGACCACGCTGGTCCCTCAGGACCCCACTTCCCCCGGCACTGTCTGGTGCAGGGACTCTTTCTCCTTTTATACCCCATGTACCACAGAAGCTAAGGTAGGGTCCATATCCTCCATGCTTCCTGTGGTCACATCCAAGATATTTCTCTTCCAAAGGCAGCAGAGTCACCTGCTGACCCTCTCGGTGACTGCTGTCTGCTGGTCTTCCGCTTGTACCTCCTCATCCATTGAGGACCTGGTCTCCTGGTTGACCGTGTTCTCCATTCTTTTTGCCGTCTTGTGCCCGAGGGCGTTCATCACCCATGTGGACAGGCCAGGCTACTCCCAGTCTCTCTGGGCACCAGGACAGCTGCAGCTCCAGTGAGCTTTTCCAATGTGCCTCTCAGCTACCCCTCCCCGCGGTCACACCTGGGACCCTTCATCACCCGGAAAGGAGACTTCAGACAGCTCCCGGCTGACCTCTCCTTTCTCGTTCCAGAACTCTCTGCTTGGCCTCAACGCCTCACTGCCACTCTCTATATGGTCATTGCCTTCCTTAATCGTGGTTCATAATTAAAATCAACTCCTGCAGGGCGAGGTGGTTCACACCTGTAATTGCAGCACTTTGGGAGGCCGAGGCAGGTGGATCACTTGAGGTCAGGAGTTCGAGACCAGCCTGGCCAACATGGCAAAACCCCATCTCTACTGAAAATATAAAAATTAGCCAGGTGTGGTGGCGGACGCCTGTAATCCCAGCTACTCGGGAATCTGAGGAGGGAGACTCGCTTGAATTTGGGAGGTTGGAGGTTGCAGTGAGCCGAGATCACACCACTGCACTCCAACCTGGGCCACAGAGGAAGACTCTGTCTCAAAACAAACAAACAAACAAAAAAAAAACTCCTTTGTATTTCTCCTGACATTGTTCCCCTCAGCAAGGGTGACACAAATGGGCCGGATCTCTTGCATCTGCACCTGGACAGTCAAGCATCACTTTATTTATTCGTCTATTTATTCATTTACTTATTTATTTATTTATTTTAGAGACAGAGTCTCACTCTGTTGCCCAGGCTGGAGTTCAGTGGTGTGAGCAGAGCTCATTGCAGCCTCCACCTCTTGGGCTCAAGCGATCCTCCCACCTCAGCCTCCCTGTGAGCTGGGATCACAGACATGCACCACACTGCGCCCAGCTAATTTTCTAATTTTCTGTAGAGATGAGGTCTTGCCATGTTGTCCAGGCTGCTCTTGAACTCCTGGCCTCAAACAATCCTCCTTACCTCAACGCCCCCAAAGTGCTGGGATTACAGGTGTGAGCCACAATATCTGGCTGCACTTTCACTTTTTTTTTTGAGACAGAGTTTCGCTCTTGTCACCCAGGCTGGAGTGCAGTGGTACGATCTTGGCTCACTGCAATGAATACATAGATGAATAAATAAAGTGAAAGTTTAGCTGAGTGTGTGCTTTCCCAGTGGGGCTTGGCTGTCCAGATGCAGATGCAATAGATCCAGCTCGTTCATGTCACTCTTGCTGGGGGGAACCATTTAAGGGTTCAAGCCATTCTCCTGCCTCAGCCTCCTGAGTAGCTGTGATTACAGGTGCCCGCCACCACGCCTGGCTAATTTTTATATTTTAAGTAGAGATGGGGTTTCACCATGTTGGCCAGGCTGGTCTCGAACTACTGACCCCAGGTGATCCACCCACTTCGGCCTCTCATAGTGCTGGGATTACAGGCGTGAGCCACCGTGCTCGGCCTGGCTGGGCTTTCACTTTAATTTCACAGACTTCAAATGGGCTGCCCGGCAACCCCTCTACATTCCCCCAGGAAGTTTGCAACAGCGATTTCATACTTCCTGTCTCTCTCCTCAAACTTCCTGTGCTTCCTCCCCTCCCTCCCTTCTGCTCAGCTGAAGCTTACATCTCTAATGTTATTAGAAGCCATCAGAGTGAATGCTCTTATCTTCCCACCACCCACCGGCTGTGTCTGTTCCTTCCACTGTCACTGTGTAATAATTGCCCTTCTGGGGCTGGATATGGTGGCTCATGCCTGTAATCCCAGCACTTTGGGAGGCTGAGGCGGGAGGACTGCTTGAGGCCAAGAGCTCAAGACCAGCCTGGGCAACATAGTGAGACTCCATCTCTACAAAAAAGTTTAAAAATTAGCAAGGGGCCAGGTGCCGTGGCTCATGACTGTAATCCCAGGACTTTGGACAGCCGAGGTGGGAGGATTACCTGAGGTCAGGAGTTCAAGACCAGCCTGGCCAATACCATGAGACCCCATCTCTACAAAAATACAAAAATTAGCAGGGTGCGGTGGCTTGCACCTGTAATTCCAGCTACTTGGGAGGCTGAGGCAGGAGGATCACTTGAACCTTAGAGGTGGTCCTTTGTGGTCTGCACCAAAGAGCTTCCCCAGAAGAGTGATCTACTGGTAAACCCGTACCCGCTTCTCACTCCAAAAATGGCGACTTGTAGCATTCTGCTGACTTTTTTTTTTTTTTTTTTTGAGATAGTCTCCCTCTGTCGCCCAGGCTAGAGTGCAGTGGCCTGTTCACTGCAACCTCCACCTCCCAAGTTCAAGTGATTCTCCTGCCTCAGTCTCCTGAGTAACTGGGAATACAGGCGCCCACCACCTCGGCTGGTTTTGTATTTTTAGTAGAGACAGGGTTTCACCATGTTGGCCAGGCTGGTCTTGAACTTCTGACCTCAAGTGATCTGCCCTCCTTGGCCTCCCAAAGTGCTGAGATTATAGGCCTGAGCCACTGCGCCCGGCCCGCTGACTCTGCCTCGTGAATTCTCCCATCGCACTGGCTCCAAGCCATCCACATGGTGTCACTGAATGGGCATCTGGGAAGAGATGCATGCAGTTGGCTTTTGGGGTATTGGTGGGCTACCTGCCCCGCCCATGACCTGCTGAAGGTGACAGGAGGGTTGGGTATGGGACGGTTGGGAAAGGAGAGGTGGGCTGCACCTCCTCAGAAGCAGAGGAGTCAGTGCTCTGGCCAGGCCATTTCTTGGCAGAGTGACTCTCATTTAAGCTACACCTGGCTGGGCGTGGTGGCTTACACCTGTGGTCCCAGCACTTGGGGAGACTGAGGTGGGAGGATTGCTTGAGCCCAGGAGTTCGAGGCTGCAGCGAGCTATGATGGCGCCACTGCACTCCAACCGGGGTGAACAGAAGAAGACCCTGTCTCAAAAACAAACAAAAAAATCTGGTCGCAGTGGCTCATGCCTGTAATCCCAGGACTTGAGGGTCACTTGAGGCCAGGTGTTCAAGACCAGCCTGAGCAACATAGCCAGACACCCAACTCTAAAAGAAAAAAAGAAAAGCTAGACTGGAGGAAAATGCTTAGAGAGAAAAAGCTGTATTCTCAGGCTCTCATGAGGAAAGTTGAGGTTTTCTCTCCTTTTTGTGTAGAAAAATCCACTGGGATGTGGCATTCTCATTAGACTGTAGTTTAAACAGGACAGGCTTCCATTTGCAGGTGAGAACTTTCGTTTTCACAGCCAGGGCACAAATGTCAGACCTTTTCATGGGATGAATCTGAAATTTGGAAAATCACTGTCATTTTTATACAAATGAAGCCCAGGTGGTTCTCTCTATAGAACTTTCTAGTTAAAAAAGAGGGCAAAAGTCTAATCTCTGAATAGGAATTCCCTGTTTCTTGCAGGTGAATTAATTGCTTTCTGTCTTGGGCTATTTACAGAATACTGATGACAAGCTGAGAGGAAGGAGGAAAAAAATCTCGTAAAAAAAGAGGAATTTTTAGTCACAAAAAGGAAATTATGCCTGCTAAGTGAGACAAGATGTGAATTGGCCTTAAAAAGGAGCAGACATGAATGTTAAGTGGCAGCTTTGTGCTGAAGGTGGGCAGGCGGCCTTGAGTGGCTGAAGAGGAAGACCGGGGGTGTGGAGGCGGTGGATCCTTCTAGAACCTTCTAGAAATTCTGTCCCTTTTAACTTTTTTTTGTCTCGCTCTGTCGCCCAGGCTGGAGTGCAATGGTGCCATCTCGGCTCACTGCAACCTCTCCCTCCTGGGTTCAAGCGATTCTCCTGCCTCAGCCTTCTGAGTAGCTGGGATTACAGGTGCCTGCCTACATGGCCGACTAATTTTTGTATTTTTAGTAGAGATGGGGTTTCACCATGTTGGCCAGGCTAGTCTCGAACTCCTGACTCCATTTTTTTGAGACTCCATCTCAAAAAAAACAAAAAACAAAAAAAAAACCCCAAAGTCTGGGACCTTCCCCTTCTCTCTCACTTGCTCCCACTCTCGCCATGGAACCCTCTGGCTCCCTGTTGCCTTCTGCCATGATTGGAAGCTTCCCAAGGCCCCCCAAGAAGCAGATACTCCTGACATGCTTCCTGTACAGCCTGCAGAATCATAAGCCCATTAAACTGCTTTTCTTTATTAATGACCCTGCCTCAGGTATTCCTTTAGAGCAATGCAAAGAATGCCTATCACAACTCTCTTTCCTTGCAGATGAATTAATCACACCCGATCCTTGTCACAGGCTCTGCTGTTGGGGGAACTCACACTGGGACACCGGGGTGGTGTCCCCTCCCAGCATCACCACTGCCCAGCTATGTGACCTGATTTCCTGGGTCTCCGGGATGTGTTAGGCTCTCAGTGCCTGGAAAGAATGGAGGTCTGTTTGTCCTATGTCTCAGGTTGTTTGATCGTCACAATGTCACCTCCCTACAGGCCTGTTGCTGAGAGGTGTACCTCCCAGCCCACTGACGTCAGGCTCAGCTGTGAGATGGGAGCAGAGGTGATCCACACTGTGTTACAGCAGAAAATTCACGAGCCATTTTCTCATCCTACCATACCCCTTCCCCTCTGCCATGAGACCATCACATTCCAGATTGGGGCCGCCCCTTTAGTCCTGATCCTAGAATAAGGAGGACAGGGAGAAAAACCACTGCTGATCTGCAGTTGACAATGATGGTGGCAAGAAACCCACCTTCCTCCCTCTCTTCCTCCCCTCTACCTTCCTTCCTCCTCTCCTCCCCTCCCTCCCTCCCTCCCTTCCTTCCTTTCCTTCCCTCCCTCCTTCTGTCTTTCTTTCTCTCTCTTTTCTTTCTTTCTTTCTTTTTCTTTCTTTCTTTCTTCTTTCTTTCTTCTTTCTTTCTTTCTTTCTTTCTTTCTTTCTTTCTTTCTTTCTTTCTTTCTTTCTTTCTTTCTTTCCTTTCTTTCCTCCTTTATTTTTTCTTTCCTTTCTTTATTTCCTACTTCTATTCCTCCCTCCTTCCCGCCTTACTTTTTTCCTTCCTCCCTCCTCCTTCCTCCTTCCCTCCCTTTCTTCCTTCCTTCTTTCCTTTCTTCTCCTCTTCTTCTTTCCTTTCCCACTTCCTTCCCTCCACTGAGATTTTTGGGGCTATTTGTTACTGCAGCATAACCTAACCTTTCCTGACTGATACATTAGGAAATCCAGCAATGCCCTCATCTGGCCTCATGAATCTCCACTCCCGGATACAGCCCCTAAGGAAGAAAGTGTCTCTGGCCTTGAGTCCCAGATCCCAGTGGTGAAAGTCTGTGATGCAGGCTTGATCCTGCAGAGCCCCCTTCTTCCTCAGGTCCAGGGATTGGGGACAAAAGGCTCATGGTTCAAATAAACCTGCCCCAGAGGATGCAAGCAGAGAGGAAGAGAGCGAGATGGAACAATACTGGCACCCAGTGCCTAAGACCTGATGGCCTGGTCTGCCAGCCTGGCTGCCCCTTGAGAGAAAAGAGACCAGAGTGGAGGGGCTGGCCCCAGAGGCCAACAAGGAGGAATGGCATGTGTGGCCTGTGTACCATTCTCCCTACATTGTCCCAACTTGCTGCCTAAGTACAGTAGAAACTTAGGTCAAAGGAGAGCAGAACATACAAAAAACACTTGAGCCCTCTGAGGCACAGGGACCTAGGTACTAGCAAACAGGCCCCAAACCAGACCAACTCCATGCAGCAACCTCTTCCCTTGCACACACAGGGCTGGGGTCATGTGAAGAGAGATTCATGAGTGAGTTTTCACCCTAGAGACTGTAGTGAAAGCCAAGTTTGCAAAAACGGTTTTATAAATAGTAAAACATCCACCTGGGTGCAGTGGCTCACACCTGTAATCCCAACACTTTGGGAGGCTGAGGTGGGCAGATTACCTGAGGTCAGGAGTTCAAGACCAGCCTGGCCAACATGGGGAAACCCCGTCTCTACTAAAAATACAAAAATTAGCTGGGCGTGGTGGTGCACGCCTGTAATATGAGCTACTCGGGAGGCTGAGGTGGGAGAATCACTTGAACCCAGGAGGTGGAGCTTGCAGTGAGCCAAGATCGCACCACTGCACTCCAGCCTGGGTTACAGAGTGAGATTGTGTTTCAAAAAGAAAAAAAAAAATAGTAAAACATCTCTTATGTGATAGAATCAACCTAAACACCCATCAATGATAGACTGGATAAAGGAAATGTGGTATATATACATCGTGGAATACTATGCAGTCATAAAAAATCATGAGATCATGTCCTTTGCAGGGACATGGATGGAGCTGGAGGCCATTATCCTCAGCAAACTAAGGGAAAGAAAACCAAATACCACATGTTCTCACTTATAAGTGGGAGCTAAATGATAAGAACACAGGGACACAAAGTGGAGAACAACACACACTGGGGTCCACTGGTGGGTGGAGGGTGGGAGGAGGGACAGGATCAGGAAAAATAACTAATGGGTACTAGGCTTAATACCTGGGTGATAAAATAATCTGTACAACAAACTCCCATGACACAAGTTTACCTACATAACAAACTTGCACTTGTACCCCTGAACTTAAAAAATAAAAGTAAAAAAAATAAAAGAGGTGGGAGGAGGGCCCTCAATTCTAACCCCAGGAAGGGTTCGTGAGTCATATCTTGCTTTCCTGGATGCTGACTTCTTAGGGCAGGTGCTAATTGTGAGATCTTTTCTTTTCTTTTCTTTGTGTTTTTTTTTTTTTTTTTTTTGAGAGAGAGTCTTGCTCTGTCACCCAGGCTGGAGTGCAGTGGTGTGATCTTGGCTCACTGCAATGTCCGCCTCCCAGGTTCAAGTGATTCTCCTGTCTCAGCCTCCTGAATAGCTGGGATTACAGGCACCTGCCACCACACCCAGCTAATTTTTGTATTTTTAGTAGAGATGGAGTTTCACCAGGTTGGCCAGGCTGGTCTTAAACTCCTGACCTCAGCTGATTTGCCCGCTTCAGCCTCCCAAAGTGCTGGGATTACAGACGTGAGCCACCGCGCCTGGCCTAATTGTGAGATTTGAGAAAGAACTTCATTCACATCTACAGCAAGCTGGTAGATGTTTTTCCCAAATCGTTGTTTCTATGGACCGGGCAGATGGAATCATTTATCTAAAAGTTCCTCCCATTGGCATCGAACCAGCTGCATCTGATGCCTCTGGGGGCAGAGGCTGCTCTCGACCCAAAATCTCACCTTCAGCGCTACCTAGCAACAAACGCAAACACAATCTCCTAAGGCTTGAAAGAGAGGTCCAGTTGCAGCCCTAAACTCCATTTACAGCATTCTAGGGGCCGAGAGGACCATGGAGGAGAAGAGGGTTGCCAAAGAAACCAGAGTTATTCTATTTTCTTTTCCTTTTTTGAACTTGAAAATAGAAAATCACTGCTGATGTCTGAATCCTAAGCCTGTACTGACCACAAGGTCCTGTCTTCCACCAGGAGGAGGAGAGGGGAGGATTGGAGGTCGCGGGGCCCTTATGGGCAGTTTCCCTTCCAGGCCCGGGCTCCGGCTCACTTGGTGGAGAAGTTTATTTTCCCTTTTCTCACTCATTTTCAACCTTGCCCATCTCCAGTTTCTTTCTTCCTGGGCGTTGCTCATGTTCTCTCTCTCTTTTTTCTTTTTTTTGAGACGGAGTTTCACTCTTGTCGCCCAGGCTGGAGTGCAGTGGCGTGATCTCAGCTCACTGCAACCTCCGCCTCCCGAGTTCAAGCAATTCTTCTGCCTCAGCCTCCCAAGTAGCTGGGATTACAGGTGTCCGCCACCACACCCAGCTAATTTTGTAATTTTAGTAGAGATGGGGTCTCACCATGTTGGCCAGGCTGGTCTCGAACTCCTGACCTCAGGTGATCCACCTGCCTCTGCCTCCCAAAGTGCTGGGATTACAGACATGAGCCACCATGCTCAGCCGCTCATGTTTTCATTCCTGATGCTTTTTTTTTTTTTTTTTGAGACAGCTACTCAGGAGGCTCTGTCGCCCAGTGGCACGGTCACGGCTCACTGCAGTCTCCACTTCCTGGGCTCAAATGATCCTCCCACTTCAGCCTCCCAAGTAGCTAGGACTACAGGTGTGCACCACCATGCCTATTTTTTTTTAATTGTAGAGATAGGGTCTTGCAATGTTGCCCAGGCTGATCTTGAACTCCTGGCCTCAAGTGATCCTCCTGTCTCAGCCTCCCAAAGTGCTGAGATTACGGGTTGTGAGCTGTCGCACCCTGCCCTCTTTTCTGATTCTAATTCACTATAATCACTCCCTTTCCTTTTTAGAAATTTAATTTCCTTTTAAAATTTTATTTTTATTTATTTATTTTCGACAGGGTCTTGCTGTGTCAACCAGGCTAGAGTGTAGTCGCACGACCACGGCTCACCGCAGGCTTGATTTCCTGGGCTCAGGTGATCCTCCCACCTCAGCCTCCTGAGTAGCTGGGACTATAGGTGTGTGCCATCATGCCTGGCTAATTTTTGTATTTTGGGGGGTAGAGATGGGGTCTTGCTATATTGCCCAGGCTGGTCTCAAATTCCTGGGCTCAAGAGATCCTCCCGCCTTGGCCTCCCAAAGTGCAAGAATTACAGGCATGAGCCTCTGTGCCCAGCCTCCTTTTTGTAATTTGTAAATAAAAAAAATTTTTTTTAATAGGGTCTCACTCTGTCACTCAGGCTGGAGTGCAGTGGTGTGATCCTAGCTCACTGCAGCCTCAACCTCCTGGGCTCAAGCGATCCTCCCACCTCAGCCTCCCGCATAGCTGGGACCACAGGTGCAAGACGCAACACCTGGCTTAGAAAGTGGATTTCTTGATCCACTCTCTTCACTTTTGCATCCTGGGATTGTTTACTGACACAATGAAATGCTAATGTTATAGCAAAGATGCCAGAAAACAGAGAAAAATATCCCTTGTCCCCTGCACTCAGCAGCCCCAGGGTCTGTGGCTGCAGGAAGGTGGACTGTGGCCCAAGGCTGGCCCCAGAAGGCCCCTGTGGGTGCCTGGTGTCAGGGGCAGCGCAGGTCCTGTGCCCGGACCATTTTCTCTTCTTAAAAGACACTAGGCCAGGCGCGGTGGGCTCATGCCTGTAATCCCAGCACTTTGGGAGGCTGAGGTGGGTGGATCACCTGAGGCCAGGAGTTCGAGACCAGCCTGGCCAACTTGGCAAAACCCCATCTCTACTAAAAATAAAAAAAAATTATCTGGGTGTGGTGGCAGGTGCCTGTAATCCCAGCTACTCGGGAGGTTGAGGCAGGAGAATTGCTTGAACCCAGGAGGCGGAGGTTGCAGTGAGCCAAGATCACGCTGCTACACTCCTCAGCCAGGGTGACACAGCAAGACTCTGTCAAAAAAACAAAACAAAACCAAAAAACCCCCCAAACAACAACAACAACAACAACAACAAAAACACCGATCCTTGGATGTAGGGCTGAAATCCAATATGATATCATCTCATGATCTTTAATTTAATTATCTCTGCAAAGACCCTATTTCCAAATAATGTCGCATTCACAGATATTAGAGGTCAGGACTTGGCCGTATCTTTCTGGGAGGCACAATTCAATCTGCAACAGAAGGTACTGGTAGTTTATGAAGAGGACTGCACGATCTCATTGCTGATAGAACAGATCACGCTGGCTGCTCTATGGAGATTAGGCCAAAGTTGGGAGGTGGGGTACGGGGCCACTGCAGGAAGCTGGGCCAGGGATGATGGTAAAAAAGAAAAAAGTGTCACAGGCTTGTGGACTTTCACGGCTGGGCCTGGGTATTCTCCTGTTAGATGTAAATGATTTCGCAGATCATCGACATCGGGCAAAAGGCCGCTCTGTGGCCATGACAAATCAAAACAGTAGTCAGACGCCCCCCTTAAATCATGTCTGAAAACCGATAACATGGGGACAGTGTCTGAACCATAGTATTAACCAAACATGCTCCATCGTGGCTGACAGGAGAGACTGAGCCTTTGAATTTTTCTTTTTTTAAAAAATCAATCAAGCCTAAGCAACATGGTGAGACCCATCTCTACAAAAAATACAAAAAATTAGCTGGGCATGGCGGCGTGTGCCTATAGTCCCAGCTACTCGGGAGGCTGAGGTGGGAGGACTGCTTGAGCCCAGGAAGTCAAGGGGCTGTGGTGAGCCGTGATCATGCCTCTGCACTCCATCCTGGGTGACAGAATGAGACCCTGTCTCAAAAAAGTAAAAATGAGCCGGGTGCAGTGGCTCATGCCTGTAATCCCAGCACTTTGGGAGGCCGAGTAGGGTGGATCACTTGAGGTCAGGAGCTCGAGACCAGCCTGGCCAACATGGTGAAACCCTGTTTCTACTAAAAATACAAAAATTAGCCTGGCATAGTGGTGCACACCTGTAATCCCTGCTACTCGGGAGGCTGAGGTGGGAGAATCACTTGAACCAAGGAGGTGGAGGTTGCAGTGAGCTGAGATCCTGCCACTGCACTCCAGTCTGAGCAACAGAGTGAGACTCTGTCTCAAAAAATAAAAAAATAAAAAAAAATCACAATTCTAGCCTTGCTCCATTCTTCTCACCTTCTAGATGAGAATAATCAAGATAGTCAGGTGTGGTAGCTCACGACTATAATCCTAGTGCTCTGGGAGGCCGGGGCAGGAGGGTCGCTTGAGCCCAGGAGGTTGAGCCTGCCGTGAGCTATAATTGTGTCACTGCATTCCAGACTGGGCAACAAAGGAAGACCCAGTCTCAAAAAAAAAAGATCAAGTTACTCAATTGTGGATACCATCTCACGCCAGTCAGAATGGCGATTATTAAAAAGTGAAGAAACGGTCGGTCATGGTGGCTCACACCTGTAATCCCAGCACTTTGGGAGGCCAAGGCAGGAGGATCACCTGAGGTCAGTAGTTAGAGACCAGCCTGACCAACATGGAGAAACCCCGTCTCTACTAAAAATACAAAAATTAGCCAGGCGTGGTGGTGCATGCCTGTAATCCCAGCTACTTGGGGGGCTGAGGCAGGAGAATCACTTGAACCCAGGAGGTGGAGGTTGCAGTGAGCCAAGATCGTGCCATTGCACTCCAGCCTGGGCAACAAGCATGAAACTCCGTCTTAGGAAAACAAACAAAAAAAAAAAGTAAAGAAACAACAGATGGTGGCGAGGCTGTGGAGAAATAGGAATGCTTTTACACTGTTGGTGGGAATGTAAATTAGTTCAACCATTGTGGAAGAAGGGTGGAGATTCCTCAAAGACCTAGAACCAGAAATAGCATTTGACCCAGCAATCCCATTACTGGGTATATTCCCACAGAAATAGAAATCATTCTATTATAAAGATACATGCACACATGTGTTCATTGCAGCACTATTCACAATAGCAAAGACATGGAATCAGCCCAAATGCCCATCAATGGTAGACTGGATAAAGAAAATGTGGTACATATACACCATGGAATACTACACAGCCATAAAAAGGAATGAGATCCTGTCCTTTGCAGGGACATGGATGAAGCTGGAAGCCATTATCCTCGGCAAACTAATGCAGGAACAGAAAACCAGACACCGCATTTCTGACTTATAAGTGGGAGTTGAACAATGAGAACACATGGACACAGGGAGGGGAACATCACACACTGGGACCTGTTGCAGGGGCGGGCGGGGATGGGAGAGCACCAGGATAGACAGCTAATGCATGCGGGGCTTAATACCTATGGGTTGATAGGTGCAGCAAACCACTATGGCACATGTTTACCTATGTAACAAACATGCACTTTCTGCACATGTATCCCGGAACGTAGAATAAAATTAAATTTAAAAAAAGAAAAAGAAAAAAGGCTGGGTGCGGTAGCTCACACCTGTAATCTCAGTATTTTGGGAGGCTGAGGTGGGTGGATCACGAGGTCAGGAGATTGAGACCATCCTGGCTAACATGGTGAAACCCCGTCTCTACTAAAAATACAAAAAATTAGCTGGGTGTGGTGGCGGGCGCCTGTAGTCATAGCTACTCGGGAGGCTGAGGCAGGATAATCGCTTGAACCCAGGAGGCAGAGGTTGCAGTGAGCTGAGACTGAGCCACTGCATTCTAGCCTGGGTGACAGAGTGAGACTCCATATCAAAAATAATAATAATAATACATCAAGTAAAAAAAGATGCTCAATTGTGGAATGACCTGGTTCTTAGCAGCATGCAATCCAGAACAAAGCCTTGCTTCCTTGAGCTATTCTCCAAAACATACAACCCCAGCATGAATCCTAAATACATCCTTACAGAGATGTCCTAGGGTTTTCCACGATCTGTGCACGCTTCTTGCATCGCATCAATAAACCCACTTTGTTCAGCTGTCAGTGTGTTCCTGGTGGTCTTGGAGGGGCAGGGCCGGCTTCATGTGTGTGGGGCCTGTGCAATCCACAGAGCCCTGCACTTAAGAAGCATTAATCCCTGGACTGGATTCATGCTTGGGTGCTACCATATTGAATTCTTTTATTTTAATTTTTTTTTAGAGATGGGGTCTCTTTCTCTGTTGCCCAGGCTGGACTGCAGTGGCGTGATCACAGCTCACTGCAGGCTCAAGCTCATGGGCTCAAGCGATCCTCCTGCCTCAGCCTCCTGAGTAGCTGGGACTACAGGTGCGGCCACCAAGCCCAGTCAATTAAAATATTTTTTTTTTGTAGAGATGGGGTCTCGCTCTGTTGCCCAGGCTGGTCTTTTGGAGCAGGGGGCTCCCTGTGTTCATTTTTTACTGAGCCCCAGAAGTTACACAGGCAGTTCTGCTGAAGGTCAGGGCTGGTGGGTAACGTCAGGGTGGTCGTGGAAGAGGATGTGAGAAATGGGTGAATTCAGGACTTTTTGGCTAGAATCTGTAAGACTGGCTGATGTTTTGGATTTGGGTGGGAGGATGCAGGGAAGAGGGAGGAATCACTCCTGAATGTGGGGCTGGGACCTGGGGAATGAGTACCCTTTTTCCAGATGGGAAATATCGGGTAAACAAGTCAAGTGGATTTTGGAGTGGGCAGATGGGGTCAAGAATTTCAGTTTGGTGAAAATAAACTTCCTATCAAATTTTATAAAATAGGGACGGGATATTACATTTAAAAAATTGCTGACCAGCCAGGCATGGTGGCTCATGCCTGTAATCCCAACACTTTGGAAAGCCAAGGTGGGAGGATCGTTTGAGGCCAGGAGTTTGAGACCAGCCTGGGCAATATAGCAAGACCCCATCTCTACAAAAAATTTTAAAAAATTAGCTGAGCATGGTGGTGTGCACCTGTAGTCCCAGCTACCTGGAAGGCTGAAGCTGGGGACGATTGCTTGAGCCCAGGAGGTAGGGGTTGCAGCGAGCTATGGTTGTGCCACTGCACTCCAGTGTGGGTGACAGAGCGAGGCCCTGCCTCCTAAAAAAGAAAAAAAAAATTGGGCCAGGCGCGGTGACTCATGCCTGTAATCCTAGCACTTCGGAAGGCCAAGGCGGGCAGATCACCTGAGGTCAGGAGTTTGAAACCTGCCTGGCTAACGTGGTGAAACCCCATCTCTGCTAAAAATACAAAAACATTAGCTGGGCATGGGAGCAGGCACCTGTAATCCCAGCTACCTGGGAGGCTGAGGCAGGAGAATTGCTTGAACCTGGGAGGTGGAGGTTGCAGTGAGCTGAGATTGCACTACTGCACTCCAGCCTGGGTGACAGAGTGAGACTCCGGCTCAAAAAAAAAAAAAAAAGAAAAAGAAAAAGAAAAAAGAAAATTGGTGACCCAATATTGTACTATAGTTTTGCAAGATGCTACCACTGGGGGAAACCAGGTAAGGGAGTTCAAGAGCTCTCTCTGTATTATTTCTTACAACCGCATGTGAATCTACAATCATCTGAAAATGAAAAGTTTAATTAAAAAAAATTGGTGACCCAGAAAATCAGGACGTGAATGGAGCAATAGGCAGCTTGGGGCAGGTGTTACTCATTTTTATTCATCAGTTCCTAAATCTGCAAGGAGTTTGGGGGCAGCTCATAGAGGCAGACACAGCCAGGAACAGTGAAGGGGCTGTTCGTGGTGTCTGAGGGGATGGTGGCAGCGGCTGTGGCTCCTGAGCGTCTGTCCTTCCTGGTGGTCTGGTGTTGAGGGCTGATGGGGTGGACAGCAGCTCATCTCTTGGAGGTCCTGCCAAGTAAAGGGGTGAACTTGGTTCTAGAAGACAATGTCCTTGGCTCTGAGGACGCTGACTTCAGCACTCACCTCCTCTAGCAATTTCAGGTCACTTGGGCAGTGGGACAGACACAGGGGCAGGAAACTATGGGTAGGAGAGGAGGCCAGGATAAGCCCGGTTGGTGTTCACTTACAAGCTTTCCTTCGCTAGAGTCAGGGCTCCCGGTGGGGAGAGGAACATTTCATCTTAAGATATTTGCAGATTTATTCACGGAACTTCCCACATATCTGGATGAGGATATACGACTTGCCCCCTGGAGGAAAGAGTTAAATGAATCGCTAAAGCACAAAATGTTCCTGTAAAATTGCTTCTATATTTTATTAGACGCAGATGAGCATGAATTATTGTGAAGCCAGCAGGGGAGTTTGCAAATTTGGTTCTTGCCTTTTTCCATCAACAACCCCCAATCACCTAGATGGTGATGGAAGGACTGGTTGAGGGATGCTGGTTTGGGGTAGGACCCTTGAATAAAGAGCTCATTCACTTGTTAATTCATCCAGCCATCAGAGGTTTATGGGGCACCTACTGTATGTCAGGGAAAGCAAGCACAATTACAGCTTGCAGGTATCATTCTTGTTAATCTACCTTCCAACGACACCACCAAGGTCCTTCTGAGATGCGCCATTTTTGTTTCACGGTTATGTTGAGGATGGCATTTGGGGGAGGAAGCTTCCTTTTGAGCCTCTCAGAGTGCCACTCTTATCTGTGCCATAGAAAAGAAGTCACATTTCACCTACCCCTCCACGGTCAGAAATGCAAATTAACATGAAATTCCACTTTCCAACAATCTCCCGATTTGCATCAAGGTGTAAAACTCCTTGGGAGGAAAATGGACACAGTTGTGCAAAATTGGTTTTCTAGCTGAATAGATCTGATTAGTTTCTTACACTCGGTGTGGCTCTGTCAATTTATTTTTTCTTTTCTTTTTTATTTTATTTTATTTATTTATTTATTTATTTTTTGAGAGTCTCACTCTGACCCTCAGGCTGGAGTGCAGTGACATGATCTCAGCTCACTGCAACCTCTGCCCCTAGGTTCAAGTGATTCTGCTGCCTCAGCCTCCCGAGTAGCTCGGATTATAGGCACGTGCCACCACACCCGGCTAATTTTTGCATTTTTAGTAGAGACGGGGTTTTACAATGTTGGCCAGGCTGGTCTTGAACTCCTGAGCTCAGATGATCCACCTGCCTCGGCCTCCCAAAGGGCTGGGATTACAGGCGTGAGCCACCATGCCCAGCCAAAAATTTTTTTAAAAAGAAAAAATAGTGGCTGGGCATGGTGGCTCATGCCTGTAATCCCAGCCCTTTGGGAGACAGAGGTGGGAGGACTGATTGAGGCCAGGAGTTTGAGACCAGCCTGGGCAATATAGTGACACCCCATCTCTATAACAAATAAAAAATTAGCCAGGTGTGGTAGTGCGTGCCTGTAGTCCCAGCTACCTGGGAGGCCGAGGCAGCAGGGTCACTTGAGCCTGGAGTTCAAGACCAGCCTAGGCAACATAATAAGACCCCATCCCTGGAAAAATTACAAAAATTAGCCAGATGTGATGGCATGAGCCTGTAGTCCAAGCTATTCAGGAGGCTGAGGTGGGAGGATCACTTGAGCACAGGAGGTTGAGGCTGCAGTGAGCCATGATAGCACTGCTGCCCTTCAATTTAGGAAACAGAGCAAGACTCTGTCTCAAACAAAATTTATTTATTTATTTTTGAGACGGAATCTCACTCTGTTGACCAGGCGGGAGTGCAGTGGCACAATCTTGGCTCACTGCAACCTCCGCCTCCCAAGTTCAAGCGATTCTCCTGTCTCAGCCTCCACAGTAGCTGAAATTACAGACATGTGCCACCATGCCTGGCTAAGTTTTGTATTTTTAGTAGAGGCAGGGTTTCACCATGTTGGCCAGGCTGGTCTCAAACTCCTGACCCCAGGTGATCTGCCAGCCTTGGCCTCCCAAAGTGCTAGGATTACAGGCGTGAGCCACAGAACCCAGCCAAAAATTTATTTTTAAGTTTTTTTTCATTTCAGTAGCTTGAGGGGTACAAGTGGGTTTTGGGATGTGGAAGAATTGTATGGTGGTGAAGCCTAGGATTTTAGAGCCTCTGTCACCTGAGTAGTGTACTTTGTATCCAATAAGTAGTTTTTCATCGTCACCCACTACCATCATCCCCTTTCTGAGTCTCCAATGTCCCCACTCTGCATGTCTTTGCATACCCATAGCTTAGCTCCCACTTATTGGTGAGTACATGCAGTATTTGGTTTTCTGTTCCTGAGTTACTTCACTAAGGATAATGGCCTCCAGTTTCATCCAAGTTGCTGGAAAAGACATTCTTTCTTTCTTTCTTTTTTTTTTTTTTTTTTTTTTTTTTGAGACAGGGTCTTGTTCTGTCACCCAGGCTGGAGTGCAGCAGTACACAGCTCACTGCAGCCTTGACCTCCTGGGTTCAAGCAATCCTCCCACCTCAGCCTCCCAAGTAGCTGGGACTACAGGTGTGCACCACCATGCCCAGCTAATTTTTAAATTTTTCATAGAGATAGGGGTCTCACTATCTCTATGATTGCCCAGGCTGGTGTTGAACTGCTGGCCTCAAGCAATTCTCCTGTCTTGGCCTCCCAAAGTGCTGGGACTACAAGCATGAACCACCTCACCCTGCCCCTATTTCGTTTTTTTTTTTTGAGATGGAGTCTCGCTCTGTCACCCAGGCCAGAGTGCAGTGGCATCACTGCAACCTCCATTTCTTGGGTTCAAGTGATCCTCCCACCTCAGCCTACCTAGTAGGTGGGACTATAGGTGCATGCCACCATGCCTGGCTAATTTTTGTATTTTTAGTAGAGATGGGGTTTCACCATGTTGTTCAGGCTGGTCTGGAACTCTTGAGCTCTGGCAATCCTCCCTCCTTGGCCTCCCAAAGTGCTGGGATTACAGCATGGGCCACCGCACCCAGCCTAATATGTAATCTTAATTGAGAGCCACAAGCATTCGTTCATCAGATATCATTTGGTAGTTTTTATTTAATGGGTATATGTCTTTGAAGGTGATGCCACATTGGAAACGGGTCCCATGGGATTAATTTGGATTACCTTTAGGGAGTGACCATCAGAATTTTGGAACTCAGCTGTTGTGTTCAGTTGAGTCACTTATTAACGTAATCACCCAAAGCTGGGTGCAGTGGCTCACACGTATAATCTCAGCACTTTGGGAGGCCAAGGCAGAAAGATGGTTTGAGCCCAGGAGCTAGACACCAGCCTGAGCAACATAGTGAGACCCCATCTCTACCAAAAAAAAAAAAAAATTAGCCAGTCCGGGCGTGTGGCTTACATCTGTAGTCCCAGCTATGCAGGAGGCTGAGGCGGGAGGATGGCTGGAGTCTGGAAGGTCAAGGCTGCAGTAAGCCACGATTACACAGCTGCACTCCAGCCTGGGCAACAGAGCAAGACCCCAACTCAACAAAATAAAATAATCACCCAAGATCTGAGCTGTTGTATAATTAAAATTTTGTTCTAGAATAAAGAATTTCCCTGGTTTCTGAAAGGGAGCGTCTAAGTTCTTGGAATTTCCTGAGTGATAGGAGTGTGTGTTATTCACACAGACTGCCCATACCTGAGTTTATGTTAATGAGGTGACTTGGGATGGGAGCTGGCCATGCCAGGAAGTCCAATCGTGTGATTACAGGGTTGGGGCTTTGAGCCAGATGATATCAGCCCAGTCTGTGGGGTGGGGTAGGGTGGGAGGCTGGAGACTGAGTTCAGTCACATGGCCAGTTATTCAATTAATAATGTCTATGATGAAACCCTAGTAAAAACTGTGGACACTGAGGCTTGGGGGAGCACCCTTGTTGATGAACATAGAGGTGTGCCAGATTCTATGGGGAGAGGGCCTAGAGACCATGCATTTGAGACCCTGCCCCCTCCCACCACCCTCAGGCCTTGCCCTATGTGTCTCTTTGTTTAGCTTGTCCTGATTTGTACTCTTTATAATAAAACTGTAATTGCAAATATAGAACTTACCTGAATTCTGAGTCATTTTAGTAAATTATTGATCCCGAGGAGGATCATGAAACCTCTTCCCCTCCCAGATTGGTGGCCAGTTGGTCAGAAGTGCATGTGTCTTGGTGACCCCTGAACTGGCCTCTGAAATGAGGGCGGTGTTGCTGGGAACCATGCTCTTAAACCTGTGGAGTCAGATGTTAACTCCAAGTGCCTGGCGTCAGAATTGCATCGCAGTAATTGCAGAGCCAAGAGAACGCCACACCGTATTTCATTTTGTCAGCCAAGAAATGATCTCTCGAGGGCTTATTTTGTGCCAGGCCTGGTGGTGGGTGCCACAGGTACCACCTAACTGTTGAATGTTATGTTACTGAAGGAATTCATCAGGCTTAAAATAGCACCTGTGTCAAAGGGACGACACTGTGAAAAGCATGCCGTGATCGGAATTACTATTTTTGGGAGGATGCACAGATTTGGAGGACCAGATTTTCCCATACATTCATTAAACCAAGGAAGTCAAAAAGCTTCATGAAGTTAAAGGCTGGAAAGGAATTTTTAGCATTACCTTAAGAGGTGTCCCATTTCTTAAGAACTTGGAGTCATTTCTTGATGGAGAAAGGATTCCGGTGGCAGACACTGTGGTCCTATCCATGAGCTCTCCTTGGGATGTGCCAGTTGTGGTGAGTTTGCTGGGGGAAATGTTTGAGACCACTGTTAGCAAGGACTTGAGAAGTGCACCAGGCATAGTGTACCAAGAGCAGGAGGAAGGGCTTGAGGTCTCTTTGAGTCCTCATGTGGATGGGTGGGCCCATGACAGAGAAGCACTAGTAGATGAATGTCTGTAAGATCCCATATTGGGGCTGGGAGCAGTGGCTCATGTCTGTAATCCCAGCACTTTGGGAAGCCGAGGCAGGCAGATCACGAGGTCAGGAGATCAAGACCATCTTGGCTAACACGGTGAAACCCTGTCTCTACTAAAAATACAAAAAATTAGCCAGGCATGGTGGCGGGCACCTGTAGTCCCAGCTACTCGGGAGGCTGAGGCAGGAGAATGGCGTGAACCCGGGAGGCGGAGCTTGCAGTGAGCCGAGATTGCGCCACTGCACTCCAGCCTGGGCAACAGAGTCAGACTCCGTCACAAAAAAAAAAAAAAAAAAAAAGCTCCCATATGATCCCATATTGGGGGTTTTCCTGTCCTGGGGGCCAACACCTCCATTTCTCTCTCTTTATATTTTTTTTGTTATTTAGTTTTTATTTCACAATCATAAACTTAACTCCGTAATCCAGCTAGGCATGGAAGGGAACAAGGAGAACATGGAACCAAAGGGAACTGCAGCGAGACCACAAAGATTCTAGGATACTGCGAGCAAATGGGCCGGAAGGGTGCTCTCCTGAGCTACAGAAGGAATGGTCCGGTGGTTAAGATAAAACAGAAGTCAAACTTATTAGAGTTGTCCGCAGTCAGCAATGGTGATCTTCTTGCTGGTCTTGCCATTCCTGGACCGAAAGTGCTCCATGGCCTCCACAATCTTCATGCCTTCTTTCACCTTGCCAAAGACCACATGCCTGCCATCCACCACTCAGTCTTGGCCGTGCAGATGAAGAACTGGGAACCATTTGTGTTGAGTCCAGCATTTGCCATGGACAAGATGCCAGGACCTGTATGCTTTAGAATGAAGTTCTCATCATCAAATTTCTCCCTGTAGATGGACTTGCCACCAGTGCCATTAAGGAGTGTGAAGTCACCGCCCTGACACATAAACCCTGGAATAATGCTGTGAAAGCAGGAACCTTTATAACCATATCCTTTCTCTCCAGTGCTCAGAGCATGAAAGTTTTCTGTTGTCTTTGGAAACTTGTCTGCAAACAGCTTGAAGGAGACGCGGCCCAAGGGCTCGTCGATAACAGCAATGTCGAAGAACACGGTGGGGTTGACCATGGCTGATAGTACAGAGTTCCTGGTGGCGGCAGTGTCTGCAAAGCTTCTCTCTCTCTTTTTCAAGAAATAGGGTCTCACTCTGTCACCCAGGCTGGAGTTCAGTGGCACAATCATAGCTCATTGCAGCAGCCTCGAACTCCTGACCTCAAGCGATCCTCCTGCCTCAAACTCCTGAGTAGCCGGGACTAGAGGTGTGTGCCTCCATGCTTGGTTAATTTATTATTATTATTTGTAGAGATGGGATATGGCTTTGTTGCCCGGTCTGTTCTCAAACTCCTGGTCTCAAGCGAGGATCCTCCCTCCTGGGCCTCCCAAAGTGTTGGGATTACAGGCATGAGCCACCATGTCTGGCCAATGCCTCCATTTCTGAGGTGGACAGTCTCACTGCCCAGAGGAGTGTCTGGCTGGCCTTCATTTGTTAAAGAGCATCTCAACAGAAGGGGGCCCACCCATTGGAGGTGGTTCAGCTAAGTCTGGAGGCCCACCAATTGGTAGTGGTTGAGCTAAGTCTGGACATTCAGACATGGTGGGCCAGGTGCTTGTTAGAACCCCTTGGAAGCAAGAATGGCTGAGTAAACCAGGATTTTGTTGCAGAATGGAGTTGGTCCTGAATTCTCACTGTTAGAGTCACCAGCTGGGGAACCCTTCCAGCAGCCCCCAGGATCAATGACTAAAATGAAGTGGGCAGGCCTGGGGAGCTGGGAATGATGCAGGTGTATCCAAGCTCTGAAGGCAACCTCTACAAGCCAGTGCCAGTGGGAGGAGGCAGACAGACATCCTCCAGGAGCCTGTTGGGGCTAGAGGGAGTCGCCATGTCCCCAGTATGCTACCAGGGTAGCAGGGGCATCAGCAGCAGCATCACTGGATGGCCTCTTCTTCCATCCTCTGGCGTTTCACAGACTCACCATGAATGGGACAGATTTCATGACCACTCAGGGACTTTTCAGAAATCTAGGAGCAGGGATGACCCTGTACCTTTTTCAGGTCTGAAAGCAAGAAACACCCCATGGGCTGACAGCCCCCACCAGGGAAAGGACAGCTGTATGCAGCATCTTCCTCCTTAACTGGGCACAGATCCCAGGGGCTGGAGAAGGAGTGTTGACACCTAGGGGCTGGCCACACTGAGATGCCAAACTCCCCAACTTCTGGGAGGAAATGCATATAATGGATACAGGTATGTTTGAAAATATGCTCATAATGAGTACATATGTGTTTGAATGTATGCGTTGTGAGTACATGTGTGTGCATTTGTGTGAGTCTGTGTGAGAGCATGAGTGAAAGTGTGTGATATATGAAGCCAGCCTGATGGGGTTTGGTGGCATTGCTAGAAGCCCCTGAGAGGAAGGGAAAATGTGTGTGTGTGTGTGTGTGTGTGTGTGTGTGTGTGTGTGTGTCTGGGAGTGAGTAGGGTGTATGTGTCTATGTGAGTGTAAGGATACATAACTGTGAGTGTGTGTCTTAGTCCAAGGCGGCTGCTATAATGGAATGCACACATTCAAACCACACATAATCTATCTGGCTGTTCTTATGCACCAGTCCTTGCAATGAATAGCATGTATGTTTGAATGTGTGCATATAATGGGTACGTGTATGTTTGAATTCATGCATATAATGGATACATGTATGTTTGAATATGTACACATAATGGGCACACATATGTTTGAATGTGCATTGTGTATATGTGTGTGTACATTTGTGTGAGTCTGTGTAAGTGCATGAGTGAATGCGTAGGATATATAAATATATGTGTATGTGAGCTTTGAATGTGTGCATTTGTAAGTATGTGTATATGTGTGAGTGTGTGTTTGAATGTGTGAGGTGGTGTGCATGGATTGAGAGCATGCGTGAGATCCTGATTTACTATTCTTTAAGAAAGAGCTAATTCTCAAGAATAAGAACAATGGAAGGAGGACATATTAGAAGGAGAGTCACAGGGCAGAAATTCAGAAATCCAGGATGGATTGAGGGGCTCAGGGAGGAGGAGGGAGAAATAAATGGTAGCCAGGGTGCTGCGTGAATAAGCTATAGACCTATTTTAGTAGATGCCAGTAGTGGGAAATTTGGAGAGAGAAAGAGATGTCCGGTGAGGATTTTCAGAAAATTTCCATGAAAAGATTTGTCTAAAGCCCCTGGGCCTACCTTTTGACGAAGCCGATATGAAAGATTTACATGAGTATACATTGCAAGGACTGGTCCATGAGAACAGCCAAATATATTCAGGTTATACAAGGGAATAAAGGCCTAGTGGCCATTTCTCCAGGACATCCTACTGTGTAAATTCCAAAGGACACCCAGAGAAGCTCGATATAGATTTGTAAAAAGATAACGTTTTGAATGTCCATTGGGATATGATGAGTTTCTAAGAAAGAAGCCCAAGGGGGTGGAACAGCTGTTCGCCTATGACCATTGGCCCGATACCTCCCCAGGGAGCATGGCGGTGCATGGGAATGACATTTGATAGGAACCGCAAAGACACAGCCACATTCATCAAAATATGTTCAGCTGTTTGCATTCACTCTGGCTCAGACATTAGAGGAGATTTCCTGGCTTATGTGACTGAAAGGCCAGAGGCAGAGTGGGTGCCAGCATGGGTTTCATTTAGTGAGTCCAGTGTCATGAGGGTTTCTTCCTATCTCTGCTTTGCTTTCTGTGATGAAAGCTTTATCCCCAGGACGGCTCCTCTTCCTGGGTCCACATCATCTCTTCCACACCACCTGGGTAAACAGGGAGACACTCTGGCCCAAGATGTCAAGGGTGAGTCCTGAGATCCACCTGGCAGACAGTAATGACCATGGACGGGGACCAGCAAGGTTCAGACACCTGCTGAGTTTGGATCTGTGGCCTTTGGGTTCTAGAGGACTCAGCCCCAGTAGCAGCAGGATTTTTTTTTTTTTTTGGAGACGGAGTTTC
Organism: Homo sapiens; assembly: GCF_000001405.40. Classification (NCBI taxonomy): domain Eukaryota; kingdom Metazoa; phylum Chordata; class Mammalia; order Primates; family Hominidae; genus Homo; species Homo sapiens. Next base: position 98,457,517 of record NC_000007.14, read on the forward strand.
ACTCTGTCACCCAGGCTGGTGTGCAGCGGCGCGATCTCAGCTCACTGCAACCTCCACTTCTGGAGTTCAAGGGATTCTTCTGCCTCAGCCTCCCGAGTAGCTGGGATTACAGATGCCCGCCACCATGCTTGACTAATTTTTATATTTTTAGTAGAGATGGGGTTTCAGCATGTGAGCCAGGCTGATCTCGAGCTCCTGACCTCAAGTAATCCACCTGCCTCGGCCTCCCAAAGTGCTGGGATTACAGGCGTGAGCCACCGCACCCAGCCTAAGGCTGGCTTATTTTCCTGGCTCTGCCCCTACTAAACACCATAGGGGACTCCTGCTCCTGGAATGATCAGAGCCACCTTGGGGCCAGCTGCCCCTCTGCAGCACAGATGCTGAGCTGGGGACTCAGAGAAGGACATCAGTGATAGCCATCTTCTTCCCAAGAAGGCGCTGGTGCAGGGCGATGGTGGAGATACCCCTGAATTTCTGAGCTGTGGGCTCACAAGGTTGGGGGTGCAGAATGAATGAGGGGTGGGACCCAGTGTATATGAGGAGGCAGCCTGGATTTTGAATCCCAAGCTTGGAGGACACAGATCATCTGTTTTTGCAGTCTGACATCTGAAGCCCTGTCCTAGGCATTCCCAAAGCCCCTCCTTAAGCATCTTGGTGAGCAGTGGGGACACCTCCCACTCTAGGAACTGAAAACACGAGGTCTTCCATTCCCAGCATGTCTTGCAGCCTGAGCATGTGACCTGAGCTCAGCCAATCAGAGACGTCTGCTCTTCCTGGGCACTCCTTCCGGTGGTGGTGGTCACGTGGACCATGTTGTCTCGGGGCAGCCATGCCTTTCCCAAATTCAAATGTGTGGACTCTCTAGTACCCTGCCCATCAGTTCCCTTCTGTCTAATTAACAATCCAACTCTGTTGCTTGCGACTCATAAGCTGGCTGATACGAAAGGGAATGCAGCCCACCAAAGTCAGCCTGGGGATGTCGAAGGGGGTCCAGGGAGCAGGGCTGGACACCCCAGGACAGGGCAGCCAGGAGAGGATCCTGGGTCAAATGTAGGGGTCCCCTGAAGTGAGGGAGGACAATGACAGATTCACTGCACAGCCCGGTGAAAGCAAAACTGTCAGTCCCCAATACCATCCTGCCCCGACTATCCAACAGGCTGTGTGACCTTGGGCCACCGCCTTCCCTCTCTGAGCTTGGCTCCTCCTGTATGGGCTGGGAGCTGGCGTTGGTAATCTCCAGGGGGCCCCCTCCTCGCCTTTGCCTCTCTGTCTCTGCATTTGGGCTGTGCTGTGGTGGCTGGCGGCTCTGGGTGCTATCTGCCTATCAGTCCAAAGCCTCGGGAATCAGGCCAGGCCTCGGCCCACCTGGGGAGCAAGCAAGTTTTATTTTATTTTCTCTTTCCAGGCTTTGGCGAAAGGCTGTCCCCGATGGGAGACAGCTTGGGGGGTTCCGGAGGCAGGAGGGAGATGAGCTCCGTACTGCAGATCTTCAGGCAATCTGAGGAAAAGTAGGAGAATTTAAAGAGTCGTGAGACAACCTCCCAGGGAGTTCCCAAGACCAGCCTAGGGCAAAACCGGGGATGAGGGCTCAGCCCAGGCTCGGTGAACAGCTACCCCTGGCAGGTATAAATAACGAAACGCTGTAACTACTGACAGAACCACACCATTCGAAGGGTGCTTGTGAATTCTCTTTGTTTTCTCCTCTGCACCTGTGGAGTGCCCGCTATGTGTGTCCGCACCTGCCAGGGAAGCTGAGAGGCCTGGCTGGCTGCTTCGGGTTTGAGCGAGGACAGCAGCTTGGTTCTGAGTTAAGCAGACTGCATCAGAGGTAGCCAAGTATTGAGGCTTCTGCTGGGCCCCGCACCGTGTTCCCCAGCCAGTCAGGGCTACCGGGGACCCCTTTGTCCACACTGGGCACTGGGCTGAGTTGGGCTTCTGCCCGAGAGCCATTCATGAAGGTGTGTAACACACAAGGCCCAGTCAGGAAAAGAGAAACCACTCTGGGTATTTCAGAGTGAACTTGTTGGTTACCCAGGTATAGTAGGGAGTTAAGAAACAGAAAGGGTAAAATGAGGCAAGCCAGAGATTAGCAACGCAGAGAGCTGCAACCACCCCTAGGGTTGGTAAGACCCAGGGGGATGTGGATTTCCTGGAGCCAAGGATCTGGGCCATGGGGTTGGGGGCGGAGCCGTGGCAGGGGCTGACCATAGGGAGCTGGGACCACGGAGGGAGGGACTGTGCAGCAGGGGCTGTGACTGTGGAGGAGCCACCACCAGAGGCTTTACCCAGAGGAAGAGAGAGCAGGAGAAATTCCCTGGTTTCTCCCTTTACCCCATCTTCTAGTCTTTTCTTTAAAACTGTAGTAAAAGACACATAACAGGAAGTTTATCATCTGCACCATAAAAAATATAATAAATAAAAATAATAAATATTTTATTTATTTATTTATTATATTTATTTATTTATTTTAAGGCAGGGTCTCACTCTGTTGCCCAGGCTGGAGTGCAGTGGTGCAATCATAGCTCACTGAAGCCTCCAATTCCTGAGCTCAAGCGATTCTCCCACCTCAGCCTCCTGAGTAGGTGGGACTACAGGCACGTGGCACCATGCCTCACTAATTTTTAAATGATATGTAGAGATGGAGTCTTGCTATGTTGTCTAGGCTGGTCTTGAATTGTCCTTAAGCGATCCTCCTGCCTTGGCCTCCCAAAATGCTGGGATTACAGGTGGGAGCCACTGCACCTGACCAGCTCCACTTTTAAGTGTACAGTTCAGTCGCGTTAAACATATTCACATTGTTGTGCAACCATCACCACCACCCATCTCCAGAGCTTTGTCATCTGGCCACACTGAAACTTTGTCCCCATTAAACAACAACTCCCCATTCCTCCTCCCCCAGCCCCTGGCAACTACCATTCAACTTTCTGTCTCTATGAGTCTGACTGCTCTAGATACCTCATATAAATTGAACTATACAGGCTGGTCGCAGTGGCTCATGCCTGTAATCCCAGCACTTTGGGAGGCCGAGGTGGGTGGATCACCTGAGGTCATGTGTTTGAGACCAGCCTGACCAACATGGCGAAACCCCATCTCAACTAAAAATACAAAAATTAGCCGGGCATGGTGGCGTGGACCTGTAATCGCAGCTACTCAGGAGACTGAGGCAGGAGAATCTCTGTAACCCAGGAGGCTGAGGTTGCAGTGAGCTGAGATCACGCGCCTGCACTCCAGCGTGGGCAACAGAGCGAGACTGTCTCAAAATAAATAAACGAATAGATAAACAAATAGAATTATACAGTATTTCTTTGTGTGCGATTGACCTATTTTATTTAGCATAATGTCTTCAAGGTTCATCCATATCGTAGCATGTATCAGGATGTCCTTCCTTCCTTCCTTTTTTTTTTTGTTTGTCTTAGAGATGAGGTCTTGCTCTGTTGTGCCGGTTGGAGTGCAGTGGTACAGTCATAGCTCACTAAAGCCTTGAATCCCTGGGCTGTAGGGGTCCTCCTGCCTCAGCCTCCTGAGTAGCTGGGATTACAGGTGAGTGCCACCATGTCCAGCTTCCTTCCTTTTTAAGGCCAAATCATCTTCCATTGTATGGATGAGACCACATTTCATTCATTCATTCATTCATTCATTCATTCATTCATCAATGAACACGTGAATGCTTCTACCTTTTGGCTATTGTAAATAATGCCGAAACACATGTGGTATACAAATATCTCTTTGAGACCCTGCTTGCATTCTTTTGGTTATATACCCAGAAGTGGAATTGCTGGATCATATGGCAATTCTGCTTTAATTTACTGAGGAAGCGCCATGCTGTTTTCCACAGCAGCTGCACCATTTTGCACTCCCACTAGCAGCGCACAAGACTTCCAGTGTTTTGTTTGTTTGCTTTTTTGTTTTGAGACAGAATCTCACTCTGTTGCCGAGGCTGGAGTGCAGTGGCGCGATTTCGGCTCACTGCAACCTCTGCTTCCCAGGTTCAAGTGAGGCTTGTGCCTCAGCCTCGTGAATACCTGGGATTATAGGTGCACACCACCATTCCTGGCTAATTTTTATATTTTCAGTAGAGACGGGTTTTCCCTGTGTTCGTCAGGGTGGTCTTGAACTCCTGGCCTCAAGTGATCACCCCACCTTGGCCTCCAAAAGTGTTGGGATTACAGTTGTGAGCCACTGCCCCCAGCCATCTTTTATTTTTTTGTTTTCTTAATAAACTTGTTTTCACTTTACAGACTCACCCGGAACTCTTTCTCATGCGAGATCTAAGAACCCTCTCCTCTTGGGGTCTGGATCTGGGCCCTTGCCTGTAACAGGATGGCAAGGCTGGGCTGAGAAGGCAGTACTGCAGGGAGCTGGCCTGCCTAAGAATAAGGCCAACAGAAGGAAAACAAAGTCCAGGATTGCAGAAGCAGGGAGTCTTGACTGTGTTTCTGTGCCTGGATACAGCTATGCCTAAAGCCACCTCTCACCTGTGGGCATTCACAAGTTCCCTCTTTTTTCAGGGCCTAGTTGGGTTGGGATTTCAGTCAGTTGTCACTAGAGGTCATGACTGATGCATGTGCCTCGGGGCCCAAGCCCTGGCCTTTGCGCGCCTTCTTGATTCTGTATTCCTCGTGTTGCAGTTCGGGAAGTCTGGTCTTCCAGACAGGTGGTCCCTCTGAATACGCCGCAGTACTTCCTTGATTTGCACAGAGACAAGCAGATCAGAAGTTGGTGGGAGGCCAGCTGAGAGTTTTTGAGTCGGAAGGATGCACCTTTGCTGATTCTTAGACTTGGTGACTTGCCTGTGGTACCCTGGATGGTGAGTGATGGAGCTGAGACTGAGTCAGGCTGTGGGGCCACTTGGTTGTTTTGTCCACACTTGGGAGCCTGGTGAAGGCTGCGGGGGACATCCTTGTTAGACCAGGATGACAGAGCTGTTCCTGTTTCTTTTATTATTGTTATTGTTATTATTAATTTATTTAAAAGATGGGGTCTCACTAAGTCGCCCAGCCTAGAGTAGAGTGGCACAATTGTAGCTCACTGCAGACTTCAACTCCTAGGCTCAGGAGATCTTCCTGCCTCAGCCTCCAAGTGGCTAGGACCACTGTTGCACACAACTATGTCTGGCTAGTTTTTAAATTTTTTGTAGAGATAGTCTCACTTTGTTGCCCAGGCTGGTCTCGAACTCCTGGGCTCAAGTAATCCTACCACCTCAGCCTCTCAAAGCCCTGGGATTACAAGCATGAGCCACTGGGCCCGGCTGTTCCTGTCTCTAAAATGGCCATAGAGCTGAAAGAATCTTCTCTTTGTTTGGTGACAGAGTGGAGTGCTGGCCCTTGGAGGTCTCAGTGGCCCTGCTTTTGCTGAGACAGGCTCATCTCCTCCCCAGGCACTCAGGAGGGCCGCTACAGGGTGCTCAAGGCTTTGTGCTTCAAGGACAGAGCTGGAATGAAGCCCTAGCAGCCCAGCTCCTCGTCAGCCCCATTGCCATTCCCTGTCCTCCCCGAGCACTTTGCACATTCAAAAGCTGTTTCAGAAGTAGCAGCACATCTGATTCTCTTTAATGCACTTCCAGGCAGCACAGATGTGCATCAATGAATGAATGTTCCCTGAACCAAAGTGCTTCCGTGGGCCTCATGGTCCCCTCCCTCGGCACCCACTCCCAGGCCAAGAGCGTCCTATGAATCATGCATTTGTTCCTGTTATTGCTGTTCACAGAGTGGCAACTCTTGCAAAGGGAGGGGTACAAAGTGAATTTTTAGATGCTGCAGGAGACGAAGGGTCAGGGACTCTGGCTGGGGTGGGGATGGGGAACGGGAAGAAGCAGACCTTGTCAGGGGGTGATGGATGTAGGCTCCTGGAGGGGAAGCTTGCAGAGTCCAGAGCCCTGCCACCTGTTCACATGGCAACGGCACCCTGGCTGTAACACCTCCTGCATATGTCCATATGTAACAGGCTTTATCCTGAATGGAGAATTTGGCACCTGAAGCAGTCCCATGTGGAGTCCAGCTGACACGGGAGTGGGGTGGGGAGGGAACCAACAGACACAAAACAAAGCACTGGGTTGGGGAGGGGGCAGGTGGAGGGGGTGCAAAAATCTCCATGGCTGAAGAGACAGCAAACCAGAGACCAGACTAACAAGAGATGTGCAGACGGCTATACAGCAACTCCCAAATCGAAATGATTGCATGAAGCTCGTTCAAATATCCAAAGGCATAAATTAAGCACTGAGACCGTCTGTCCCTAAAATGTGTCAGTCAGACAGACAGATGACTGAGGGAAGACAGCTGATGTTTCCGTCGTTTGCAAAAATACAGTACTCTGATTTTGAGGGGGAGGCACCAAAATTCGTGATTCAACTTTGAAAGCAATGTTCAAAGTTTAAAAAAAAAATTTAAAGCTTGAAAAATGTCCCTGGAAAGGAACATGAAGACAAGTGTTATGAAAAGATGAAAGTCTCTCCCTTCAATGAAATGAAGGAAAAACATCATTGCACCAGCCACGTGGATGCTCCTGACAGCAGCGTCTCCTTGGGGAGGGTTGGAGGGGCGGTGGCTGTTTTTCCTTGTGGGAGAAGAGCTGGGATGAGAACTCCAGGGAAACCCGCAAGAGTGGATCCAGGCTTTGTGAGGCCTGAAGCTTAGACACTTCAGGGGATTCCCGTTGAGGGAAAGAATATGTAAATACAATATAAGCTTAGGTACGAAAGTGAATGTTTATTTAAAATGAGAAAAGAAATCACTACAAAGTATAGGCACCCTGTATATTCAGGTCCCTTTCTTCTGCCACCCGTTTAGGTAACTTACTAGAGATGTTTGCAGACTCCATCCTGATTTCTCTCTCCACCCAGAACACTCTATGGCTCCCAGCATCTCCCAACTCTTGCAGGGGCCCAAGCAAGCGAAGGGTCCTGACATTGGGGTATCATTAGCTTTACCCAGAATCTGTCTCTGGAAATGAGGGTGCCCAGAAAAGCCAGCTCTCTGCCCTGACTGGGATTTGCTTTCAGTGGGATTCAGGGTCTGTGAGTAGGAGGCTGGAGGATTTAGAAAAATCCAGAATGCCTGTGCTCTGGGATCTGGGGGCAGTTGCCGGAAGGCAGCCTGGCCTGGGTTTGTAATTTCGGTTCATGGAAATCTGGCCAATTGAATCATACTCTGCAAAGAGCCCAAGCATAGGGAGGCAGAGGCTGGTGAGCACAGGGAGGCAGGCTGGTGAGCACAGGGCCTGGAGACAGCTGTGGGCAGACAGCCATTCAGCTGGGGTCAGGCAAGAGGCATCTTGGCTAAGGTATCGAGGTTTTCTTGCCAGGGCTGGTCCTTCATGTGGGAGAGAAAGCCTCAGGCTGCCCTAGCCCAGAGCCCCTGCCCAAGTTTACCTCCCTCTCCTTGTTCTGATTCTGGGTTAAACAGGCAAATGTGGGCAGGGGCGGGCATTGGTGTCTTTCTCTAGGAGACCTGCTTATTGGACAAGAAATTAAAGCCAGTTTGCAAGGAGGTCTGTCCATCCGAAGCAGCCAGACAATATTAATCTGGCTCTCTTGGGAGCTTGCCTGAGGAACAGAGGGTACTGGTCTGTCACCTTGTATGCCTGATAACTGTGTCTCTCAGGGCAAGTCACTAAATTGGCATTGTGGTTTTATTCATCCATTTCTTTGAACCTGGTTCATGCCAGGTCACCTCCAAGAGAGATGGAACCATTTCACTGTGCCCAGAAAATCAATGTCTGGTGCACAGCCAGCGCTCAATAAATATCACCGGAATGAATGAAAATTAGATTTCTGAGTTTGCTGGGGAGGGCTGGGCTCAGACAGTAGCGGGTTCCCAAGGAAATGGTCGCCTTGCTCGGGCTAGGCTGGGGGAGCAGCCGGCCCGTGCTGGGTTCTCTCTGATGGATCACAGTGAGCAACAGAAGCGTGGGTGGGTATCACCTTCAGCCTCCACTGACTGCTGTGGAATCCTGTTAATGCCACTGCCTAAATACCCCAGAACTGCCCTCTTCTCTCCATCCCTTTGCCCTAGAACTCTCTCTTGCCTAGATGGCCATAGCAGCTTCCTTCACTCTGAAGCCTGGTTGGGTTTCTTCTCTTTTCTCTCTTTCTCTCTCTCTTTTTTTTTTTTGATACAGGGTCTTGCTCTGTTGCCCAGGCTGGAGTGCAGTGGTGCGATCACAGCTCAGTGTACCCTCAACTTCTCTGGCTCGAGCAATCCTCATCCTCCTGAGTAGTTGGGACTACAGGTGCACCACCACACCTGGCTAATTTTTTTTTTTTTTTAAACGGAGTCTTGCTCTGTCACCAGGCTGGAGTGCAGTGGCACGAGCTGGGCTCACTGCAACCTCCAACTCCCTGGTTCAAGCAATTCATTCTCCTGCCTCAGCCTCCTGAGTAGCTGGAATTACAGGCACGTGCCACCACGCCCAGCTAATTTTTGTGTTTTTAATAGCGATGGGTTTCACCATGTTGGCCAGGAGGATCACAATCTCTTGACCTTGTGATCCACCTGCCTCGGCCTCCCAAACTGCTGGGATTACAGGTGTGAGCCACTGCGCCCGGTCGGCTAATTTTTAAAACATTTTTGTAGAGATAGGGCCTCACTGTGTTGCCCAGACTGGTCTTGAATTCCTGGGCCCAAGAGATACTCCTGTCTTGGCTTCCCGAAGTGTTGGGATTACAGGTGTGAGCCACTGCACCTGGTCCAGGTGGGTTTTTATAAAGCTCAAACCAATCACCTTCCCTCCTGGCTCGAAGACCTCTCTGCCTCCCCATTAACCAAAGACAAACCTCAAACTCCTGAACATGGCACTGAACTCCCCTCCTCCCTACCTCATCTGCTCTCACTCCCACCTCCTACTTTGCTACAGATTGTCTGCAGTCCCTCCCACCACCCCACACCCCCAACCTGCATGCAGCTTCAACCTCCGTAACTTACTTGGTGAATTCATTTACCAGGGCTGCTGTAACGAAGGACCTCGGGCTGGGTGGCTTCAACAATAGAAATTTATTCTCTCAAAGTTCAGGAGACCAAAAGTCCAAGATCAAGGTGTCAGCAGGGTTGGTTCCTTCTGCGGGCTGGACGCAGCTATTTTATTTATTTTATTTTTTGAGACAGAGTCTCACTCTGTTACCCAGGCTGGAGTGGAGTGGCACGATCTCGGCTCACTGCAACTTCCGCCTCCCAGGTTCAAGTGATTCTCCTGCCTCAGCCTCCCAAGTAGCTGGGATTATAGGCACGAGCCACCGCACATGGCTAATTTTTGTATTTTTGGTAGAGACAGGGTTTCACCACGTTGGCCAGGCTGGTCTCAAACCCCTGACCTCAGGTGATCCACCTGCCTCGGCCTCCCAAACTGTTGGGATTACAGGCATTTTAGGGGGACACGTTCTGGGGGGAAACCCTTGGCATATGCTGTTCCCTCCATCTGGCATGCTCCTTCCTTCTTTCCTTCTTTCCTTCTTTTCTTTCCTTCTTTCCTCCCCTTTCCCTTTCCCTTTCCTTTCCTTCTTTTTTCAGAGTCTTGCTCTGTCACCCAGGCTGGAGTGCAGTGGCATGATCCCACCTCACTGCAACCTTGACCTCCCTGGTTCAAGTGATTCTTCTGCCTCAGCCTCCCAAGTAGCTGGGATTACAGATGCCTGCCACTGCACCTGGCTAACTTTTGTGTTTTTAGTGGAGTCGGGGTTTCACCATGTTGGCCAGGCTGGTCTCAAACTCCTGACCTCAGGTGATCTGCCCGTCTCGGCCTCCCAAAGTGCTGGGATTACAGGCTGAGCCACCGCACCTGGCCCATGCTCTTCTTCTTGTCCCTCACCCCAATCCCCTCCCACTGCCCTGATAACTCTTTGTTGTCCTGAAAGAGGCCGAATTCGCCTTCTTAAGTGCTTCACTGTTGTCACTGAATGGCCAACTGCTGTTGACACTAGACTGGGAGCCCCTTGAGGGCAGGACCAGAAAGCCTAGCCCTGGGCTAAGGACATTGAGAGGTGAGTTAGTTAAAGTAACATTAGTTGCTGTAACAGATAAACCTCACAGGCTCTCTGGCCAAACACAATAGAAGTAGAAGTATTTTTCTTTCTCGAATTAGAGGTGGGGTGCAGGTGTTTGGTTCGGGCTCCTGAGTCTCTGCCAATGTCACCAGCTGGCTCCAAGGGCACCATGGGCATCACTACCCACCTGATAATGTGTCAGAGATGGGAGGATGGACGGGGAGGTTTGCATGGACCAGGTCCTCTCATTCCACTGGTTGGAACTCAGTCATATGACCCTATGTGGCCACGCCCACCTGCAGGGGAGGTTGGGAGATGTTGTCCCTGGTTGAGCAGCACAAAAGGGAAGCACACATCTTAAGGGGACAGGAGTCCATGTTACATGTATGTGCACCTGAAACCCCACACTCTGATCCTGATATTGAGAAAGGGGCATTTGAAACATAGGGGCTTTCTTATTTTGTATTCCAAAGCTGAACCCACTTGGGGGGATTTTGAGTCCAACCCCTTCTATGAGTCTGTTCTCTTTCCTGGACTGCCTGTGGGATGTCCGCTATGACCCTATTTTGGGGAAGTTGCTGGAGGACTCATATGGTTTGGCTCTGTGTCCCCACCCAAATCTCATTGGATTATAATCCCCACGTGGTGAGGGAGGGACCTGGTAGGAGGTGACTGGATCATGGGGGAGGTTTCCTTCATGCTGTTCTCATAATACTGAGGGAGCTCCCCCAAGATCTGATGGCTTAAAAGTGGCAGTTTCCCCTGCGCGCTCTTTCTCTCTGCTGCCTTGTGAAGAAGGTACTTGCTTCTCTTTTGCCTTCCATCATGATTTTAAGTTTCCTGAGGCCTCCCAGCCATGCAGAACTGTGAGTCAATTAAAACTCTTTCCTTTATAAATTACCCAGTCTCAGGTAGTTTTTCTTTTCTTTTCTTTTTTTTTTTTTTTTTTTTAACATAGTCTCCCTCTGTCACCCAGGCTGGAGGGCAGTGGTGCCATCTCGGCTCACTGCAACTTCTGCCTCCTGGGTTCAAGCGTTCTCCTGCCTCAGCTTCCTGAGTAGCTGGGATTACAGGCACATGCCACCACGCCCAGCTAATTTTTGTATTTTTAGTAGAGCTGGGGTTTCACCATATTGGCCAGGCTAGTCTTGAACTCCTGACCTCAGGTGATTTGCCTGCCTCAGCCTCCCAAAGTGCTGGGATTACAGGTGTGAGCCACTGTGCCCGGCCTCAGGTAGTTCTTTATAGCAGTGTGAAAATGGACTAAAACAAGGGCAGAGCTGGGTTCTTGGTCCACATTAAGCACGGTGGGATCTTACGGGGTGGGTATTCTGAGGAATTGGTTATTTCAAATTCAGGGCACACTAATGGGGTCATTCCTGGGGTGGCCTTGGCCCAGCCTCTGTGGATGCTTTTGGACCCATCTCTCAAGATGCTGGGCTCTGGAGGGTTCAGCCAGGAGCCTCACCTGCTCTGTGTCGGCACTGCTTACCTCATGCCCAGCTGGCCACAGTGGAGTCTGGAATGAGGTGGAGGGAAGAAAGGGAGTTAATCTGTCCTGAAGGCTTGGTGTGTGCCAGCTTCGTACATATATGGCCTCCTCAGAACCTCTCAAGAGACCAGAAAACAGGGTCTTCAAACAATGAGGTGATCTCTACATTAACAAAGGAGTGGAGAAGGCTTCCTCTCACCCCCATTCCAAACCCTTTCTGCAAGAAATCTTCTGTTTACCCAAAGTACATAGAATACATTTGCTCAGACATTTTTCAACACCCATGCCCCTTCCTGCTGTTTGTTTTTAGTTTGCAGATTGTATGAGTCAGATTTGCTGCAATAACAAACATCACACACATTTCAGTGGCTTGCCACAACAAACATTTATTTTCCCTCATGGTGTGAGCCTGTGGCTGTGGGCCAGCTCCATGTGTCTGATTCTGGAACCCAGGCAGAAGGAACTGCTTCCTCGTGGAACTCTCCTATTCTCAAAGCAGAGGGCAGAAGCGGTGGATGCAACTTTCCATTTGGACCTGGCATGCATCATGTCTGCTAATAGAAAATAACATAGTGGATGCCCACCTGCCCACTCCTGGTCCTTCTCTTAAGAAAAGTAACCAAAAAGCAAAGAAGCCCTGGGCCCTGTGGATGTGAACATGTCCACAGAACACATTCCCTGCACCTTACTTTGGGGAACCACAGGCTTAAAACATAAACCTAGGTTTGCAATGTAGATCCTTCAAGGATTTTGCAAACTTCAGGTTTCAGACAAACAAACAAACAAAAAAGGGCATAACCAACTTGGAAAGAAAGGTTCTGAGAACTTGCTGGAAAGTGACCCCATCATACCACCCTATAAAGGTTTCTTTTTTTCTTTTCATTTTTTTTGAGACCGAGTCTCGCTCTGTCACCCAGGCTGGAGTGCAGTGGCACAATCTCGATCACTGCAACCTCCGCCTCCTGGATTCAAGTGATTCTCCTGCTTCAGCCCCGAGAGTGGCTGGGACTACAGGCACGCGCCACCATGCCCAACTAAGTTTTATATTTTTAGTAGAGACAGCGTTTCACCATGTTGGCCAGGCTGGTCTCGAACTCTCGATCTCAGGTGATCTGCCCACTTCAGCCTCCCAAAATGCTGGGATTACAGGCATGAGCCACTGTGCCCGGCCTATAAAGATTTCTTTTACCCCCTCCACATTAGATCCAGGGTATTGAGGCAGGGGTCCTGACTATCTCCTCTAGCTCCTCCAGCACCAGTGCTCACAGCTGCCTGCCTGCAGAGTTGAGGGAGGGGAGGGGAGACAGGGAAGGCGATAGCTCCTAGGGCCACACTGTGACTACTGAAATATGAGCTCAGGGGCCAAGGCAGTTTAGGGGAGGGGTTTCACTTCCTAAGAGGGTGTGCAGGTCTCTCTTTGGAAAGACTTCAGGGTGCTAATGAGGAGCCAGGAATTTCCTAATACTCTGGGGGTGTCTCTTCTCCTCCTCCTCTTGGGGTCCCCCTATTTTGCGAGGCAGAGGCTCCCTCAAGCCTGTGGTGCTCAAGTACCTTCAACCCTAGAGAGGGGAAAGCTGTCTTCACTGCTCCGTCGCCCCAGCCTGGGGTCCTCTTCACCACGCACGTCACCTGCAGGGCCACGCGGCCGGGATTCCCGCTTCCCTGCACCCGCAATGCCCGAGAGGCGGCAACGTCACGCCCCCTCTCCGTCCCGCCCCCCTCCTTTTATTTCTCTGGCCCCGCCCCTCTCCAGCCTCTCGAGTCCTGTCCCCGGCCCGTGGACCACGACCCGCCACGCCCCCAACTGCGGGCCACGCCCCATCCAGTGGCCCCGTCCAGACTCCGCCCACCTCAGGCCCTACCTCGTCAAGGCCCCGCCCCGTGCTTCCGTCCCTCTGCAGGTCCAGGTACGTGTGGCCAAGTGTGGGGTCGCCGCGCCCCCGCCCCCCAGGGACCTCGCGTCCCCTTTTCCCTTGTCCTTTAATTCGGGTCGTCGTCTTTCCTCTGCATTTGTTTGTTTCCAGAATTAATGAGACTAAAATTATTTTTGAGATTTTTTTTTAGGGGTATTTAGAGACTTCCCTTTAGGTAGTAGGGGGTGCCTTGAGGGAAGGCTGGCGCTCCTCGATTTGATAAGTGATTTCTTCAGGGTTGCCAGGCTGAGCTGGCTCTCGGGAGGAGCGCTTCTGCAGGGATTACAGTCCGCAAACATTTACTGTTTATCTGCAAGCCTCAGGGCCTGCGGGAGGAGGGTGAACGTCTTTCTAATGCAAAGAAGGAATAATGATGGCAACAACAGCTCGCCTCAGGCTAATTGATTTTATTTATTTATTTATTTATTTATTTATTTATTTATTTATTTATTTATTTTGAGACGGAGTTTCGCTCTTGTCCCCCAAGTTGGAGTGCAGTGGCGCGATCTCAGTTCACTACAACCTCCGCCTCCCGGGTTCAAGCGATTCTCCTGCCTCAGCCTCCCAAGTAGCTGGGATTACAGGCATGCGCCATCACGCCCAGCTAATTTTTGAATTTTTAGTATAGACGGGGTTTCACCATGTTGGTGAGGCTGGTCTGGACCTCCTAACCTGAAGTGATCCGCCCGCCTCGGCCTCCCAAAGTGCTAAGATTACAGGCGTGAGCCACCAAGGCCTCGGGCTAATTTACAAAGCATGTTCACCGCCACCGTCTCATTTGATCCTTTTTTTTTTTTTCTGAAGCATTTTTTTCTGTCCCCATCTTAAAGACTGCGAAACTGAGGCCCAGGGAGGCGAGTTGGAGCTAGATCTGCCTCATTTCAGATCTGTCTTGTCAGATAAACATATTTAAAACTAGCAAGTACAGAGAAAATGAATGTTGAGTAAATAATTTTAAAGAATGTATCCTCTTATGTTCCAATGAGGGGGTTTTTAAAATTTGATTTTATTGTTGTAACAGAAGCTCTTATTTCCACGTCTTCTTAAAGGGACTTTACTATCCCATATGTTTAAAGCACAATTTAAAGAGAACAAGGCCAGGTGCTGTGGCTCATGCCTGTTATCCCAGCACTTTGGGAGGCAGGAGGATTGCTTGAGCCCAGGAGTTTGAGACCAGCTTGGGCAACATAGTGGAGCCCTGTCTCTACAAAAGAAAAAATTAGCTGGGTGTGGTGGCGCGTGTCTGTAATCCCAGTTACTCAGGAGGTTGAGGCAGGAGAATCACCTAACCCGGGAGGCAGAGGTTGCAGTGAGCCAAGATGGCGCCACTGCACTCCAGCCTGGGTGACAGAGGGAGAACCTGTCTGTGGAAAAAAAAAAAAGAGAGAGCGAGCGAGAGAGAACAAATCAGTTTTGAATAATTATATAATTAAGTTACCACAGGGCACAGACTTGTACCCTGACTTGTAGCTCATGCAGACACATCTTACCTGGTCCTTTGGTGGAGAAGGGGCAAGATGGCTGGCCCCAACAGGGAGTCGAGGCTGGGCTGGAACCACAGGAAGGATGGAGACACAGAGGGAAGGGTGCCTGAGACCCTCGCTGCTGTCTCTGTAGTTAAGCATTTACTCCAAGCCCAGCACGTTGGCTGCACCCAGGAGCAGCTGCGGGGGCTCTGGGTCAGGCTCACCGGACCCTCGTCTGCTGAGAGGAGCCTCCTGTCAACCCCAGCCCCCTGGATGGACCAACCAAGGGCAGACTGCCCCGGTCTCCAGGTTTCTTTTGCATGAAAAGCTGTGCTCAATAATCCTATCAAAGCTGTCAGCCGACCAAGCCCAGAGACCAGCTGTCTCAAGGAAACAGTAAACCAGATGAAGGATGCCTTTCTCCGATTCGGTTGACATGCTTTATGTGTGAGCACTCTTACGACAACAGCAGGTATATAAAAAGGCTCAGTTACAGTTTCTTGGAAATAATAAAATAACTCGGAGGGACTCGTATGCCAAGGAGCTTGAAGATGAATGCCTGGCCATAAAAGTGGGCTCTCTTCATATTTCATAAAGCTGTGGTTCAGCTGTCTGGCAGGTTGAGGAATGAAAGGTGGGATTATTTTAGGAACGTTTTATGTTGCATCCAGAAGTATCCAGTTTATTGTATAAACAGCACTCAGACTTGAATGAAGGCAACAAGCATGATCGTTTTCTCCCTTCAGAAATCCTTTTGGGAGATAACAGTTTTAGGGCTAATTGAGTATAACATCAAATAATTATCAGCTATTGCTATACAGGAAGGAAATCCCTCTTTCATCTCTATAGTGTGTGCCATGCATCGGGCTACTTGGGGTTGAGGAATTATTGTCTCAGTGTTACAAATGGGGAAACTGAGGCTCAGAGTGGCAGCGTGACTTGTGCAAGGCCTCAAAACAGAAAAAAAACAGGGCCAGACGAGGTGGCTCACACCTATAATCCCAGCACTTTGGGAGGCTGGGGCAGGAGGATTGCTTGAGCTCAGGAGTTCAAGACCATCCTGGGCAACATAGTGAGACCCCCGTCTCTACAAAAAATACAAAAAATTAGCTGAACATGGTGGCACCTGCCTGTAGTCCCATCTACTTGGGAGGTTAAGGTGGGAGGATCACTTGAGCCCGGGAGGTGGGGGCTGCAGTAAGCTGTGATTGCGCCACTGCACTCCAGCCTGGGTGACGGAGTGAGACCCTGTCTCTTAAAAAAAAGAAAAGAAAAGAAACAGACTGGGAATCAACCAAAGGACGAGGCAAGAGGACTGTACATGAGACTGTCTGTACACTGTAGTCTTCATTATCTAGTTTAAAACGGATTCATTCTCTTTAAATTGTGCTTTAAACATATGGAATAGTTAAGTCCCTTTAAGAAGACTTGAAAAGAAAAGCTTCTGTTACAAAAATAAAATCAGAATTAAAAAGAAAAACCCTCATTAGAACATAATAGGATCTATTCATTAACATTATTTACTCAACATTAATTTTCTCTGCACTTGCTGATTTTAAATATTTTTAAATATTTCATAAGACAGATCTGGAATTATTCATTTATTATGGTAACACCTCAGTGTTTAATGTATTTTCAATACTTTTCTAAAGTGAAGTCTCACTTTAGTGTCATTTTTTTCTTTTTCTTTCCTTTCTTTTCTATCTAAAATTAGAAGTTGGGTTAAAAGACGTGGAAATTCAGGGCCAGTGGGGAGGTGAAGCTCTCCTCAAAATGTTTTATTTTAGTTCCTTGAGTTGACTTTTTTTTTTTTCCAGTTTGATTCACGTATAATTGTAGTATGTTATGCCACACATATTTAAACTATACAATTTGGGCTGGGCGTGGTGGCTCACGCCTGCAATCCCAGCACTCTGGGAGGCCGAGATGGGTGGATCGCCTGAGGTCAGGAGTTCCAGACCAGCCTGGCTAACATGGTGAAACCCTGTCTCTACTAAAAATACAAAAAAATTAGCAGAGCGTGGTGGGGGTGGGGTGGGGTGGGGGGGGCGCCTGTAATCCCAGCTACTTGGGAGGCTGAGGCAGGAAAATCTCTTGAACCCAGGAGGTGGAGGTTGCAGTGAGCTGAGATCTCACCATTGCACTCCAGCCTGGGCAATAAGAACAAAACTCCATCTCAAAAAAAAAAAAAAAGTATACAATTTGATCAGTTTTAACATATTTAGTAATTCATATAGAGAGTCATGTGTTGCTTAATGACAAGGATACTTTCTGAGAAATGCATTGTTAGGCGATTTCATGGTTGTGTGAAATCACAGAGCGTGTTGCTGCAAACCTAGGTGGTGTGGCCTACTACACACCCAGGCTGGATGATGTAGCCTGTTGCTCCTAAACTGCAAACCTGCACAGCATGTGACTGTACTGAATATTGCAGGCAATTGCAACACAATGGTAAGTATTCGTGTATCTAAATATATTGGCTGGGCGCGGTGCCTCATGTCTGCAATCCCAGCACTTTGGGAGGCCGAGGCAGGCAGATCACTTGAGGTCAGGCATTGGAGACCGGCCTGGCCAACATGGTGAAACCCCAATTTTACTAAAAAAAAAATAAAATTAGCTGGGTGTGGTGGTTTGTGCCTGGAGTCCCAGCTACTCAGGAGGCTGAGGCAGGAGAACTCCTTGAACCTGGGAGGCAGAGGCTGCAATGAGCTGAGATCACGCCACTGCACTCCAGTCTGGGCGACAGAGCGAGACTCCGTCTTAAAAACAAAACAAAACAAAAACATAGGCCAAGTGTGGTGGCTCACTCCTGTAATCCCAGCACTTTGGGAGGCCTAGGCGGGTGGATCACCTGAGATCAGGAGTTTGAGACCAGCCTGGGCAACATGGCAAAACCCCATTTCTACAAAAAATACAAAAAATTAGCTGAGTGTAGTGGTGTGTGCTTGTAGACCCAGCTACCTGGGAGGTTGAGGTGAGAGGATTGCCCGAGCTGGAGAGGTTGAGTCTGCAGTGAGCCGAGATCATACCACTGCACTCCAACCTGGGCAACAGAGTGAGACCCTGTCAAAGAAAAGAAAGAAAGAGAGAGAGGGGGGAAGAAAGAAGGAAAGAAATAAAGAGAGAAAAGGAAGGAAGGAAAAAGAAAGAAGGAAAAAAAGGAAGGAAGGAGGGAGAGAAGGGAGGGAGGAAGGAAGGAAGGAAAGAAGGAAGAAAGGAAGGAAGGAAGGTAGGAAGGAAGTAAGGAAGGGAGGGAGGGAGAGAGGGAGGGAGGGAGGCATTTATTTGTAGCTTGCCAAGCAAGAAGGACCAGGTAGCAAAATGCTCGAATCCTGGCTCACCGATGGCTTTTGCAGGCAAAAGTTTTTAAAGGCAGAGATATATTTCAGAAAAGCAGAAGCTACAGGCAAAATTGTGAATGAGTACACAAAGGTTACACATTGGTTTAGGCCTAAAAGGGTGGTGAGATATCTTGAAGCGAGGGCTTAGTGGTCATAGGTAGACTCAAAGATTTTCTGATTTTCAATTGGTTAAGGAAGAGATGCTTTGTTTAAAACTTTGGGGTCAGCAGAGAAAAATGTTAACTGTCTCAGGGGTGTGATGCCCTCCAAGACCCTCAGAAAGAAATTTAGACCAAAGAATGGTGCTCAGAATTCAGTCTTCAGTTCCCCCTTATCTCAGGCCTTCAGTAGAGGTCCAGGTTTCTGAAACACAGCTCAGGGACATATGGTAAGATGTTATCTTTAGTTTCTATAGGGAAAGCAAACATCTCTGGAACTCTTACTTTCTTGGCTTATTGTTTTAAGCTACTATTACTTTTTTTTTGAGATAGAGTTTTGCTCTTGTTGCCCAGGCTGGAGTGCAATGGCACGATCTTGGCTCACCGCAACCTCCGCCTCCTGGGTTCAAGCAATTCTCCTGCTTCAGCCTCCCGAGTAGCTGGGATTACAGGCATGCACCACCACGCCTGGCTAATTTTTGTATTTTTAATAGAGACGGGGTTTCACCATGTTGGCTAGGCTGGTCTCAAACTCCTGATCTCAGGTGATCCACCCGCCTTTGCTTCCCAAAGTGCTGGGATTATAGGTGTGAGCCACCGTGCCGGCCCTATTGCTACCTTTCGTTTTAACAATTGACTTATTTACTTCTGGGGCTAGCTAGATGCCTGGGATTTCCCTTGTAAGAACCAGAATTTTCCTTAATTTCCATGCTGTGAGGTCCACAGGCACCTAAAAAAGAGGTCCCTGCTCCCTCTCATTTCTCAGCTGGCGGACAGCCTCTTGCCTCTCTGTGGGGATTCAAGATGTTGGCCCATCCTCCACTGTCCCCAGGTAGTCGATGACCTTGGTGGTCAGGATGGACTCTTAGGATCATGGGTGGGGGGGGGGTGTGTTTGGAGCTTTCTTGACCCCGGGAAAGCTGCAGGATGACACCTTGAATTTTCTCTGCAGTGCCACGGGAACTGGCAATTGCATTTAGCACTCGTTTGTCCTCTCTGCGTGCTAAGTGATTGGTGACACATGGAGGCACTGATTGTTTCCTAAGGGCTCTTTTACGAGATCTCCAATAAAGTTCTAAGCGGATCATGCCTGTTTGGGGAAAGATAACACCAGTGTGAGGCCCAGGAGTTTCTCAGAAGAAATTCTAGCTGGATGAGCATTTAAGGAAGGAGATGAAGTCAGCGTTTGGAGACAATGAATTAGATGGCTGGATATGTCACCGCAATCATGAATAATAAATGAGCAGGAAGAGGCTATAATTCACAGAGTGGGAGAGGAGACTAGAAACTTGTAGTGCCTGGGGAAAGAGCATCTGAGACATGCCTTGGACTTGTGAAAAGAAACCTTCTTGAAGAAATGCTTTTCCGCAAAAATGCCTGTTATCGGGAAGAGTGTCCATGTTTCCGAGAGACAAAGGATTTATGGCTGTAACAGAAACTCTCTCCGTGCAACTCCACCCTCCTCTGTCCCTCCCTTTGCACCCTGCAAGATCTTGCCAGCCATAATTAGGGCTGTTTTGGGGACAGGCCATTGCCCCCCCTTCTCAAAGGGAGGTAGAAGGCAGGACTTGACTCCAGAGGTGGGGCTTGGACACTGGACCAAACTGAGGACTAGTTAAAACAGGGCCGGGGGCCGGGTGCCGTGGCTCACGCCTGTAATCCCATTGCTTTGGGAGGCCAAGGCGGGTGCATCACCAGAGGTCAGGAGTTTGAGACCAGCCTGGCCAACATGATGAAACCCCGTCTCTACTAAAAATACAAAAATTAGCTGGGCATGGTGGCGTGTGCCTGTAATCCCAGCTACTTGGGAGGCTGAGGTGGAAAAATCGCTTGAACCCGGGAGGCAGAGGTTGCAGTGAGCTGAGATCTCACCCCTGCACTCCAGCCTGGGTGACAGAGTGAGACTCTGTCTCAAACAAACAAACAAAAACAAAAAACAAACAAAAAACCAAAACAAAAAACAGGGACAGGGTAGAAGCAGCTTTCCATAAGACACACCCCCCAGTGCATCATGTCAGTTTACCACTGCCATGGTAACACCTGGGCGTTTCTGCCCCTTTCCATGGCAATGACTCGACGACCCAAAAGTTACTACCCCTTCTCTAGAAACTTCTGCATAGGCCGGCGCAGTACACACCTGTAATCCCAGCACTTTGGGAGGTCAAAGCAGGTGGATCACCTGAGGTCAGAATTTTGAGACCAGCCTGGCCAACATGGTGAAACCCCGTCTCTACAAAAAATACAAAAATTAGCTGGATGTGGTGGCACAAGCCTGTAGTCCCAGCTACTCAGAAGGCTGAGGTGGGAGGATTGCTTGAACCCAGCAGGCGGAGGTTGCAGTGAGCTGAGATTGTGCCAACTGCACTCCAGCCTGGGCAACAGAGTGAGACCCTGTCTCAAAAACAAAACAAAAAAAAAAATTTTCTCATAGGCCACTTCCTTAATCTATATGTAATTAAAAGTAGGTGTGAATGTGGCTGCAAAGCTGCCTTGAGCTACTGTTCTCTGCCTATGGGACAGTGCTGCTCCCAGGAGCAGTCATGGAGCTGTAACCCTGCAGCCTCAGTAAAGCTGTTTTCTTCTACCCTACCACTGGCTTGCCCCTGAATTCTCCTTTTTTTTAAAAGTACAATTTCCATTTTATTTTTCTCCAGATAATAGTCTGTCTTCAGTCTTGAAGGACTCAGCTCCTTATATGGGCTTTGGTGGGGGTCATGGGGCAGCACCCCCAGGTCTAAATCGGGGTGGGGGTGTTTGGTCCTTGAGGGCTTCACGAGATCAATTCCTGACTACTTTGCTGTGAATGGCACAACCCACACAGTAACACAGCTTCAGATATAGCTTGGGAAGCACATAGGCATTGAAGACGCTCGCTTCAGAAATGTCCCTGACTGCTGTGGCCTCTGCTATGTTTAGAATGATGTCTTTCTTTCTTTCTCTTTTTTTTTTTTTTTTTTTGAGATTGAGTCTTGCTCTGTCACCCAGGCTGGAGTGCAGTGGCGCGATCTCGGCTCACTGCAACCTCCGCCTCCCGGGTTCAAGCGATTCTCCTGCCTCAGCCTCCCGAGTAGCTTGGATGACAGATGCCCGCCACCATGCCCCACTAATTTTTGTATTTTTTAGTAGAGATGGGGTTTCAACATGTTGGTCAGGCTGGTCTTGAATTCCTGACCTCAGGTGATCCACCCGCCTTGGCCTTCCAAAGTGTTGGGATTACAGGTGTGAGCCACCACGCCTGGCCCCAATGATGAATTTCCTAATGGCCTTGTCTTTGGGCACATGTCAGGCACAGTTCATGCAGTGAATAGACTGCACGTGCTCACGGCCCTTTTGGGCATAATCGTTGTTCCTTCTTTTCTTTGTCATCTTGGAGGCCTGGACTGGAGAGAGCTGGCCTTGAATTGTTTCCTGCGTGAAGCCAAGAATCCTCTCAGGCTGAGTCCCAACTTGGGGCTCGCCTGCCCTGCGTCCAAAGTGTGTCCTTCTAAACCTCATCAGGCCCTGTGATTCACAGGTGTAACAGGCCATTGCAAGGGGGAGAAGAGCTCTCAGCTGGAAAAAGGGTTTAATGAGTTTCACAAGCATAGGGAGTCTGCTGTTTTTGTTAGGGTCCAAGGGTTGCCACCTCAGCATCTATTTAGAGCACCCCCTGGAAAAGACAAGAGTCAGCAATAAATGGGCCTTAGGTCTGTGGATCGATGCTGACGTTTAATCACTTATTCATGGTCTCCTGGGAAGCTGCGAGCAGCACAGCCTATGTGAGAAGGTGCCAAGGATGCCGTCTGCAAACTTGCCTGTCTCCTGGACCATTCCTACCCACAAAACAGTGTCTCCCTTTTTATCATGATTTTATTTTATTTATTTTGAGACAGGGCCTCACTCTGTCACTCAGGCTGGAGTACAGTGGTGCAATCTGAGCTCACTGCAGCCTCAACCTCCTGGGTTCAAAGCGATCCTCCAGCCTCAGCCCCCTGAGTAGTTGGGACTACAGGTGCACACTACCATGTCTGGCTATTTTCTTTATGTTTTGTAGAGATGGGGGTTTTTCTTTTTTTTTTTTTTTTGAGATGGAGTCTTGCTCTGTCACCTAGGTTGGAGTGCAGTGGCGTGATCTCAGCTCACTGCAACCTCTGCCTCCCAGGTTCAAGCGATTCTCCTGCCTCAGCCTCCCAAGTAGCTGGGATTACAGGCTCCCACCACCGTGCCTGGCTAATTTTTGTATTTTTGTAGAGACAGGGTTTCACTATGTTGGCCAGGCTGGTCTTGAACTCCTGACCTCAAGTGACCCACCTGCCTTGGCCTCCCAAAGTGTTGGGATTACAGATGTGAGCCACCACTCGCGGTCATGCCCAGCTTTTAAAAAAATTTTAGTAGAGACAGGGACTTGCTGTGTTGCCCAGACTGGAGTGCAGTGGTGCAACTAGAGCTCACTGCAGCCTTGAACTCCTGAGCTCAAGCCATCCTCCCACCTTGACCTCCAAAGTGCTGGAGTTACAGGCGTGAGCCATTGTGCCTGGCCTGACCTCTCTTCTGCATCCCTCCCTAAGTCTTTAAATGCTGCCTTGTCCTACATCTGGGTCCTCTAGAAGTCTCCAACCCCTAGGCCGTGGACTGGTACCAGTTCATGGCCTGTTAGGAACCAGGCTGCACAGCAGGAGGAAAACGGTGGGTGAGCAAGTGTTACCACCTGAGCTCTGCCTCCTGTCAGATCAGCGGCAGCATGACATTCTCATAGAGCATGAACCTTATTGTGAACTGCACATAGAAGGGATCTAGATCACGTGCTTCTTATGAAAATCTAATGCCTGATGATCTGAAGTGGAACAGCTTCATCCTGAAACCATCACCCACCCTTGCCAAGCTGGCGTATGGAAAAATTGTCTTCCATAAAACCAGTCCCTGGTGCCAAGAAGGTTGGGGATCACTGCTGTAGCTACTCTTCTTGGGGAAGGTCTCCTAGCACCCTGGATTTAAATACCATCCTATGCTGAGACTCCAGGACACTTGGTATCCTCCACAGGACCCCAGCTCTCTGTGTGATCACACTGCCCCTGCCCCAGCCCAGCCACCCACAGGGACATGCCACAGGATTGAGGGCAGGAAACTCCTGGAAGGCAGGAGCCTGGGTCCTGATCCTGGGTCAGTCACATGCTGAGGTCTTGGCAGGTCCTTTTCCTTGTGAGGCCTCAGTTTCCCCATTTATCCTTGGTTCATTTTTGAGTTCCAGGCTGCTATGCCAGTTAGGAACTCAACTAAAGGCCAGGCACGGTGGCTTAGGCCTGTAATCCCAGCACTTTGGGAGGCTGAGGTGGGAAGATCGCTTGAGCCCAGGAGTTTGAGACAAGCGTGGGCAACATAGCAAGATACCATCTCTACAAAAAAATAAAAAATAAAAAAATTAGCCAGCCATGGTGGCATGCACCTGTAGTCCCAGCTACTCAGGAGGCTGAGGCAGGAGGATCACTTGAGCCCAGGAGTTCAAGGCTGCTGTGAGCCATGATTGTGCCACTGCACTCCAACCTGGGTGACAGAGCAAGACCCCATCTCTAAAATAATAATAACAATATTAATAATAATTCTCAAAACTGTAGGCAGCTTTGTTTAAATGCAATAGTTAGAACCCCAGGGGAGTTTGTGTAGAGAAGTGTTGAATGGGGTGAGCTATGACACTAAACTGACCAGGTTTGAATCCTGGCTCTGGAACTTCTTAGTTGGGGCATTTTGAACCTGGTAATTAGGATATCTGTGCCTCAGTCCTGTCATCAACAAGAAGGGCAGGATTATGGCACCTCCCTTATGGAGTTGTCATAATGACCTGATGGCTTAATACATGTAGGGCTTGGAGCAGTGCCTAGCACTTGGAAAGCACTCAATAAGTGCTAGTCATTAGCATTAGCATTAGCATTATAATACTTATAGTAATTACTATTTTCCCTCCTGCTCCTTGTCCTGTGGTCTTTGTTTCTTTGAATGACACCAACATCAAGTGGTGTCACTAGGGTTGCCTGGTGAGAGCTGTTGTTAAACTTTCAGGAATTTTACCAGCTGGTGGATGTCACATTGGTAACTTGAAATAGGCTTTGGTGGGAGTATTTACACGTTAGGAATCGGCAGATGCTACAATCAGGTCCTTACACTAGAGAGCTGATTGTTGAACATTGACCAGCACACCCCTGCCATCATTCAACCATCCTATTACCTACGCCAGAGATAAGACATGGGAGGAAAAATTGGGGTATGTATTGCCCCACTGCCTACCTGCCTGCCTGGCCATGGTTCTGACACTCTCCTCCTGACTGGCAGCCCCGTCCTATCACTAGGTTGTAACAGCTTTTTTTTTTTTTTTTTCGAGACAGACTCTTGCTGTGTCGCCCAGGCTGGAGTGCAGTGGCACAATCTAGGCTCACTGCAACCTCTGCCTCCCATGTTCAAGCGATTTTCCTGCCTCAGCCTCTTGATTAGCTGGGATTACAGGTGCACACCACCATGGCTGGCTAATTTTTTTTTTTTTTTAAGACGGAGTTTCACTCTTTGCCCAGGCTGGAGTGCAATGGCATGATCTCGGCTCACCGCAACCTCCGCCTCCCGGGTTCAAGTGATTCTCCTGCCTCAGCCTCCCGAGTAGCTGGGATTACAGGCATGCACCACCATGCCTGGCTAATTTTGTATTTTTTAGTGGAGACAGGGTTTCTCCATGTTGGCCAAGTTGGTCTCGAACTCCCAACTTCAGGTGATCTGCCCGCCTCGGCCTCCCAAAGTGCTGGGATTACAGGTATGAGCCACCGTGCCCGGCCTAATTTTTGTATTTTTAGTAGAGATGGGGTTTCACCATGTTGGTCAGGCTGGTCTTGAACTCCTGACCTTGTTATCTGCCTGCCTTGGCCTCCTAAAGTACTGGGATTACAGGTGTGAGCCACCATGCCTGGCCGGTTGTAACAGCTTTTGACTGATGCTAAACCCTGGGTGTTCACTATCTATGAACTCCACTCACACCTCCGTACTCAGCCCTTTCCTCCCAGCTCCCTTCAGCTGGGCCCTCTGAGTGTGTGTTGTGTTTTTCACCAGGCTCCCACCTCGGCTAGGCTGCCAGGTGCAGATTTCACTGGTGCCTGCCCATATCCCCTGTGACTTACCTTCTCAGTGCACACCGGCCTGATATCCAGCTGCCAGCAGCCACATCACCTTGCCCTAGGGCTTTCTCTGAAGCTGTTCTACATCTAGGGCATTATCACCTCCTAGAAGTCGTCCTCAGTGACTTCCAGGAATTAGTGGATAAATTCATGAGCCTGCCCTCTTGGATGGGTAACTCTGAAGCACTTATGCCACATTCCAGAGAGTTCTGCAGTAGGCCATCCTTCATTGCCTACT
The DNA here is from genome assembly GCF_000001405.40 of Homo sapiens. Lineage (NCBI taxonomy): Eukaryota > Metazoa > Chordata > Mammalia > Primates > Hominidae > Homo > Homo sapiens. The sequence continues at coordinate 98,483,228 of NC_000007.14, forward strand.
GGGGTAACTGGCTTAACAACACACTCTTTACTGGCCACCTTCCCTCCTGTATGACTTCGCTAGGGCTGCCATAGATTGAGTGGTTAAGCAGCAGCAATTTATTTTCTCACAGTTCTGCAGGCTGGATGTCCAGATCAAGGTGCCGTCAGGGTTGGTTCCTGGTGAGGGCTTGCTTTCCGGCTTGCAGATGGCCGCCTGCTAGCTGCATCCTCCCATGGCCGTTCCTCTGTGCTCTCGAGGAGGGAGAGAGAGAGATTCTGGTTTCTCTTCCTCTTATTATAAGGACATCAGACCTGTGAGATTAGGGACCTACCCTTATAAGCTCATTTAACCTTAATGACCTTCTTAAACGCCCTGTCTCCAAATACAGTCTTATTGGCGGTTAGGGCTTCAATATATAAATTTCGACAGAGACAGTTTAGTCCAAAATACCTTCCTTGTTTCAGTGATTCCCCTGAAAATGCTTCCTGGGATCACCTCCCAGGAAACCTTTAGGACCCTGAACCTTTGTCTTGGATCTGCTGTAAGACAATGCTTCTCAGACTGTCCTTTCTAGACTGCAGGCTCACTGACAACAGATAGGGGTCCTCCTACATGAGGGTCCTCCCACAAATGCTCCGCAATACGGGTGACAGGCCAGTGGGGTGTTCCCCAGCTCCTACCAAGGGCTCACAGTCTCGGGCAATCTCTATCCTCCCATCTTTCAGCCTCTGCTGCATTCTGACCTCTTCATTAACCCCATCGGGGAGTTGTCCCCCCAAGGGCAGGGGAAGCCATCCAGGGGCTTTCATTATCCGGGTCTCAAATCTGGGGCCAGATTCAGCCAATGGGTAGGGTACAAGAAGGCCTTCTACGTCCCATCCTGGAGGGCAGAGGTCTGGGCCGTGGCTGGAAGAAAGCCTGCTCTGGTGACCCCTCTCAGGCCCTGGCCCACCCCAGTCCTGCCCTTGACGACAAAAGAGGGTGTCCCTGTCTCTCAGGGGTCTAGGATCCTGGACACTGTGTCTGCTTTGAAGGGAAAGACGCCTCTGAGAGCGGTCTGTGGCTTCACATTTATTATTGATGCAGGCTTCAGCAGCCCTCTCTTGGGCATTTCCATTCTATATGTAAATTCCAATCGGATTTCAGAGCAACAGTGGCCCAGCGCAGGCCTGTGTAAGCTGTGGCTGCTTAGACAAGGCTGGACCGAGGGGGAGACACGTTCCTACCTGACCCCAAAGGACCTTGCTGTTTGGATTTTGGAGACTCAAATTACAATGCATCTGTGCCCTGTTTTGTTTTATTCTATTTGTTTAATTTTTTGAGATGGGGGTGGGGGTCTCAGTACATTGTCCAGGCTGGTCTCGAACTCCTGGGCTCAAGTGATCCTCCCGCCTTGGCTTCCCAAAGTGCTAGGATTACAGGTGTGAGCTAGTGTGCCCAGCCTGTGACCTATTTTATTTTGGACTGACTTTTGGGGAAGATTCCTTTTTGCCACCCAGGGTCACTTGTGGCTGGTGGGTGGGGAGGGAGGCTGATTGCAATAGGTGCCTGCAAGCCCCTCCCCTCCCCTGGTGGTCTGCCTGGATACAGGTCACCCTCTTGAGTTCTGGTGTTGAGGGGAAAATGTCACCCTGTGGTTTGTGAATAGTTTGGGATGGGATGGAAGAGGAGAGGGCTGAAGATACGTGCCCATCTGCCTGCCATGGACCATATGTGACTTTTAAAATTAAAATTAAATAAAATATTTTATTATTTATTTATTTATTTATTTATTTATTTATTTATTTATTGAGATGGAGTATTGCTTTGTCATCCAGGCTGGAGTGCAGTGGCATGATCTCGGCTCACTGCAACCTCTGCCTCCCGGGTTCAAGCGATTCTTGTGCCTCAGCCTCCCAAGTAGCTGGGATTATAGGTGCCTGCCACCACGCCTGGCTAATTTTTTTAAATTTTTAGTAGAGACAGAGTTTTGCCATGTTGGCCAGGTTCGTCTCAAACTCCTAACCTCAGGTGATCCACCTGCCTTGGCCTCCCAAAGTGCTGGGATTACAGCCGTGAGCCACTGCGCCCGGCCAAAGTTAAATAAAATTTAAGATGCAGTTCCTCAGTCACATTAGCCCTATTTCCAGTGCTTAGTGGCCACAGGTGGCTGCTGTATTGGACAGCACAAATATAGAACATTTCCATCCTTATAGAAAGTTCAAAATTAGCCGGGCATGGTGGTGCTTGCCTGCAGTCCAGCTACTCGGGAGGCTGAGGTGGGGAGGTCGCTTGAGCGCAGGAGGTCAAGGCTGCTGCAGTGAGCTGTGATTGCACCACTGCACTCCAGCCTGGGTGACAGAGCGAGACCCTGTCTCTAAACAAGAAAAGAAAGAAAGAAAAAAGCAAGTTCCATTGGCCATGCTGGGCTAGTGCCTGCAGCCTTGCTTGATTCATATAGGTGAGCACCCAAAAGGTGGTTTTCAGCCTTCACGGAAAGGAAGGACTCCTTGGATCCTTGTTAAAAATGTAGCTACATGGAGTGGGTGGCTCGTGGCCTGGACTCCGAGTGCCTACAGCCTTCTCATCTCCATTCTGTCCTGCCTTCTGCTGTGCTCCTGGCCTCAAAGGCTGGTCCTTCCTGGGTCCCTAATGCTAGGCTGGCCCAAGGGTGGATCTGTCAGCCATCCTCAAACCCTAACTAGGGGAAGGGAATGGGAGTGGAAGTGGGGTTCTGTGCTGCTGCCCTTCTGCAGAGCCTGTGTGGTTCACAGGTGATACAGCCCTGGCACTGTGTCCAGAGCAGAGCACGTGTGTCCTGGGAGAATGGCCAGAGGGTTTACAGGGAATCAGTATGTTAGACTGTTAGGGGCTAAACTGTGTCCCTTCAAAGCCCATCTGCTGAAGTCCCAACTGCCACAACCTCAGAACATGACTCCATTTGGAGATACAGTCTAAAAAAAAATGTAGCTACTTGGAGCCCACCCCTAGAGTTTCTCATTTCCTGGGTCTGCACTGGGCCCGGGAACTTTGATTCAAAAAACTTCCAAGGTGATTTAAAAAACACTTTTTATTTTGAGTTCACTTGAAATATACAGAAAAGCTGTAAAAATGGTACAGAGAGTTCCCATGTCCCCCCTCACCCAGCTTCACCTCTAGCTGACATCAGACATAACCACTGTGTAATGATCAGACCCAGGAAATTAACACACTGCAATGCTGTTAACTAAAAGACAGATCGTATTTGCATTGCACGATTTTCTATGCTAATGTTCATTTTCTGTTCCAGGATCTCACCCAGACCACATGCATTTGTGGTTATTTCTCTTGATTCCCTTCTAATCTGAGGTCCTCAGGAGAATCTGATATGGTGTCTCAGGGATTTCACCCTGGGAGATGCTGAGGAACTGGGGCCCAGGATGGGCAAGGGCCGATGAGGAGAAGAGACAGAGGGAAGATGCAGGGAAGTAGCGTTTCAGAGCACAGGCTGCCGTGTGTGTGAGTGTGTGTGTTGGTGTGCATGCACGTCTCTGTGCACATGTGCGTGTGTCGTATGGGGGCGCACACGTGTATCTGTGTGTGCATGCGTAGGTACATGTATGTGTGCATGAGCGTGTGTGTGCACATGTGTATCTGTGGGTGCGTGTGTATGTACATGTATGTGTGCATAAGCGTGTGTGTGCACACGTGTATCTGTGGGTGCATGCGTAGGTACACATATGTGTGCATGAGCGTGTGTGTGCACACATGTATCTGGGTGCATGCATAGGTACACGTATGTGTGCATGAGCGTGTGTGTGCACACTTGTGTCTGTGTGTGCATGCATAGGTACATGTATATGTGCATAAGCATGTGTGTACACACGTGTATCTGTGTGTGCATGCATAGGTGCAGGTATGTGTGCATGAGCATGTGTGTGTTCACATGTGTATCTGTGTGTGTACCTTCCTGTGTCTCTGGGTGTGCAAATACGTGTGCATGTGCAAAATTGGGAGGGTGATGGCTGTAGGGTGGGAGCAGGAGAAACTCCTAGAGAAAAATCCAATGTCTCTCCACTACTATATATATATATATATATAGAGAGAGAGAGAGAGAGAGAGAGAGAGAGAGAGAGAGAGAGAGAGAGACTCTGTCGCCCAGGCTGGAGTTCAGTGGCATGATTGTGCTTCACTGCAACCTCCACCTTCCAGGTTCGAACAATTCTTGTGCCTCAGCCTCCCGAGTAGCTGGAATTACAAGCGTGTGCCACCATGCCTGGCTAATTTTTCTTTTTCCTTTTTAGTATTTTTAGTAGAGACTCCATCTCTACAAAAAATAAGAAAATTAGCCAGCCATAGTGGGGCATGCCTGTGGTCCTAGCTACTCAGGAGAGACTGAGGCAGGAGGATAGCTTGAGCCCAGGAGTTGGAGGCTGCATTAAGCTATGATTGCACCACTGCACTCCAGCCTGGGCAACAAAGTGAGACCTTGTCTCTAAACAAACAAGAAAGAAGCAAAGGGCCAGATGTGGTGGCCCACACCTGTAATCCCAGCACTTTGGGAGGCCAAGGTGGGTGGATCACCTGAGGTCAGGAGTTCGAGACCAGCCTGACCAACACACATGCCCACCACCCAGCTTGAAATGAGAACACAGCCTGTTCATTTGACGTCCTGTGTGTCTCTCCCTCCCCCATCATAGTCTCCTGTCTTCCCACAAAGTTGTTTTTGTTTTGTTTTGTTTGTCTGTTTTTGTAGAGGCAGGGTCTCACTCTATTGCCCAGGCTGGTCTTGAACTCCTGGCTTCAAGAGATCCTCCCACCTCAGCCTCCTGAAGTGCTGGGATTACAGGTGTGATTTCCCCAGTGCAGCCTCCCAGCCCACCACCCTGCACAATCCTCAGCCTCAGTGGATGGGTGTCCCTGACAGTCGCAAGAGGGAAAAAAATAGGACTGTCAGTGTCTTTAATAATAGAAGAGATAAATCACTGTAATAAGACTGGAGACCATACAGGATGCAGATCAGCTTTGCAAATCACAGGCAGGAGCAGCAGCAGAACCTGGGGGGGTCCCCTCCTGGGGAGCAGGATGTTGAAGGCCCCATTGCAGCTCACCCAGCCAGCCACTATCAGCACGTCGTTCTCGAGATTCATGTACGCAATATTTGCTCCTCTGCCCCGTTAAACAAATCTGAACCTGTTCTTGAGGGTAAGCCATAGAGGGACATAAGGACAGAAGTGGTGACATTTATTTGCCTCACAAACAAACGTGCCTCCTGTTTTGCAATGAGGCCATTTAGATATCTCTGGGCATGCATTTCATCACTGTCTGACTGCAAAAGTAATCTGTGTTTATCACAAAAGCTTTGGAAAATACAGAAAAGAACGAAGAGAAAATTAAAAGTCCCTGTAATTTGGAGATGACTACTGTCAGCACTTCTATGCACATAAACATATTTTTTGAAAATGTGAATGAAAAAAACGTTTATCATATATATTATGCATGTATCTGTGTATGTATTATGTATATGCGTAATATATGGATTTAGGGATACATATATTTGAGGAAAACATTAAAGAGAAGCAGAGTTTGAATGCGGTGGCTCACACCTGTAATCCAGCATTTTGGGAGGCCAAGGTAGGAGGATAGCTTGAGCTCAGGAGTTCGAGACCGGCCTGGGCAACATAGCGAGACACCATCTGTATATGCAAAACAAAAAGTAAGCAAGCAAACAAACAAACAAACAAACAAAAAAAACAAAAAAAAACCTAGCTGGGCATGGTGGCACATGTCTGTGGTCCCAGCTACTCTGGAGGCTGAGATGAGAAGATTGCTTCAGCCAGGGAGTTGGAGGCTGCAGTGAGCTATGATGGTGCCCCTGCACTCCAGCCTAAGTGACAGAGCGAGACCGCGTCTCTCCAAAAAAAGAAAAAAAAAGAAAACGAAAAGCGGAGGAATGATTGAACACAAATGAAGGATTGTGATTAACTTTGGGCAACATAGCAAGACTCCATCTTTACAAAACAATTTAAAATTAGCTGGGCGTGGTGGCACGCACCTGTGGTCCCAGCTACTTGGGAGGCTGAGGTAGGAGGATTGTTTGAGCTCAGAGTTCGAGGCTGCAGTGAGCTATGATTGCACCACTGCACTCCAGCCTGGGTGATAGCAAAAGACCCTGTTTCTGGAAAAAAAAAAATAGCAACAGCTGAGCCTGGGACCTTCCAATGTGAACACATTGGGGAGAGGAGGAGGAACCAGCAGAGACTGAGAAGTGGCCTCCAGGGAGCTAGGAGGAGAACCAGGGGAGAGGGTAGGGTCCTGGAGGCCAAGAGAAGAAGCACCCAGAAGAGGGATGTTGATGATGGGCTAGACACGATGAGAATGGAGAATCAATACTGGACTCAGCAGCTTGGGGACCCTGGCCAGTGGAATGATGCCATTTGTAGTGGATGGAGTAGGTTGACTAGTGGTCCCCCAAAAGACATATCCAGGGCCTAACCCATAATACATATGAATGTGACCTCATTTGGAAATAGGCTCTTGGCAGATGCAATTAAGTAAGGTCAGAATCTCAAGCTGGGCGCAGTGGCTCATGCCTGTAAAGCTAGCACCTTGGGAGGCCGAGGCAGGTGGTCACCTGAGGTCAGGAGTTCAAAACTGGCCTGGCCAACATGGAGAAACCCCATCTCTACTAAAAATACAAAAATTAGCTGATGTGGTGGTGGGCGCCTGGAATCCCAGCTACTTGGGAGGCTGAGGCAGCAGAATGGCTTGAACCTGGGAGGCAGAGGTTACAGTGAGCTGAGATTACACCATTGCACTCCAGACCTGGCAACAAGAGTGAAACCCCATCTCAAAAAAAAAAAAAAAAAAAGAATCTCAAGATGAAATCATCCTGGATTTAGGGTTGGCCCTAAATCCAATGATCCAATGATGTATGTCCTTATAAGAGGCAGAAAAGGCTGGGTGCAGTGGCTCATGCCTGTAATCCCAGCACTTTGGGAGACCGAGGCGGGTGGATCACGAGGTCAGGAGTTCGAGACCAGCCTGGCCAATATGGTGAAACCCTGTCTCTACTAAAAATACAAAAATTAGTTGGATGTGGTGGCGCGTGGCTGTAGTCCCAGCTACTCTGGAGGCTGAGGCAGAAGAATCGCTTGAACCTGGGAGGCGGAGGTTGCAGTGAGCAGAGATTGTGCCACTGCACTCCAGCCTGGGTGACAGAGCGAGATTCCGTCTCAAAAAAAAAAAAAGGCAGAAAAGACCACATACACACACACACACACACACACACACACACACACACACACACGCACACACACACACGGGGTCTTTGAAGACAGGCAGAGATTGGAAGGATACCACTGCAAGCCCGAGGTTGCCAGCGACCAGCAAAGAGCTGGGATTATAGATGTGAACCACCGTGCCTGGCCAAGCCTGACTCTTTAAGAGGAGGGAGGGGCTGGGTGCAGTGGCTCATGCCTGTAATCCCAGCACTTTGGGAGGCTGGAGATGGGCAGATCACCTGAGGTCAGGAGTTCGAGACCAGGCTGCCCAACATGGTGAAACCCCATCTCTACTAAAAATACAAAAAATTAGCTGGGTGTGGTGGCAGGCGCCTGTAATCCCAGCTACTTGGGAGGGTGAGGCAGAAGAATCGCTTGAACCCAGGAGATGGAGGTTGCAGTGAGCCGAAATAGCGCCACTGCACTCCAGCCTAGGTGACAAGAGAAAAACTCAGTCAAAAAAGAAAAAAAAAAGAAAAAAAAAAAAGGAAGGAGAAAGAGAGGAATCGGGACAAAGAAATGGGGTGGTGGCGGGGGAGGGAGGTGGAGTCAGGCAGGGAGCTGTGGGTGGAGAAGCTAGTGTGTGCATAGCTGAGCCGGTGGAGGTCTAGAGGCGAGCTTCCATTTCCCCAAAATATAGTGTTATCATTTCCCGTGATTTTCATATTTTATATCATTTTGGAATTTTTAATATAAGCCAATAGATTATTGAAGACCACTCCATTATTCATCGGGTGGAACATTCTTGCATTTTGATTGCAAGTATCATTTTCTGCCACTTCCTTGAAATGCCTTAGGATTCCTGACACCACCTTGTACACCCTCCACTCTAGAAGCTGAGAGTGGGGGGCTCTCAGCTTGGCAGGCTCTGTGACCAGCATGGTCAGGTGCCCGGTGCCCTGGGCCTGGACTAGCCATCGATTCCTGGGCAAGGGGCTTACAGCTGTCGGGATTTCAAACAGCTCTATCTTGCAATGTCCTCATGTAGTCATTTAAAATTCCAGGATTTAATCATCACGCCTGGTATAAAAATAAAGGAGGGTGGGTGGGGAGGACAGGAAAATTTTAATGCAAACACACAAGACCACAGGCTGCAGCAGCTTGAGGCGGGAAGTGTGTTTTTGCCCCTGGCTGCAGAGTGGATTCTGGCGTTTAAGCTGATGGCTTTGTGCAGCCGGGCACCTGAGCACCTGCCAGTCCATCCCCCTGCTCCATCTGTCTGGGTGTAGCTGGGGAAACAGGATGGTCCCACCAGGGATGGAAAGCCAGTCTGCTCTGGGCTAAATGTCTATGTCCCCTCCAAATTTATGTGTTGAAGCCCTAAGTCCCAATGGGGTGGTACTAGGAGGTGGGGCCCCTGGGAGGTGATTAAGTCATGAGGGTAGAGCCCTCATGAAGGGGAGTAGCGCCCTTATGAGAAGAGGCACCAGGAACTTGCTCTCTTTCTTACATTGCAACGATACAGTGATATCGCTTCTTGACCTTTTGGCTAAGATCAAGTGTAAGGATACAATGAGAAGTCACCATCTACAAGCCAGGAAGAGGGAGCTCGCTAGAACTTCCAGCTTCCAGAACTGTAAGAAATTAACAGGGCCGGGCGCGGTGGCTCACGCCTGTAATCCCAGCACTTTGGGAGGCCCAGGTGGGCGGATCACGAGGTCAGGAGATCGAGATCGTCCTGGCTAACACGGTGAAACACGGTCTCTACTAAAAATACAAAAAATTAGCCGGGCGTGGTTGCAGGCGCCTGTAGTCCCAGCTACTCGGGAGGCTGAGGCAGGAGAATGGCGTGAACCCGGGAGGCGGAGCTTGCAGTGAGCGGAGATCGCGCCACTGCACTCCAGCCTGGGCGACAGAGCAAGACTCCATCTCAAAAAAAAAAAAAAAAAAAAAAAAGAAAAAAAGAAAAAGAAATTAACAGGTCGAAGCCACCTAGTCTGCGGCATTTTGTTTTGGCAGCTGGAGCTGAGCAAGTCACGGCCCTTCTGAGTGATGAAGTAAAGCCCGTGACGGGGCCTGTAACGGTGGCTGCAAGAAACCCCCGCCAGGGTGACATTTGTCCTGCTTCTCTCTGGCCCATGTAAGGGATTTCTCCAAGGCGGTTTGGACTACACACACATTTTGCTTGGAGCATCGACTTATAACCCCAGCCCGAGAGAGCCGTGGCGTCCTTGTGTGGGTTAATTCACTCATTCCCTCGTTCATTAAGGGTATCCCTGAAGCCCTGCTCAGTGTCAAAGAAAACAATCGATTCTCCAGTTATTCGTCCGCCCAAGGCCAGGTTATCCGGGTAATGGACTGGAGGGATGTGAGTCCCTGTGGATTAGAGGTCCTTGTGCAGAGTGACAAATTCGGATGAGTTCAGCCCCTGGCTAAAATCAGCCTTCCTCGTGGCTCCTTGCGAATACAGCGGACCATTCATCAATTCTGCACACCTCGTGAACCACTTCCAGAGGGGGCTGCTGGGTCTTTAGAATAATGTTTCTCAAGCCCAGGGAAAAAGCTGGGTGCCCCGGGACCCCATTTAATCAGTGTTGCAAGCATCTATTCCTCAAAGCCAGAGAGAATCCAACCCTTTAACCTCACCACCGCGCCCTGTGTTTTTGTGTTTGCTGCAGGGCTGCCCGATCAACGGATAAATTCATTAGGTTGTATGTTTTAACCTCCATGGCTTCCCTCTTCCGCTCCTTTCCTGGCTTACAAACGGGAGGCATTCCTAATAAGCCGATCGTCTGCCTTTGGCAGGCAGGGGAGCCAGCCCGGTTCTGCATTAACGGTGCGGGGTTTTCATTTTTATTTATAGTGCATGTCTGAGACAAGCCAAGTGTTGAATCCTCCAGGGTATTACGGAGCAAACATCCCCGCACATTTCAAAAATCTTCTGTCTGTCTGAACAAGGGGTTGCCAAGGGGAAATTTACCTAACCAGCTGCTTTTTTTTTTTATGATGAGGAGAGGGAGAGTGTCCAGGCTCATTGTTGGATTGGAACGTTGTCATGCGGCCACCAAAGCAAAGTTTGTAAAGCGGATGCAACATGTTCCCAGCCAGGGCCCAGTAGAGCAGCTCTGTCACTTCCTGCCACCCCACAAATTCTACTGATTTGCTTTAGTGGTAAAGTCACGTGGTATTTCTTTTTTTTTAATTTTTAATTTTATTTTTCCATAAGTTATTGGGGTACACGTGGTTATTTGGTTACATGAGTAAGTTCTTTAGGGAAGATTTGTGAGAGTTTTGATGCACCCATCACCCGAGCAGTACACGCTGCATCACATTTGTAGTCTTTTATTCCTCGACCCCTCCCACTCTTCCCCACAGGTCCCCAAAGTCCATTGTGTCATTCTTACGCCTTTGCATCCTCATAGCTTAGATCCCACATATCAGTGAGAACATACGATGTTTGCTTTTCCATTCCTGAGTTACTTCACTTGGAATAATGGTCTCCAATCTCATCCAGGTCACTGCAAATGCTGTTAATTCATTCCTTTTTATGGCTGAGTAGTATTCCATCATATATATAGCACAGTTTCTTTATCCACTTGTGGATTGATGGGCATTTGGGTTGGTTCCACGATTTTGCAATTGTGAATTGTGCTGCTACAAACACGCGTGTGCAAGGATTTTTTTTGGAATAATGACTTCCTTTCCTCTAGGTAGATACCCAGTAGTGGGATTGCTGGATCAAACGGTGGTTCTGCTGTTAGTTCTTAAAGGAATCGCCACACTGTTTTCCATAGTGGCTGTACTAGTTTACATTCCCACCAGCAGTGTAGAAGTGTTCCCTGATCAACACATCCACACCAACATCTACTGTTTTTTATTTTTTGATTATGACCATTCTTGCAGGAGTAAGGTGGTATTGCATTGAGGTTTTGATTTGCATTTCCGTGATCATTACTGACATTAGTGATGTTGAGCTTCTTGGCTATTTGTTTTTTATATATTGAGCTTTTCTTTCTTTTCTTTTTTTTTTTTTTAGAGATGGCATCTTGCTCTGTCACCCAGGCTGGAGTGCAGTGGTGCAATCATAACTCACTACAGCCTTGAACTCTTGGGCTCAAGTGATCCTCTTGCCTCAGCCTCCCCAGTAACTGGTACTACAGGGACCTGACACTATGCTTGCCTAATTTTTTTATTTTATTTTATTTTATTTTATTTTATAGACACAGGGTCTTGCTATGTTGCCTAGGCTGGTCTTGAATTCCTGGCCTCAAGTGATCCTCCCAGCTTGGCGTCCCATAATGCTAGGATTACAGGCGTGAGCCACCATGGCTGGCCCATGGCTCTTTCTCTTCTCTTCTCTTCTCTTCTCTTCTCTCTCTCCCTCTTTCTTCTTTCTTTCTTTCTTTCTTTCTTTCTTTCTTTCTTTCTTTCTTTCTTTCTCTCTCTCTCTTTCTCTCTTTCTTTTTTTATTCAGAGTCTTGTTCTGTCACCAAGGCTGGAGTGCAGTGGTGCGATCTCGGCTCACTGCAACCTCTGCCTCCCAAGTTCAAGTGATTCTCCTGCCTCAGCTTCCCAAGTAGCTGGGACTACAGGCATGTGCCACCACACCCAGCTAATTTTGTGTCTTTAGTAGAGATGGGATTTCACTATGTGTTGGCCAGGCTGATCTTGAACTCCTGACCTCAAGTGAGCCACCTGCCTTGGCCTTCCAGAGTGCTGGGATTACAGGTGTGAGCCAATGCACCCAGCTGCCCATGGCTATTTCTGTATTCCAGTTCAAAATTAAAGTTAGTTCCAGTGGAGGGGCTGATAAGAGAGAAACATGTCTCTTCCCACACTTCCTTGTCTTTCAGACCTTGGTTTATTAGAGTAGGATTTCTATTCTCCCTAATTTACCTACATGGCTGTAAGAAAAGATGAGAGGGACCAGGATCGGAGCAATCAATCTGCCTCTGTTTCTGATGGGAAGCTGGGCCTCTGGGCTGGGGAGATGTTGACCGCCTGGAGAATATTACAGAGGAAGGCACCATCATTCGTGAACATATAAAAGGCATGTGATTTCCAGTCATTTTCAGCCAGAACATCTGCTTTATTAATATTGAATGAAAGTGCTTTAGGCTGTTAAGAAAACATTACTGTAAAACGTGTAAGTATAATGATCCCATTCTGGATACAGTTTATGAGATCCCCTGTATGGAAAACAGGCAAACGGGTGCTTTTACACTTGTTTTTTTTATCATATGCAAGTGTGATAGGTAATAAGAACATAAATCTACATGGAATCATAAAAATAAAATTTACTGTCTCTTCCTGACATGAAAATCGTCTTGGATTGCATCATCCTCTTTTCTCTGTGAGATGAATCCGGGCTTATTTTGAACGTTACTGTGTCCATCTGAAATATCAGTGCAACAGAGTCTAATTACAAGGGCTTGATGGAATATATTTCTGTTAGTTCTGCGATTGGCAAGGGCAGAATGATCTGGTAGCCAATTCTCCAGCATCACTCGCCTTCGTGGAGGGAAAGCATGAAGGGGAAGATCTTACTGGAACTCAGTGTAAAGGCATTTGGTAGTTCTGCAAACATCTGCCATCCATTGCAAACATAGCGGCAAGCTTTGGAGGAAATGAGGGCGTGCTAATAGGGTAGCGTACATCTTCATTAAGACAGATATTTGTGGGGCCTGAAAAACCACCTTCATCCATACGCATAGCTTTTCAGGCAGGCAAGGAGTGCAGGTCGTAAGAGGTGGTTGATAGAGCATTTTCTTCCCCACCAGAAATCTCTATTAACCAGCAGATCTGCACACCTAAGGTAGGAATAGTAATTCATACTCATAACTATGGCCCTCCAGCAACAAAAAATCCTGGTGAGCCTTTGTGTGTATCAGAGCCAGATTAAATTATGGTCACCAAGGTTTTAGTGCCAAATGCATTTTGTTCTTTTATAATTCTCTGAGAACAGGAGATCTGTGCAAGGTACACATGAATGCTCCATTAACAGGGATATCTGAGACAGAAGGGCCCTCTCTGCCAGCCTTGCTGGAGAGCAGAATTAACTGAAATCTGCTAGTAAAAGTGACAAACTGTGGCCCAGCAAGCCTAGTTCTCCTTACTGTGGTGATAGTAGCAAACGTAGCGGTCAGGATGGGGCTGGTGTGAGCTGGCCATAAGGAGAGGGGCAGAATTCCTAACTCACTGGATGACTCTATAGTATAGGGAAGAACTTGTGGGCATTGGCCCCTGCAGAGTATGGCATGCTGAAATGTATCTTGGCCTCAATGGTCCGTGAATATCTCATCCTTGTCAACAAGCCAAAATGTCAACCCAGTGTGGAATTTAGGGGAATTCTGAGGCCCAGTGACATGAGCAGCTGGGCAGTGTTGTTATAGGACCGCCAGGTTTGTATGTCCATTGGAAAACAATAGGCCAATACATTGAGACAGCAGGATTTGCAGCAGAGAAAGAGTTTAATGATTGCAGGGCACTGAGCAAGGAGATGGGAGAAGATCCTCAAATCCATCTTCCTGAGGAGTTCTGGCCTGGGTTTTTTTTTTTTTTTTTTTTGGAGACAGGGTCTCACTCTGTCACCCAGACTGGAGTGCAGTGGTGTGATTATAGTTCACTGTAGCCTTTACCTCTTGGGCTCAAGCAATCCTCCCACCTCAGCTCCCTGAGTAGCTGGGACTACAGGTGCCTGCCAACATGCCTAGCTATTTTTTTTTTTTTTTGGTAGAGATGGGGGCCTCACTATATTGCCCAGGTTGGTCTTGAACTCCTGGACTCAAGCAATCCTCTTGCTTCAGCCTCCCAAATTGTTGGGATTATAGGTGTGAGCCACCAAGTCTGGCCGAGTTCTGGGCTGCGATTTTTAAGGGGACAATGGAGAGCAAAGGATTGGAAAATTGGCGTCATTGATTGATTGGGGTAAAGGAGATGAAATCCTCAGGATGTGGAAACTGCATTCTTTGGTGAGTCAGCTTGTCATGCAGTCCTTCAGACCAGTTGGTGTCAGCATGCAGGACCTGAAAGAACATCTCAGATGGAAAACGTAATGTTTGATAATGTTCAAGTTGGTATCTATAGAGCTGTTAAGGGGACCTATAATTTTCTAACAGGGTCTACACAATTCTAGGACAATAGGCAATGCACAGCTATGTGGAAACAGGTCAGAAAGCAGGCTGAGACCTAGTGAATGTGCTGAATGTGCTATAAGCTTGGTTTATTTTAATTTCTTCCCCTCCATTCTTCCCTGATTAATTTTATAAAGTTTATAGGGACAGTTTCAGTGTGCTAACAGAGCACTCACTGGGCCACTTGAGGCTTGCAGGGACAGCGACTTGCCCAAGTGACTCAACTTCAAAGTGTCAGAACATGATCTTAGAACCCCACCTCCTGCCATCTGGAATCTGGCTTGTCCCCCATGGCATGCAGAATTCTCTGTCCTGGCTCAGTGGTTCAGCAACAATGGTCCTCTGCTCTCTGAAGATGTCGAAGCTCACTCCTGCCTCAGGACCTTTGCACGGGTCCTTATTGCCACCTGGAATGTTTGCCTCCTTGGCATTTGCACAGCTGGCTCCTTTTGTCATCCCATTCATGGCATGGATACCAGCTCAACGTTGTCCTTCCCTGATCACCCAATCTAGAGTGGCCATTGGGTCACTTTCCATCATGCCATCTTGTTTAAATACCCCACACGTGCCCCTCACATGCTAATATTTTCTCTGGTCTTTTTTTTCTTTTCTTTTTTGAGATGGAGTCTTGCTCTGTTGCCCAGGCTGGAGTGCAGTGGTGTGATATTGGCTCACTGCAAACTCTGCCTGCCGGGTGCAAACAATTCTTGTGCCTCAGCCTCCTGAGTAGCTGGGATTACAGGTGTGCACAACCACACTCAGCTAACTTTTGTATTTTTAGTAGAGACAAGTTTCACCATGTTGGCCAGGCTGGTCTCCAACTCTTGACCTCAAGAGGTCTGCCTGCCTCGGCCTCCCAAAGTGCTGGTATTGCAGGTGTGAGCCACTGCGCCCGGTCTTCTGGTCTTCATGTGGAGTGTATTGTCTGTCTCCATGAGGTTGGAGGATGGGCACATCTTGTTCTAAGCTGCATCTCCAATGCATCATGCACATTGCAGGTGCTCTTAAATGTGGTGGAAAGAATGAAGTAATGAATTGCTTTTGGGCAACTGTGGTTTGACCCAGAATACATCCAAATTCAGCTCTGGAGGTCCAGAGCCGTGCCCTTGACTGACAACAGGCCATCAATCCTTCACTCCCCTGTGGAGGGGATGACATGGAGGAGAGTAACTTTTGGGGACAGGAAAATGCCTGAAATGTGGGTGCTGCTTCAGGCCTGGGGAAGGTGGGGTGTGCTGAGAGCAACATCTTCTAGTCAAGGTCATCAGCAACAAGGCAAGACTCATTCAGCTGAGGCTGAGGTGAGAGGATTGCTTGAGGTCAGGAGTTCAAGACCAGCTTGGGCAACATAATGAGACCCCATCTCTACAAAGAATTAAAAAATTAGTGGGATGTGGTAGCGTGCACCTGTAGAACCAGCTACTCCAGAGGCTGAGGTGGGAGGTTTGCTTGAGCCCAGGGGTTCAAGGCTGCAGTGAGGTGTGATTGCACCATTGCATTCCAGCCTGGGCAACAGGGCGAGGCCCTAAACTCCCCCTCTCCCTGGACTGGGAAACAAAGGTTTTTCACAAAATTCAGTCACAAGTGACAAAAGCAAAAAATAAAAAATAAAAAACAGGCCAGGCGTGGTGGCTCATGCCTGTAACCCCAGCACTTTGGGAGGCCGAGGTGGACAGATCATTTGAGGTCAGGAGTTCAAGACCAGCCTGGCCAATATGGTGAAACCCCATCTCTACTAAAAATACAAAAATTAGCCAGGCGTGGTGGTGGCCGCCTGTAGCCCCAGCTACTTGGGAGGCTGAGGCAGGAGAATCTCTTGAGCCCGGGAGGCAGAGGTTGGAGTGAGCCAAGATGGCACCACCGCACTCTAGCCTGGGCAACAGAGTGAGATGCTGTCTCAAAAAATAAAAAAAAAAATGATACATAAAATAAATACCAAACCAAAACCTACCTAAGATCTCCCCAGGAATCATCTGGAGCAAGAATTAGGAGCTATGACAAAGAAATCCTCAGGGAGGGTCCCAGCCCTTCTCCCATGCAGGCATGGAAGAGCAGAAGGCAGAAAAATCCAAGTTCAGAACTTGGATGGGCCAGACACTTGTAATCTCAGTGCTTTGGGAGGCTGAGGTAGGAGGATCACTTGAGCCCAGGAGTTCAAGACCAGCCTGGGCAACATAGCGAGATGCTGTCTCAAAAAAAAAAAAATTACCTGGGCATGATGGTACACACCTGTAGTCCCAGCTATTCAGGAGACTGAGGGGAGGGTCAGTTGAGCTTAGGAGTTTGAGGCTTCAGGGAGCTATGATTGCACCCCTGCACTCCAGCCTGGGTGACAGGAAGACCTTGTCTCGAAAAAAAAAAAAAAAGAACTTGAATGAATGGAATCCAGGCAGAGTTGACTGGAGCCCAGATCTGCCCTCTCTGCCGCTTGTCTGCATAGTGACTGACAGCTCTCCCTGGCTTCTTCTCAGGAATTGTATTAGTCCATTTTCATGCTGCTGATAAAGACATACCGAGACTGGGAAGAAAAAGAAGTTTAATTGGACTTACAATTCCACATGGCTAGGGAGGCCTGATAAGCATGGTGGAAGGCAAAAGGCACATCTTACATGGCGGCAGACAAGAGAGAATGAGAGCCAAGCAAAAGGGGTTTCCCCTTATAAAACTGTCATATCTCATGAGATTTATTCACTACCACGAGAACAGTATGGGGGAAACTGCCCCCATGATTCACATTATGTCCCACTGGCTCCCTCCCACAACACATGGGAATTATGGGAGTACAATTCAAGATAAGATTTGGGTGAGGACACAGCCGAACCATATCAGGGATACAATAAAGGCCATATGCACCTGCAGGCACAAGTGGGTGTTGCATATGGTACAAATGTCAAATGGTTTTTACTGGACAGCTCCACCCGTAAGCCAAAAATCAAGACCCAATTCCTCACGGCAGCACCAGCCTGAATTATGGCAAACATTTCTGGCTCCAGGTTGATCTTTGGAGACAGAGGCTCATGTGTCTTAGACCAGTGAGAGATCACAGTCCTGCTTGAATAATAGCAATGATAGTAATAACTGGGGATGGCAGTACTGACAGTTTGCATTTAGGAAGAATATTCTATGGGCTGGACACTGTGCTAAACACGTTCCACGTACTGCTGTATCCAACTCACACTAAAGCCATTTCACCAATGATAAAACTGGGGCTTAAAGAAATAAACTCATGTACCTACCCAAGCTCACTTGACTGATAAGTGACAGAGTGAGGATTTGAACCCTGGAGTCTGACATCCAAGCCTCCCTACGAGCCACCATGGCACATGGTCTTTACTAGGGTTAAATGAGACCCAGGGAGGTCTTGTCACGTGTGGAAGAGGTGGAGGGTGGCTGGAGGGGAGGCATCGCTCCCTGTCTGAGAGCGAAGACGATGACATAATTCATGGAAACACTGTCAACTGTGGCTGGTGGTTGGAAAGGTCCCAGCTGGGTCTCCGTCTAGTGCTAATGATTTTGCAGCAACATAGGGCCTCAAAGGAGCTTAAATGCAACACTCTCCAAGTTCAAAAGGGAGAACATAAAATTTCCATCAAAGTAACATTGTAGTGAGAGCCTCCTTTTCCCTGAGGCTGATTGGACAAATTACATTCAATACTTTTGAGTTCTTCCTGGCTAAAGATGGAGGTCATTGACAGGAACTTCTTTTTTCTTTTCTTTTCTTTTCTTTTCTTTTCTTTTCTTTTCTTTTCTTTTCTTTTCTTTCTCTCCTTCCTTCCTTCCTTCCTTCCTTCCTTCCTTCCATCCTTCCTTCCTTTCTTCCTTCTTTCTTTCTTTCTTCTTTTTTTTTAGATAGAGTCTTACTCTGTTGCCCAGGCTGGAGTGCAATGGCATAATCTTGGCTCACTGCAACCTCTGCCTCCTGGTTCAAGCGATTGTCATGCCTCAGTCTCCTGAGTAGCTGGGACTACAGGCACACATGACCATGCCTGACTAATTTTTTTTGTATTTTTAGTGGACACAGCGTTTCTCTATGTTGGCCAGGCTGGTCCTGAACTCCTGAACTCCTGAGCTCAGGCAATCCACCTGCCTTGGCCTCTGAAAGTGGTAGGATTACAGGCATGAGCCACCAAGCCTGGCCTGGAACTTTATATATATATATTCCATAGAGATGGAATCTCACTATGTTGCCCAGGTTGGTCTCAATCTCCTGCCTTAAGTGATCCCACTTCAACTTCTCAAGTAGCTAGGACTACAGGCATGTGCCACCATGCCTGTCTAATTTTCTAAAACAATTTTTTTTTGTAGGGGGGTGGTATCACTATGTTGCCCATCCTGGTCTTGAACTCCTGGCCTCAAGCAGTCCTCCTGCCTCGGCCTCCCAAAGCACTGGGATTACAGGCATGAACCACCGTGCCAGGCCAGGAAGTTTTTTTAAGGTTGATATCGGTGGCCTTGCAGGCAATAAATAGTAGAGGGTAAACCCAGCAGCATAGCCAGGCTGAGCCCTCAGAGAGTCCCAGTGCATTTGGAAGGGGGATGGAGAAGCCAGACAGAGCTGGTTCAAACCCCTGTCTGTGTCTTCCTTGTATGTGACCTGGGCACATTACTTAACCCTTTGTGAGACTCAGTTTTCTCTCCTGTACAATGGGAACAATGTATCCCTTGCAGGGCTTTAATGAGGAACAAGGATATTCTATGTGATATGCTTGACATTGAATTGGTTTCCAGCACAGACTATCAACTCTGCTAGGACTCTGTGCATTTTTTTTTCTTTTCAGATGGAGTCTCGCTTTGTTGCCCAGGCTAGAGTTCAGTGGCGTGATCTTGGCTCACTGCAACCTCCAGTTCCCAAGTTCAAGTGATTCTTGTGCCTCAGTCTCCTTAGTAGCTAGGATTGCAGGCGTCCGCCACCATGCCCAGCTAATTTTTGTATTTTTGTAGAGACGGGGTTTCACCATGTTGGCCAGGCTAGTCTCGAACTCCTGATCTCAAATGATCTGCCCGTCTCAGCCTCCCAAAGTGCTGGGATTACAGGCGTGAGCCACTGCACCTGGCTGGACTCTGTGCCTTTTGAACAAGGTGTCAGGTGGAAAAATATTTTCCTGGATGTCTGCCCTCCCGTGCAATGCTTCTGAGAGCTCTGAGCCCCACCTGCCCCGACAGAGGCACCCTGATGACCTCCCCTGCTGGTGCCCATTTGCCCTGTTCCCCTGCAGAGTGTGACCTGTGATGCAGACCAAGGAATTCCCACCATAAGTGAGTCCCCGATGGGCTGCCCCTCTTAAGAAGGCCCCATGCAGGCTGGGTGTGGTGGCTCACACCTGTAATCCCAGCACTTTGGGAGGCTGAGGCGGGCGGATCACCTGAGAGGTTGGGAGTTCGAGACCAGCCTGACCAACATGGAGAAGCCCCGTCTCTACTAAAAATAAAAAATTAGCCGGCATGGTGGTGCATGCCTGTAATCCCAGCTACACGGGAGGCTGAGGCAGGAGCATCGCTTGAACCTGGGAGGCGGAGGTTGTGGTGAGCCGATATTGTGCCATTGCACTCTAGCCTGGGCAACAAGAGCAAAACTCCATCTCTCCATCTCAAAAAAAAAAAAAAAAGAAAGAAAGAAAGAAAAGAAAAGGGAAAAAGAACGTCCCATGCAAAAGGTGGTGGAGTGCGAGTAGGCTGGGGAAGCTGGGTTGATGGGCTCCTGGAGTGTGCAGAGTGATTGACACCTGGAGGCAGGAGAGAGGCTCTGGTCAGCTCCCATGCTGAGGAGCTGGAGAAGGTGAATGAATGTTGTGGGGAGGGTGGGGAGGGAGTGTCTTGACAAGCGTAGACTTTTTTTTTTTTTTTTTTTTTTTGAGAATGGATCTCACTCTGCTGCCCAGGCTGGAGTGCAGTGGCGCGATCTTGGCTCACTGCAACCTCCACATCCCAGGTTCAAGCAGTTCTCCTGCCTCAGCCTCCCGAGTAGCTGAGATTACAGGCGCCCCTCACCACGTCTGGCTAGTTTTTGTATTTTTTAGTAGAGACGGGGTTTCACTATGTTGGCCAGGCTGGTCTCGAACTCCTGACCTTGGGTGATCTGCCTGCCTTGGCCTCCCAAAGTGCTGGGATTACAGGCGCGAGCCATCGTGACTGGCCAAGTGCAGCCTTTTGAAGTCTGTCCTGGGTTGAATTGTGTACCCCCCAAAATTCATGTCCTTCCTGGACCTCAGAATGTGACTTTATTTGGAAACAGGGTCATTGCAGAAGTAATGGAAGTAATGAGTTAAGGTAAAATGAGATCGAACTGTGGTAGGGGAGCCTTTGATCTGACACAACTGGTGTCCTTATCATCAGAGGAGGACACACAGACACACAGAGGGAAGACAGGCATACAATGACAGAGGCAGAGATTAGAGTGGTGTATGCACAAGCCACTGTCCTGCAAGGATTGCCGGCAGCCGCAGGCAGAGGCAGGCGGATCGCCTGATCCCAGGCATTCAAGACCAGCCTGGGCAACATGGCGAGACCTCATCTCTACAAAAAATGCAAACATTAGCTGGGCATGGTGGTGCGAACCTGTAGTTCCAACTACTTGAGAGGCTGAAGTGGGAGGATCACCTGAGCCTGGGGAGAGTGAGGCTGCAGTGAGCCATGATTGTACCACTGTACTGCACCTGCACCCTGAGCAAGAGTGAGACCCTTTCTCAAGAAGCCAGGAAGGAAGCAAGGGGCAGATCTTCCCCCTGAGCCCCCAAGAAGAAAACAACCTTGCAACAGCTTGAGTTTGGTGTTGTTCTGAGTCACCTAGTTTGTGTCACAGGAAACTAAGACAGACACGCCCAGAGGGTGTGAGGAAGAGGGTCTGCAGAATCGGCTCTTGGGGCCCCCCAGGCAGAACAAGGAGGAGACAAGCTCTAGAAAACTGCATACATTGGATGAGACAGCAAATAAACCAATTGGTATAAGGAAGCACACAGGTTGATAGCACACAATACATTCAGAAACAGTTTCCCATATGCATGAAAATGTTTGGCATTTCAAATCAGTAGAGAAAAAGTGGGATTATCCAAGACATGGTATTGAGATAACTTAGCACAGTCTGAAAAACATGGAACTGGGGTCCCTCTGTTGCTCCTTATGTAAAAATGAATTCTAGATGGATCAGAGAATTAAATGTCTTATCAAAAAAAAAAAAAAAAAACAAAGCCACAGCTTCCAGGACGGTGGAATAGACATACTTTTCACAATTCCTCCTTTGCAGCTAAAACCTTTGAATATTGGATGTAAAACAAACAGATGAAGACTCTGAATGGTGGGGAGAGAAGGCAGATGGGCTGGGAGTTCAGAACTCAAGGAATGGCCTGGCAGTGAGGTCCCTGGGTTTTCTTCTTGTCTCATATATCCCAGACTGCGTTCTGAAGAAGTTGGCAGCCTAGAAATGCCAACAGGTACAGGTTTTTTTTTTTAAACACTCCAAAAAAAGCCTGCTTTTTTAAGCCAAATGACTAGAGGAAAGGGCCAGGAAAGGGACAGCCTCATGAGATTAAAAAAAAAACTTTGGGCTAGAGGTGGTGGCTCCCACCTGTAATTCCAGCACTTTGGGAGGTGGAGGCAGGTGGATCGCTTGATCCCAGGCATTCAAGACCAGCCTGGGCAACACAGCGAGACCTCGTCTCTACGAAAAATACAAAAATTAGCTGGACATGGTGGTGCAAACCTGTAGTTCCAGCTACTTGGGAGGCTGAGGTGGGAGGATCACCTGAGCCTGGGGAGATTGAGGCTGCAGTAAGCCATGATCATGCCACTGTACTCCAGTCTGAGTGACAGAGTGAGACTCTCACTCAAAAAAAATCCCCAAACTTTAGGCAATAACCTCTGCACTCCAGCCAAATAAGGCTGAAAGCACTGAGAACCTATGCCCACTCCTGCCAGCAAAGGCCAAGGGTAGATCTCAGACTGTCACCTTTTTTGGTTGTAATGAGGCACCCTAATCCAGCCCTTCACTGAGGTGGTGGCAGGGAAGCCTCCAGTGAGGACTGATACTTGCATTCCTGCTGGGTGCTCATGAAAGCCGCTCCCTCTGCAGGTTTGGTGGACACCCTTGTGGAACCTAGACTGACACCCCCACCCAGTGATAATGAGGCACCCCTTCTCCTCCCTGTTGGAGTGATTCGAAGGAGTTCTGGTAAAACAGAGGGTTTAAATAAGATCCACAGTCTTGTAACATATTATAAGAGTGATTTCAACTTAAGAAATCACTCATTATACCAAAATCGAGAAATATCTCAACTCGAATGAGACAAAGCAATCAACAGACACCAACACTGAGATGGCACAGATGTTAAAATTATCTGAAATGGATTTTAAAGCTGCTGTCATAAAAATGCTTCCATAATTGTGAACCCACTTGAAACAAATGAAAATGTAGACTGTCTCAGCAAAGGAATAGGAAGTCCTGGCAAAGAAATAGAAGATATGAAATAGAAGATATGAAAAACAACAAATGGAAATTTTATTTTTATTTTTTATTTTTATTTTTACTTTTTGGTTTTTGAGACGGAGTCTGGCTCTGTTGCCCAGGCTGGAGTGCAGTGGCACGATCTCAGCTCACTGCAACCTCCACCTCCTGGGTTCAAGCAATTCTCCTGCCTCAGCCTCCTGAGTAGCTGGGACTACAGTCACGAGCCACCATGCCTGGCTAATTTTTGTATTTTTAGTAGAGACAGGGGTTTCGCCATGTGGCCCCGGGTAGTCTCGAACTCCTGACCTCAGGTGATCCCACCTGCCTTGGCCCTCCAAAGTGCTGGGATTACAGGCGTGAGACACTTCATCTGGCCCCAAATGGAAATTTTAGAACTGAAAAATACAGTAATCAAAATGAAGCCTCAGTGAATGAGCTTGACCACAGAATGATGGGACAGAGGAAACAAGTGGCAAACTTGATAAAAGAATAATAGAAATTACCCAAGCTGAACCACAGGGAGAAAATGGGCTTGTATAAAGCCTCAAGGATCCATAGGATAATAATAAAAGATCTAACATTAATGTCATAGAAGTCCCGAAAGGAGAGTAGAAAGAGGTTGGGGCTAAAAACTCTTCAAAGAAAGAATGGCTGAACCCCCCCACCCCCACCTAATGTGATGGAAGACATAAACCTGCAGGTTGAAGAAGCTTGGTAAACAAACCCCATCAGGAAAATGCAAAGAAATATATTCCAAGACACATCATAATCAGATTTCTAAAAAACATCTGGAACACAATGAGAGAAAATAACACTTCATCTATATGAAAAAATAATTCGAATTATAGCAGATTTCTCATTTGAAACCATAAAGGCCATAAAAGAAGAAGCACAACAGTTTTCAAATGCTTACAGAAAAGAATCGTCAGCCCAGAATTCTACATGAAGTAAAAATGTCCTTTGGAAATGAAGAGGCATTTAAGACATCCTCAGATTAAGAGAAACTAAGAGATTTGGTCACCAGCCAACCTACTTTGAAAGAATGGCTAACGAAAGGTCTCAGTTGGGTGCAGTGGCTCATGCCTGTAACCCCAGCACTTTTAGGGCCAAGGCAGATGGATTGCTTGAGCTCAGGAGTTCAGAACCAGACTGAGCAACCTGGTAAAGCCCTGTCTCTACAAAAAAATACAAAAATTAACTGGGCATGGAGGTGCACACTGGTAGTCCCAGCTACTTAGGAGGCTAAGGTGGGAGGATTGCTTGAGTCCAGGAGGTTGAGGCTGAGGTGAGCCGTGATCACACCACTGCACTCCAGCCTGGGTGACAGAGCAAGATCCTGTCTCAGAAAAAAGAAAATGATAAAGAATGAATCTTGGAATACCAAGAAAAAAGAAAGAAAGAAAGAAAGGCTAAAAATATGGGTAAATACAATATGCCTTCCTTGTATTCTTCAGTGTTCTAAGTTATGTCTGATGGTTAAGTAAAAGGTATAACATTGATGAAGTACTCAATTTATGTAGAGGAAATATTTAAGACAATTAAATTATAAATGGGAAAGTGTAAAGGGAAGTAAAGTTTCTGCATTACCTTCAAACTGATTAAATGCTGACACTAGTAGACTATGATTCATTATGTATACATAGTAAAATATCTAAGGTAACCTTAAAAAGTATGCAAAGAGATACATTAAAACCATAAATAAGAACAGAATTCTAAACAAATGTTCAAGTAAACCACAGGAAGGCAGAAAAAAGAAAACAGAGAAATGACATAAAAAAGAAAACAAAAAATAAAATGTCAGGCTTAAGCCCTAACAAATTAATAATTACATTAAATGTAAATGGCCTAAGTATACCAGTTAAAAGAGAGACATTAGCATAGCAAATTCAAAAACAGCCACTATGGAAAATAATTTAGCAGTTTTTTAAAAATTTAAGAAACACTTACCATATGGTGTAGCAATTGCACTCTTGGATGTTTATCCTAGAGAAATGAAAACTTATATCCATGCAAAAATGGATTATTCATAGCAGCTTTATTTGTAACAGCAAAAACTGGAATAATCCTACAATTGGTGAATGGTTTAACAAACTGTGGAGCATCCATGAAATACTACTTAGCAGTAAAAAGGAATGAACTATTGATATGGGCAACAACTTAGATGGGTCTCAAGGGCATTATGATGATTCAGAAAAGCCAATCCCAAAAGGTCACTGAGTGTAGGATTCCACTTATATAAAATTCTCAAAATGACAAAATTATAGAGATGAAAAACAAATTAGCCTGGGGGTAGAGGTGGTGGAGGGAAAGAGTATGAGTGTGTCTATAAAGAGATAGCATGAGGGAGATCTTTGTGATGATATACAGTTCTGTATCTTGATTGCAGTGGTGGTTACACGAATCCACACAAGTGATAAAATTACGTAGAACTACAAGTACACATTGTACCAACGTCAATTTCTAAAGCTATGTAATCTGTAACCACTGGGAGAAAGCGGGTGGGGATTATGTACAACCTCTCTGTCCTATCTTGATAACGTTCTATAAATCTATAATTGTTTCAGAATAAAACGTTTAAAAAGAAAATAAAATTATAGAAGCAAGTGTGAGTGAAATAAAATACAAAACCTAGAACTCAAAAAGGAAAGAATTGATAAATTTGACTACAGAAAATTCTAAAACTTCCATTTGGCAGAGAAGACTATAACATAAAGTCAAGAACAATGAAACACTGGGAAAACATATTTGCAACATATGTGGCAGATGAATGGGACAGGCCAGTTTCTCTGCTTTATAAAGAATTTGCATAAGTCAATAAGAAAATAAAACAATAGAAAAGTAGGCAAAGGATGTGAATGGTCAATTTATAGTAAAATAAACACAAATGGCCATTAAATGTGGGAAAGCTGCCCAGCCTCATTCTTAAAGAAAGAAATGTAAAACAAACAACAGTGAAATTTGTTGTTCATTTATCAGGTTAACAAAAATGGAAAACTGTGATGCCACAGGGCTGGTGAGGATGGAGGAGTAGATACTTTCCTATGTGCTAGTGGGAGTGTAAATCAGTGCACTCTTTCTGGAAGACAACTAGGAAATAATCATGAAAATTAAAAATATTCTCAGCAGTAAAGTTATGCTAAAAACCTATTCTCAAGATACATGCCCCAGGATCTTTGTTTGTTTTGTTTTGAGATGCTCTGTTCCCCAGGCTGGAGTGCAGTGGCGCGATCTCGGCTCACTGCAACCTCTGCCT
Source organism: Homo sapiens (assembly GCF_000001405.40). Taxonomy (NCBI): domain Eukaryota; kingdom Metazoa; phylum Chordata; class Mammalia; order Primates; family Hominidae; genus Homo; species Homo sapiens. Next base: position 98,509,217 of record NC_000007.14, read on the forward strand.
CCCGAGTTCACACCATTCTCCTGCCTCAGCCTCCCGAGTAGCTGGGACTACAGGCACCCACCACCATGCCTAGCTAATTTTTTGTATTTTTAGTAGAGATGGGGTTTCACCGTGTTAGCCAGGATGGTCTCGATTTCCTGACCTCGTGATCTGCCCGTCATGGCCTTCCAAAGTACTGAGATTACAGGCAGGAGCCATCCCTCCCGGCCGCCCCAGGATCTTTTTGTGCCAATAAATGGGTTATATTTGTAAAGCTCTTAAAATGGTGTGTGACACATAAGAAGTCCTATGTAAGTGTTTATTAGATAAAGCAACAGAAAAATTATATGTGCAAAGCTTTCAAAAAGAAACAAATAGCATGTGTGTGATAGGACTCCTTTTTGTATTTAAAAATATATCCACATAAATGTGAATATTTGTTTTATACATGTGTGTATGTGTATATTTCTGTATGGGAGTGGGGAGGGAAGTGTTTACTTCATTTCTCTTTATATTTATTTTATTTTTTGTAGAGATGAGGGTCTTGCTATGTTGCCCAGGCTGGTCTCAAACTCCTGGCTTTAAGCAATCCTTCTGCCTCAGCCTCGCAAAATGTTAGGATTACAGGTGTGAACCGTGCCTGGCGTGTGTACTTAATTTCTTTACTTTGTAGAAATCTGTGGTAGGCTGAGCCATTTTTCAATAGTTATCTGCTCCCCTTCCTCTTCCTAATGGGCATGAAGTAGACGTCTCTCCTTGGGTTTGGTTACGTGATTTGCTTTCAGCAATAGAATGTGAGAGAGTGTTGTGCAAACAGAGGCTTTCAACGTGCTTTTGTGGTTTTTTCTGGCTTCTTGTGTTTCTGCCAATGGCCTTAGGAGAACATGCTCTACGTTATCACTGGTCCTAGACTGGGGACGATGTGGAGACCCACAGACTGAAGCAGAGCTGTTCCAGCCACTTGCAGACCTGTAAGTGAAAAATGTATTTGTCACTGAAAGCCACTAAGATTTGGGGGTTCTTTGGGATGCAGCATGATTACTCTAGTAGATGACTAATATAATACCCCTCTAAACTTTTTTTTTTTGAGATGGAGTTTTGCTCTGTTGCCCAGGCTGGAGTGCAGTGGTGTGATCTCAGCTCACCACAACCTCCACCTCCCAGGTTCAAGTGATTCTTGTGCCTCAGCCTCCTGAGTAGCTGGGATTACAGGTGTGCACCACCACACCCGGCTAATTTTCGTATTTTTAGTAGAGACTGGGTTTCACCATGTTGGCCAGGCTGGTCTCGAACTCCTAACCTCAAGTGATCTGCCTGCCTCAGCCTCCCAAAGTGCTGGGATTACAGGCATGAAATACCCACCCAGGCCCCTCTAAACTTTTGATCTGTTTCTAATTTTACATATATATGTATATGTGTGTGTGCTTATATATATATATATATACACATATTTTCAACATATGAATATACATGATATGAATATATAATATGAATATATATGAATATGTGATATAAATATATATTCATATACTATATATATTCAACATATGAATATACACGATATGAATATATATGAATATGTGATATAAATATATATTCATATACTATATATTCAACATATAAATATATATTCAACATATGACTATATAATATGAATATATATAGGCACACATACATATATATTTTATTATTTCAGAATGTCAGTAGGAATTATCTAGGTGGAGAGATTATGGCTCATTTTGAATTTTCTTTTTCTTTTTTTTTTTTTTCTTTTAAATAGAGACAGGGTCTCACTAAGTTGCCCAGGCTGGTCTCAAACTCTTGGGCTCAAGTGATCCTCCTGACTCAGCCTCCCAAAGTGCTGGAATTATAGGCATAAGCCACCACGCCTGGCCAATTTTCTTTAAAAATTAAACAATCTTAAATATCATGTTTTATAAAGGGGAGATTCAGAAGGTGGTTGAAGGAGGCAAGTCTTATTCCTGACTGTTGTGGGGAGACCTGAGGTGGCAAGGAAGAGAGATGTCAGTGGTTCTTTGCTTTTTCATTGACATCTCCATGTTTCTTTGCAGCACATACAGCCACCTGCACATGTGGAGCTTGGTCTGGGAGGCTGCCTGCTCCCCCTTCGAGCCTGGGTGGCATGTGTCCAGGTGCCACCCCTAAGCGGAAGAGCCTTTCCTGGGGTGGTGTGCAGATGGCCACAAGGGAGGCAAGGTGGCCCAGGGAGGAAGAGAGAAGCCCAGGAGAAGCCAGCTCAGGATACCTCTTGGACATGGCATGAGAGCGCGCTGTCTTTGGCATGTTCCGCAGGAGAAATCCATCAGAGGAAGTGAGAGTGAAGGTAGGAAACAGAACTCATCTTGTGAGCAGCCCTTCTTGCCAACGCCACACATCCTTGTTGTCCAAATGTCAAGTGAGAAACGTATCTGTGTGCATTGTCAGACCTCATTGCTGGGAGATGTCAGCGCTGCCCGCAACTCCACTGGGAGGGGACAACTGGGAGATCCATGTGTGGAGCCCCCCTGGACTCTGCCGCACGTGCCTCTTCCCTGAGCTGATTTTAATCTGTGTCCTTTTGCTGTAATAAGCTGTAAGTGTGAGTAGGATGCCCTTCTGAGTTCTGTGAGTCCTTCTAGCAAATTATCAAACATAAAGGTGGTCTTGGAGACCCCCTGAACTTGCTGGGGGTGTCAGAAGTGAGAGTCCTTTTGTGGACTGTTTCCCTAAATTTCCTCTCCCTCATTTTTGGAATACATATATACACACATATATGCATATATATGCATACGTATACACACATATATACATGCATATATGTGTGTGTGTGTGTGTGCGTGCACGTGTGTATAATCTCATCCCTCGGTCCTCACAGGGCCTCTGTTTCCCTGTCTGAACCCTGTGACAGGCACAGGGCTGGTGAGAGGGCATTTCCAGGCTCCAGTTTGGAGAATGGGTGAAACACAGACTACTCATTATCATAGTCATTGGTTTTTATTTTTGATCTTGATGAAAATGGGGCAATTTTTACCTTGTCATAAAGCACACACCACCATGACTTAACTGTGCCAATTTATCAAGCTGACTTCATGCATTAACACATTTGATGGTTTGATACATTTATGACACTTTCAAAACATGTCCCCTTTGGAAAATTGTAGCGTGAAGGGAAAATGTTTACCCTCTTCATACAATTATGACTAATCTGTTTTTAGGAATTGATTAGAATAGAGGCTTTTCTTGGTGGGGCTGAAAGAGGAAGGAGGTGATTTGTGTAGCAGTGACTGGAGAAAGATGGGAAGAAGAGAATACCGAGGAGGGGTCCCAGAGAGGGAACTGCAGTATCTGTGTCCTTCAACAGCCGTTGGAGTTGTGATGTGGAGAGGCGTTTTCAGAAGAACCTCAGTGAAGCCCCAAAGGTGGGCAGAGTGGCCCTGGACTCTGTTGATAGATGCAGAGGTAGATCCAGCGGTGCTTGGCCTCAGGGAGGCCATGGCTTCCAGGGCACTGGCATGCAGACCCCGGGCACAGACACTACAGTTGTGGTGTACATTGTTGGTGCCTACCTGTGATGGTTATTTTATTTTTTATTTTTTTTAGAAACATGGTCTCACTCTGTTGCCTAGGCTGGAGTGCAATGGTGTGATCGTAGTTCACTGCAGCCTGAACTCCTGGGCTCAAGTGATCCTCCCACGTCAGCCTCCTGAGGTATGGGACACCACGCCAGGCTAATTAAAAAAAATTTTTTGTGGAGGTGGAGTCTTGCTATGTTGCCCAGATTGGTCTCAAACATTGGCCTCAAGCAATCCTCCTGCCTCGACCTCCCAAAATGCTGGGATCACAGGCATGAACCACAGCTTTTAACCTGATGGTTAAGTTTATGTGTCAACTTGACTGAGCCACAGAGTGCCTAGACATTTGGTCAAGCATCATCCTGGGTTTGTCTCTAAGAGTGTTTTTGGATGAGATTAACGTTTAAGTCAGTAGGCTGGAGTAAGGCAGATTGCCTCCCCCTTATGTGGGTGGACCTCATCCAATCAATTGAAGACCTCATTAGGATAAAAAACCTGAATAAAAGAGAACTTATTGGCTGGGCACGGTGGCTTACGCCTGTAATCCCAGCACTTTGGGATGACAAGGCAGGCAGATCACTTAAGGTCAGGAGTTCGAGACCAGCCTGGTCAACACGGTGAAACACCATCTCTACTAAAAATACAAAAATTAGCCGAGCATGAGCTGAGCGCGGTGGCTCACGCCTGTAATCCCAGCACTTTGGGAGGCCTAGGCGGGTGGATCATGAGGTCAGGAGTTCGAGACCAGCCTGACGAACATGGTGAAACCCCGTCTCTACTAAAAATACAAAAATTAGCTGGGCGTGGTGGTGTGCGCCTGTAATCCCAGCTACTCAGGAGGCTGAGGCAGGAGAATCGCTTGAACCCAGGAGGCGGAGGTTGCAGTGAGCTGAGATTGTGCCCCTGTGCTCCAGCCTAGGTGACAGAGTGAGACGCCGTCTCAAAAAAAAAAAAAAAAAAAAAAAAAAAAGCCAAGCATGGTGGCGGGTGCCTGTAATCCCAGCTACTCAGTAGGCTGAAGCACAAGAATTTCTTGAACCCAGAGGTCGGAGGTTGCAGAGAGCCAAGATTGGGCCCCTGCACTACAGCCTGGGCAACAGAGCGAGACTCCATCTCAAAAATAAAAAATAACATAACATAACATAACATAACATAACATAACATAACATAAATAATAAAATATAAAATAAAATAAAAAACTTCTGCCTGTCTTTGAGCCTTAAGCCAGCACATTGGTCTTCTGCCTTCAGAGGTGGACTGGGACTGAATCTATACGATCAGTTCTCCTGGGCCTCCCGCGGGCAGACTACACTATCTTAGGGCTTCTCAGTCTCCCTAACTGCATGAGCTAATTCTTTATAATACATTCCTTTATATAGATATCTTATTAGTTCTGTTTCTCTGGAGAACCCTTATGCACTACCGAAAATTCATTTCCCTCTTTCCTTCCACCAGAGCCCTAAGTTGCTAGAGTTGACTGCCTCCCCTCCCACAACACCGACCTTTCCCCACTTGGACCCCAGCAAGCCTGAGCACGTGTCATTTCCCTTGGTGACTGTGATTGGTCCAGGGCTGGCCATGTGACCTAAGCCAGTCCAGTTAGATGGACGGCGAGACTCCGCACTCTATTCCGGGGTGGAGTTTTTGCTCCTCCCTTCAGTCCCTGCTTTTGGGTTGGAACAGGAAACAGGGAGCTGTGATTGACACTTGCAGGCTAAACCGTGTGACGGATGCTGTGGCTTCACGGGGGCACCAGCAGCTGAGGCAGGAAGGCTAGAGCTACAGAATGAGGGCGTGGGTCCCTGAGCCCAATTACGATATTTCTTGGGTGTCCCAGAAATATCCTGGGTGACACTGGGGGGTGCTGAGGTCTTAGGGCCAGCTGTGGTTTCAGAGGCACTGTAATGTGGAAATTGCCGTGATCTCATTTGTAACCCCAGACTAGTAAGGGCTGTAGACAGCTTTGGTCCCATAAGACCAGAGGAGGTCGCACCTCTTTTCATTTCCTTCCAAACTCAGGTGCCCTTTGCTTGAGAGATGCTGTTACCCAGCTCAGCTCCTGGGGGAAGATTCAGCTCCCGAGGCAGCTGGTCCTGAGGATGATGAGGCCTCCTGCTTGTCTTAGGCACTCACTGCATCTATGTGCCTCCGATTTGATGTCTATGACCATACAACTCTTAACGTCACAGCTGCTCTCACCTAGTTACCCAGAAACCACACTCACAACAGGCTGTCCATCAAAGTCCTCCTGGCTCACAATGTTCATGTCACACAGCGAAGAGAACCTCACATGTGGAGTCTTGGTTTTTCTCTAGTCCCCCTTCCTGTGATGATGAATGTCTGGTGCAGTGTTTTTTCCCTACACCTGCAAAAGTCTCTCTGTCTCTGTCTCTGTCTCTCTCTTCTCTTTTTTTTTGAGACAGGGTCTTGCTCTGTCGCTCAGGCTTGAGTTCAGCTGCATGATCTTAGGTCACTGCAGCCTCCAACTCCTGGGGTCAAGCGATCCTCCTGCTTCAGCCTCCCGAGTAGCTGGGACTACAACTGTGCACTACCACATCTGGCTAATTTTACAATTTTTTGTAGAGATGGGGTCTTGCTATGTTGCCCAGGCTGGAGTGCAGTTGCATGACTATAGCTCACTTCAGCCTCCAACTCCTTGGCTCAAGCAATCCTCATGCCTCAGCCTCATGAGCAGCTGGGACTACCATGCCCTAATGTTGGCATGCATCTGTAGTCCCAGCTACTCGTGAGGCTGATTTTTAAATTTTTTGCTAATTAAAAAATTTTATTTTGTTTTGTAGAGACAGGGTCTTGCTATGTTGCCCAGTCTGCAAAAGTCTCTACTCATTTTAAACATGTACCAGGGCGGGATCTGATCCTGAGCACCCAGAAACTCAGCGTTCTGGATTCATACAGTCTTCCCTGCCTCCCCCTACACAGGGAGCCATCTGCAGTGAAGACACTGGCCTTGGTCTTTGGGACACATGGAACATATAGTGTTTATGGCAGGTCCAGTGGACTGTGCCTCATCTCCACGGAACTCCTATCTCACAAGTGCAGGTCAGGCAGAATAAGAAAAGTGATGGTCACACCTTTCTGGTCTCAAATTCCTGAAGTCAAGGTCGTCTTGTGACGGGTGTGACTGTCGCTAAAAGTGAAACAACAGGATGCAGGCCTGTGCAGGAAATGCAATTAGAACCGACACTTCTTATACCTCTCTTCTCACTTATCTAATTATTATCTAATTAAATAAGATGTTCTGTCTACAGTAGAGGCAACCATACAGACAGGGTGACTTGCTCAGCTGGGGGACTTTGGCATGCTCGATCACACATGTATTAGTGACATGTACAGTTATTACTTTAGACTAAACGACAAAATATTGTCCTCTAGAGTAGAATTAGAAAACAGAATTTTGACTTGTGAATTTGCTAGAATTCTTCCTTCTTTCTGTGCCCCTTAGGGGTATTGATTTATTCTTTTTCTTTTTCTTTCTTTTTTTTTTTTTTTTTTTTTTTTTTGAGATAGAGTTTTGCTCTTGTTGCCCAGGCTGGAGTGCAATGGCACAATCTTGGCTCACCTCAACCTCCGCCTCCCGGGTTGAAGCGATTCTCTTGCCTCAGCCTCCCGAGTAGCTGGGATTACAGGCAGGCACCACCACGCCCGGCCAATTTTGTATTTTCAGTAGAGATGGGGTTTCTCCATGTTGGTCAGGCTGGTCTCGAACTCCTGACCTCAGGTGATTCGCCCACCTAGGAGTCCCAAAGTGCTGGGATTACAGGTGTGAGCCACTGCACCTGGCCTAATTTATTCTTTAGCCCATGAGATGCAAAGAAAGTTCTTCGAATGCATCTCAGAAGCACCCCTGGACTCTGAATTCATGGAGACATCATCTTGGAACACACACCATTGCAAGCTCTCAGGGCTGCTCTCTGGGCAGTGTTTTTTTTGTTTTGTTTTTAAAATAAATAAATGTAAGGTGAATACTCTTGAGTTTAAAATGTTTCCTCCCGTTTCTCTCCTCATTCGGCTCCCTTTCTCCCTCTTTTCTATTGAAATCTGCTTTTTAAAAAGTTTTTAATTTTTTTTTTTTTGAGACTTGGTTTCACTCTGTCACCCAGGCTGGAGTGCAGTGGTGTGATCATAGCTCACTGCAGCCTCAAACTCAAGGGATCCTCCCATCTTAGCCTCCCCAGTAGCTGGGACTGCAAGCCCATGTCACCGAACCCAACTAATTTTTTGTAGAGATGGGGTTTCGCTATGTGGCGCCAGGCTGGTCTTGAAATCTGCCTCGGCCCCCCAGAGTGCTGGGATTAGAGGTATGAGCCACTGAGCCTGGCCCCAACAAAGCTCTGAAATTAGGGACCCACTAAGTTTCTCCATTGTGATTGGTGTCTGTGGCCGTAAGTCTTGTGAAAATGTTCTGGTTAAAAAAAAATTTACACAAACGATTTCCAATAATATAAGACCTCAGATACAAATCGAACCAAGTGGAAGCTTAGGATAGAAAATGGCAGTTTCCTGACCCTGTCCTCCCACCCCCATCCTGCTGACTCCAGGACCACCTCTCTGCACAGTTTCCCTCTGCAGCTCATCTGGTAGCTGTTGCTGGAATGCTGGACAATATGCTTCTTTCTCTGTTTCTTCACTTGCCAAGAGTAACAACTGGGGCTGAGAGCAGTGGCTCATGCCTGTAATCTCAGCACTTTGGGAGGCTGAGGTGGGAGGATTGCTTGAACCCAGGAGTTTGAGACCAGCTTGGGTGACATAGTGAGACACTGTGTCTCTTTTTAAATTTTTAAAAATTAGCTGGGCATGGCGGTGCATACCTGTATTCCCGGCTACTCAGAAGGCTGAGAGGGGAGGATCGCTTAAGGCCAGTAGTTGGAGGCTGCAGTGAGCTATGATGGCGCCAGTATACTCTAGCCTGAACAACAGAACAAGAGCCTGTCTCTAAAAATAAAAATAAGCTAGGCATGGTGGCTCACGCCTATAATCCCAGCACTTTGGGAGGCTGGGACTGGCAGATCATTTGAGGTCGGAAGTTCGAGACCAGCCTGGCCAACATGGTAAAACCCCATCTCTACTAAAAATACAACAATTAGCCAGATGTGGTGGCAGGCTCCTGTAATCTCAGCTACTTGGGACACTGAGGCAGGAGAATTGCTTGAACTTGGGAGGCGGAGGTTGCAGTGAGCCGAGATCGTGCCACTGCACTCCAGCCTGGGCAACAGAGCGAGACTCAGTCTCAAAAAACAAACAAACAAACAAACAAACAAAAAATAACAAAAAACCATACAAATAAAAATTAAAAAAGGAACTACTGATGCTTGCTGTGTGGTCAATGAGGACTTAATTGCTCAATTGATCAACACCACATTCTTCCTGCCTCTGCTTCTCTCCCCGTGTGAGCTGAGAACATTCTTTTTCCTTCTTGTATTGGTTCCCTGAGTGGGGTCTTTGGACACCGTGAGGGCGTGCTGACACCCAGGCTTCCTTTGAGGGTGGGTGAGTAGGTTGCCCCGGATGCCCCCAGTCTCTGTGGGAGGAAGGCAATTCTGGGCTCTGGTTCTCTCTCTCCTGATTGCCCAATGATCTGCCTGGGGTTGGATGAAGGCTGCCATATTTGTCAGCACGTGGGCCAGGGAGACGGCTGGTGAAAGCGGACAGGAGCAGACGTTTCCTAATCATGCCACTCTCAGTCCCCCTTTCCCCAGCCTCCACCAGGCTGGCCTGGCTGGATTCCCACCCCGCCTCCCCACCATTCCACTGAATTCCTAGTCACGACTTCCTCCCCCTTTCATCATTCCGTGTGGCTCCATTCATTTTCTTGTCTTCCAGAAACGCGCTGAAGTTTCTTATTCACCGGGTAAGAACTTTCTCCCCTTTCCTGTCTGCCTCCTCCCCGGGAAAACCATATCAGCCTTTTGAATAGGTCTCCAGGCACCACGTGGAGGCCCGAGCTCCACGGCCGGACGGCCCTGGACAGACAGTCTACGAAGAAAGCCCAGGCGTGATCTCCGATGATAGGCTGCTTGGGCCTTTCTGGGTTCCCTTTATAGATGTTCCAGACAGTTCTATTCATCCTAAACTTCCTCGAAGGTTTAATAACAATCACTCAACCTGGGGCCATTTGGGAAGTATTGAGTCATCTTTACAACGGGGGAGTTGAGGTGGTGGTTGAATCAAGCCAAACTGCACATCCCTTCTTCCGAGAAGAGGTGCCCATGAGAGCACACTTCTACATGCCTGGTTACTCCAGGAATCAGTTCTTGTGAAAATGAATGAAAGTTTTGAATGATTCCAAAAATCTCTGTGAGCACTTTCCTTTTTTTTTTTTTTTTTTTTTTTTTTGAGACAGAGTCTCACTCTGTCACCCAGGCTGAAGTGCAGTGGCACGATCTTGGCTCACTGCAGCCTCCGTCTCCTGGGTTCAAGCGATCCTCCTGCCTCAGCCTCCCAAGCAGCTGGGATTACAGGCAAGTGCCTCCACGCCTAGCTAATTTTTGTATTTTTAGTAGAGACGGGGTTTCACCATGTTGGCCAGGCCTGTCTTGAACTCTTGACCTCAAGTGATCCACCAGCCTCAGCCTCCCAAAGTGCTAGGATTACAGGCATGAGCCACCACACCTAGCCTGACATTATTCCATTTTCCAGGGGAAACCAGTGGGCATAGGAGGGCGGCCAGACAGACGGGGGTGTTGCCTCAGGTCTCCAGACTGGGGGTGTTGCAATTCGGTTTCTGGCGGAGTGTGGCTCTTGCATTAGGAACAACTCCAGATCCACTCCCGGGGACTCCACATCAAATCATGGCTCTCCTAATCGCTTGAATCCAGGAGGCAGAAGTTGCAGTGAGCAGAGATTGTGCCACTGCACTCCGGCCTGGACAACAGAGTGAGACTCCATCTCAAGCAAACAAACCAAAAAATCATGGCTGTCCTGGTTGTATCACTTATTTCCAGTCATCAGTCTTTGTAGACTAATTCTTTTTTCTTTTTTTCTTTTCTTTTCTTTCTTTTTTTTTTTTTTTTTTTTTTTTTTTTGAGACAGAGTCTCACTCTGTCACCAGGCTGCAGTGCAGTGGCGCGATCTCGGCTCACTGCAACTTCTGCCTGCTGGGTTCAAGTGATTCTCCTGCCTCAGCCTCCCGAGTAGCTGGGACAACAGGTGTGCACCACCACGCCCAGCTAATTTTTGTATTTTTAGTACAGACGGAGTTTTGCCCTGTTGGCCAGGATGATCTCCATCTCTTGACCTCGTGATCCTCTCCCCTCTGCCTCCCAAACTGCTGGGATTACAGGCGTGAGCCACCATGCCTGGCCTTTGTAGACTAATTCTATTACCCCAAAAGGTTGCCGGGCGGGACCGCCACAATGAATGACAACCCTGACTCAGGGGAGTTTGGGATGGCCCCAAACAGGTGGGTGCTGACTGTTCTCAGAGGAGTCTCTTCCTCTTTTCCTCACTGGATTCTCAGGTAATGCACAGACAAAAGTGCAGAAGGAAGTGTCACTGGCTCTGGTTTATTTTAATTTTTTTTTTTCCAAAGAGCTTTGATTAATAGAACTAAAAAAGAACAGAGTATAGCCAGGACCAAAATTGGAGGTAACAAATCCAAACTGTATCCAGGCTGAGTGTTGGCTCGGGAAAACCCACTTCATGGAGAAGAGGCGCCTTGAGGGTGGACAGGGAACCTGTCAGCTTTCCATGGGCGGGGCCTGGCTTGAGGGGCGGGGCTCTGGATGAGAGTGGGCGGGGCTCTGGATGGGGATGCACAGGCCCTGGCTGGCAATGGGTGGAGCTCTGATGGGGTGGGTGGGGCTCTGAATAAGAATGGGTGGGGCTCTGGCTGGGAGTGGGTGCGGATCTGGATGGGGATGCACAAGGCCCTGAATGGGGATGGGTGGAGCTCTGGGTGGGGTGAGCGGGGCTCTGAATGAGAATGGGTGGGGCTCTGAATGGGGTGGGCAGGGCTCTGGATGAGAATTGGTGGCACTTTGAAAGGAGTTGGGCGGGGCCCTGGATGAGAATGGGCGTGGCTCTGATTGGGGATGCACAGGGCCTGGCTGGATTGGGTGGGGTGCTGGATGAGAGTGGGTGGGGCTCTGGATGAGAGTGGATGGGGCTCTGGATGATTGTGGGTGGGGCTCTGGCTGGGGGTGGGCGGGGCTCTGGCTGGGGGTGGGCAGGGCTCTGGATGATAATTGATGGTGCTTTGGGAGGAGTTGGGTGGCGCCCTGGATGGGGGTGTGCAGGTCTCTGGACATGCATGGGTGTAGATCTGAACCTGTCAGCAGTGGTTGGAAGAGGGGTAATGGGAGGATAAAAGCAGGCTGTGGGAAAAGGTATGGTTCGGGAGAGACCATGGCCTCTGGACCTAGAATCTAGCTCTGCTGCTTGTCTGCTGCATAAGATGGACAAGTCCTTTGCCCCAGTCTCCTCATCAGCAACAGTCACCTCATGCAGATCAAATGGGAAGGTGCCTGTGAGGCACTCACATGGTGCCTGGCACGTGGTGGGCTCTAGGACTGGGTTCCCGTTTTTCCTTCCTCTGGGTTTCCCATCGTCTTCCCTGCAGAGGGGGTCAAGGCACATGAGTGTGTGTGCATACCTGTCCCCTCCCAAGACTTCTATGAGACTCAGTGCACCTGGACGTGTCTTCCCCTTGGGGAACATTTAATGCAACAGAAACCAGGAGACCGAGTTCTGGTTTCAGCCATGCCACTCACTGGCCATGTGACCCTCAGCTTTCTAGACACAGTCGTCCCATCTGAAAACGACAGGTTTGAGACAAGAGAAGTTATCTCCAGCTTCCCTACAAAGCCTCCAAAGTCCTGGGTCCTTGCCTGTGGCTCCAAAACGGGGTCACATCGTGAGTCCCTGTGGGCACTGTTGGTGGGGTCCTCGCCCTTCGGCTCCCACTCAGTCCCCTGTGTCCACTTGCTTGGTTCATGGGACCTCTGGGGGTCCTCACTACAGTCCCTGCCCACTGTGGGAATGTGGAGGGCACAGGCCAGGAAGCTCCTGACCCAAGGGGAGCCAGGGAGCTGAGTTGGATGGGGAAAGTGGCTCTTCCAGGTCTGGGTGGTGCCTGTGGGGTCTGGATGGCAATGGATGCTGGGTGGTTACCTGTTCAACCCCTCCTCACCCGTCCTCCTCCCCCCAACTGGAGGCTCCCATCTTCCCCAGGTCCCTGAGGGTGGATTATCAGTGCATATGCACAGACACTGGTGTGAGTGTGTGTATGAGTGTGAGAGAGTGATATATGGTGTGAGGTCAGGTGTGCATGCAGGTGCATGAGTGTGGGAAGGTGTGTGTGAGAGTGTGCATGTGCCTGTGTGAGGGTGTCAGAGCCCTGCCCCAGCTGCACATATGGAACAGATGAAGGGAGTTACTCTGGCTGTAGAGTTGCGGACTCAGATGCTTCCATGGGCTCCTCCTCCTCATCCACAGCAGCTCCTAGTGCCCTCTGTGCAGCTGGTAGATCTCTGGGCTAGTGGACTTATAAACTCTAACATTCTGTGATTCCAAGATGTAAGACTCAGATGAGTCACTAGAGAAAACCTGGTAACAAAATCCCACTAAGGCACAGATGGCTGCCATGCCCTTCTTCCCAGGGTATACATTTGGGCAGAGGAGGAGTCAGGGTGCTGGTAAAGTTGGGAAGGAGGGAGTGACCTGGGGTGACATGGGTACTTATGTCTGCAGGGAGCCATGGAGGGACACTGATGTCACATTCATGCAATAGGAAGGGAGAGGCCTTTCAAAAGGAGAAAAAGGAGGAGCCCCAGGTCCTAGGAGATGCCTTCAGGGGTCTGCATGCATAAACACCTCAAACGGAGGTATCTTAGTCAGCTCAGGCTGCCATAACAAAATAGCATAGTCTGGGTGGCTTGAACAACTGAAGTTTGTCTTCTCATGGTTCTGGAGGATGGAAGTCCAAGGTCAGGGTACAGCTTCCAGTAAGGGCTCTTTTCCTGGCTTGCAAACAGCCACCTTCTCATTGTATCTTCAAGGTGGGGAGAGAGGAAGAGAGAGAGCTGGCTAGTGTCTCTTCTTGTAAGGACACTAATCCCATCATGGGGACGCTACCCCAAGACCTCATCTAACCGTAATTATCTCCCAAAGGCCCCACTTCTGAATGCCATCATATCACGGGGTAGGGCTTCACCCTATGAATTTTGAAGTTGCAAAAACATTCAGTCCATAGCAGAGGGGTGGAGAACCACTGGGTGGCCAGAAAGGGAAGACTGAACGTAACATGACGATGGCCTTTGGTAGTCACTGACAGCTTGCTATGTGTTAGGCATTGTGCTCAGAGTTCTATATGTATCAGCTCCCATCACTTTTGGGGCCCAAGGTGGGAATTTTTTCCCACACCTTGCACCCTCTGAACACAACCACCCCAAAACACAGCCATCCCAACTGAGCACCCCAATGTCCCAAATAACTCAGTGTATTGCCCTTTAAGTCACAGACTTCCCTGGTGCATTTAAAATGATTCCATTTAGCAAAATCAATTGACCCACAACTTTTTCAGGAACACAAATATTAGCTAATGCAAAAGACAAACAGAAAGGGATATTTTATCTCCTTGCATAACTAGCTCAATAGTTTTCTTTTACCTCCCTGGAGAGGAAGCAGAGTTATATAAGTCAAGCTTTGGTGTCTCAGGATGTCTGAAGTCACTGATGGCAAAAACTTAGAGTTCTAAGAGCCAGTCAGCCGTGAAACTCACTTTGTTAGTGGCAAAACAAGCAGGTTTGTAATCAACAAGTGTCCATTTCTTTTCTGTTCTGTGTACTCTTCACTTTTGGGGTGGGGGTCCCCACTGTTCTTGGGGTTGCCCTTTGAACACAATTAATCAGTATGTCTTTGCCCAAACTGGGGCAAGGGAGGTATTCACAGACAATAGATCACTTATTTGGATCCTAATTTGTGTGTGCATCTTGCCCTATGCTTTTTCCTTCAGGTTCCATAATGGGTTTAACTGTGTCCCCTATACCAGTGATCCCCAACCTTTTTGGCACCAGGGACTGGCTTAGTGAAAGACAATTTTTCCACAGATGGGGCAAGAGATGGTTTCAGAATGATTCAAGCCCATTCCATTTATTGTGCACTTTATTTCAATTATTATTACATTGTAATAGGTAATGAAATAATTCTACAACTCACCATCATGTAGAATCAGTGGGAGCACTGAGCTTGTTTTCCTGCAACTAGACAGTCCCGTCTGGGGGTGATGGGAGACAGTGACAGATCATCAGGCATTAGATTTTCATAAGGAGGTTGCAACCTAGATCCCTCGCATGCACAGTTCACAATAGGGTTTGAGCTCCTATGAGAATCTAATGCCACTGGTTATCTGACAGGAGGCAGAGCTCAGGCCATAATTCGAGCGATGGGGAGTGGCTGTAAATACAGATGAAGCAGCCAGGCGCAGTGGCTCATACCTGTAATCCCAGCACTTTGGGAGGCCAAGGTGGGTGGATCACAAGGGCAAGAGATCAAGACCATCCTGGCCAACATAGTGAAACCCTGTCTCTACTTAAAATACAAAAAAATTAGCCAGGCATGGTGGCAGGTGCCTGTAGTCCCAGTTACTCGGGAGGCTGAGGCAGGAGAATCGCTTGAACCTGGGAGGCGGAGCTTGCAGTGAGTCAAGATCATGCCACTGCACTCCAGCATGGCGACAGAGTGAGACTCCATCTCAAATAAATAAATAAATAAATAAATAAATAAATAAATAAAATACAGATGAAGCTTCACTTGCCAGCTGCTCACCTCCTGCCATGCAGCCCTGTTCCTAACAGGCCATAGACTCCTACCCGTCTGTGGCCTGGGGATTGGGGACTCCTGCCCTGCACCTCCCTGAGTCCCCAGATTCATATGTGAAAGCTCCCAGTACTTCAGGAAATGACTCATCTGGAAATAGAGGCAACAAGTTAAAGCAAGGTTGTTAGGGTGGTCTGTAATCCAATATGACTGATGTCCTTATAAAAAGGGGAAATTTGGGACGAGGTGCAGTGGCTCACACCTGTAATCCCAGCACTTTGGGAGGCCGAGGCAGGCAGATCACAAGGTCAAGGGATGGAGACCACCCTGGTGAACATGGTGAGACCCCGTCTCTACTAAAAATACAAAAATTAGCTGGGCATGGTGGCACGTGCCTGTGGTCCCGGCTACTTGGGAGGCTAAGGCAGGAGAATCGCTTGAACCTGGGAGGCAGAGGTTGCAGTGATCTGAGATCATGCCACTGCACTCCAAACTGGCGACAGAGCAAGGCTCCATCTAAAAAAAAAAACGACAACAACAAAAGGGAAATTGGAGCACAGAGACACACATAGAGGGAAGATGGTGTGAAGAGACAGGGAGAAGACAGCCATCTACATATGAGCGAAGGAGAGAGGCCAGAGCAGATTCTCCCTAACAGCACTGGGAAGGAACCAATCCTGCCCACACCTTGATCTTGGACTTATAGCCTCCAGAATGGTGAGACAATAAATCTCTGTTGTTTAAACCACCCAGTTCATGGTACTTTGTTATGGTGGACCCAGGAAACCAAAACTAAATTCTTTGCATTTCCTGGCTTTGAGGAATTTACAAAATGCAGTGCAGAAAACTGCACTATTGCTGGCTTTGTAAAACTCTATTATCATAGAAGAGAGGTGCTTGGTGTTCCAGAAGGGGAGGGTGGGAGACAGGCCTTGGAGGTTGCGGAGAAGAGGTGTGTGTATTTGTGGGTGGGGGTAGGGATCCTACTTGCAGGATCCGAGGAAGGGGCATCCAGCTGTATGGGGACTTGGCCAACACTTGGTGACAGGGCTTCAGGGCTGCTGCTGGTGCAGGCAGATGAATGGGCTTGGGAAACAGGGTCTCTGAGGTGGGAAAAGATCTCTGCATCCTGGAGAGATTGCCATCTCCAAAGACAGAGCTGACAACGAATGGAGCTGCCCTGACCATAGTCAGGTGGCTCCACTCACTCTCAGATCTTGCCCCATCCAGCCTCGGTTCCTTCCTTTGAAGTGACCAGAATGCTCCGGACATGACACGACATGCTCCCATCATGCAGGTTTGTGTGGATGGCACTTGGGTCTCATTTCTGGGCTCAGTTGGGTGTGTGACCAGTGCAGGTTCATGGAGCCCCGTGCTTGGAAAGGCCCCTCTCTTGGAGTTTAATGCTCTGTGGTTGCCATATTGAAATTCTCAATAGTTTCATCTTTGCATTTGTGTCTTGTAAGTGAAGTCTGATGGGACACAGAAGCTGCTCCCCAGTGTCCCCAGGACAGGTTCGCCCCCTTGCCTACACCGGGCCCTCCAGATGCCCAGTGCTGCCCTCTGTTCCTGGTGGGGCCTGAGCACAGGCATGGGCTGGGACGGGGGTATTCTGTTGTCCCATCCCTGTTACACACTTGGGGCTGCGTGGAGCACCCTGATGTGGAGCCCAAGGCGTCGTCATATCTGCTCCCTGCACACCCAGTGATATGCCTGAGTGTGGCCCTCTCTGCAGGTGAATCCTACGATGCTCATTCACCTTCTCCACTTAGGCTAGAAACAAGCGGGACTTTCAGAGGAAGGACATCATCTCCTCCGATGGGAGCAGCCTGTGCACCCCTAGCCTGAACATCAGGCTCCGGCAGACTGTGGCTGCAAACAGCAAAGGGTCAACTCAGCTTTTGTGGCAGCCCCACGACATGGGAGGCCATGGATAGAAGGAGGCAGGGGGCTAGTGGGCCAGAGGAGGTTGGTGGATGAGGCCTAGGGGGACTTCTCTTAGGGGTGAAGCCTCCATGGGCCACAGGTCAATGCCACCCCTACCTCATTCTGGCACAGGCTCTTGAGTGGCCAATAATTTTTTTGTTTCTTGAGACAGGGTCTCACTCTGTTATTGAGGCTGGAGTGCAGTGGTGGAATCATAGCTCACTGCAGCCTCGACCTCCTGGACTCAAGCGATCCTCCTGCCTCAGCCTCCCGAGTAGCTAGGACTAGCAGGTGCACACCACCATGCTCAGCTGGGATCAATAAATTGCCTCAGCTGTGCCTAGGCTGTGCTGTGGCCTCTGCTCTGGGAGTGAAAGCTTGTGGCTTCCTCTAGTCTGTGATTGTTGATCCTTCCTTCCTCCCTTCCTTCATTCCTTCCTTTCTTCCTTCCCTCCCTCCCTCCCTTCTTTTCTTTCTTTCTTTCTTTCTTTCTTTCTTTCTTTCTTTCTTTCTTTCTTTCTCTCTTTCTTTCTTTCTCTCTTTCTTTCTTTCTTTCCTCTTTCTTTCTTTCTTTCTTTCTTTCTTTCTTTCTTTCCTTCTCTTTATTTCTCTCTCTCTCTCTCTCTCTCTCTCTCTCTCTCTCTCTATATATATATATATATATATATATATATATTTGGGTTTTTTTGAGACAGGGTCTCACTCTATTGCCCAGGCTGGAGTGCAGTGGCATGATCTCGGCTCACTGCAGCCTCTCCCTCCCAGATTAAAGCAATTCTCCTGGCTCAGCCTCCTGAGTAGCTGGGATTACAGGCATGTGCCACCACGCCCGGCTAATTTTTGTATTTTTAGTAGAGACGGGATTTCACCACGTTAGCCGGGCTGGTCTTGAACCCTTGACGTCAGGTGATCTGTCTGTTTTGGCCTCCCAAAGTGCTGGGATTACAGGCATGAGCCACCACACCTGGTCCTTTCTATATATTTTTGATATATTTATCTTTTTATTATACAAAAATACAAACCCATACCTAATGGAGAGAGTATTGGAGTGAATGAAGGAGCCCCATGATCTCATCTCCTTGCTTCAACAGCTCATTGGCAAATTCATTGATTAGTTCTTCAAACCACCCCCCCCACCCCCCCACCTACCACCATCAGGATTATTTTGAAACAAATCCTTAACCATATATCATTTTATCTGCAATTGGGAATTTTTTTTTTTTTTTTTTTTGAGAGAAGGTCCAGCTCCCAGGCTGGAGTGCAGTGGCACGATCATGGCTTACTGCAGCCTCAACCTCCCAGGCTCAAGCAATCCTCCCGCCTCAGTCTCCCAAGTATTTGGGACTACAGGTGTGCACCACCATGCCCAGCTTATTTATTTATTTTTTCTTGTATGTTTTGTAGAGATGAGGTCTTGCTGTGTTGCTCAGGCTGGTCTCTAACTCCCAGGCTCAAGTAATGTGCCCACCTCGGCCTCCCAAAGTGCTGGCATGAGCCACCATACCCTGCCAGGACTGCATTTTTAAGAAAACATAAACACAATACCATCATCTCACTTAAAAAAAAGTGTTAATCTCCAATATTGTTAAATAACTTGTCAGGATTCACGTCGTTTTCATTCTGTCTCTCTTCCTCCTCCTCCTTCCTCCAAAAAGGAAGCTTCCTAGGGCCAATGTAACTTATTACCACAATCCAGGTGGCTTAAGGCAACAAAAATTGATCCTCTCACAGTCTGGAGGCCAGAAGTCCAAAATTCAGGCGTCGGCCGGACTGGTTCCTTCTGGAAGCTCTGAGGGACCGTCATCCTCTGCTTCTCTCCAGCTCCTGGGGTGGCCGGCCGCCTTGGCATTCCTTAGCTTGTAGTTGCATCACTCTAGTCTCTGCCTCCATCTCCACCAGCCTCCTCCTTGTGTGTGTGTGTGTCTCTGTGTCTCTTCCTCTGGGGACACCAGTCCTTGGATTAGCACCCACTCTAATCCAGCACGACCTCATTTTCACTTGATTAATGACCTCTGCAAAGATCCTATTTCCAAACAAGATCCCATACACAGGTTCGGGGTTTGGGACTTCTACATGTATTTTTGGGGAACACGGTTTAACCCCCGTTGGGTCATACCTTGGGATTAGTGGGCACAAAGGTGCTGCTTTGAGTGCTGCTGCCTACAGCCATGGCGGCCAAGGGCCCCTCTTCTGCCTGGGAGTAGAGGGGAAGGGTTACCTTCCACCCCAGAGGCAGCCTGTGGGTATAAACCCTCTCCAACTCCTTGCTTCTCAACAGGACAGCTCTGCAGGGCAATTTTCTCACCAAAGACCCCTTAAGTCTCATTTGGCTGTGGCCTGAGGTCATATCCTTGCTGGACTTCCCCTGTGCCCCGTCTTGCCTGGGCCTCCATCAATAAACCGTGTCCTTTCCTCTCCAATTCCCAACTCAGGCTTTGCTTCCTGGGACCTGATTTAAGAAAATATCTCACTTGATAGGTTCCCCCTCTATGGTTTTGACATTTTGATTTAATTTAATTTTTTAAAGAAACTAGGTTATTTGTCCTGCAGAGTCCCCATTGGCTGGATGTGGCTGATCGTACCCTGGGGTGCAGTTGGCTTTTACTGCCAGCCTCTCTCATGCTCTGATTCACCCTTTGAGGTCTGCAGCCCCTGCCTGTGATGTAGACAGGGCACAGGTGCCACAGATTCACATCCCAGGCAGCCCCCAGCCCCCAGGCCCCCAGCCATGTGGATGATCAGGTAGAGCTCTGTTGAAAAACAACCCCAACCTGCCAGGCGCAGTGGCTCATGCCTGTAATCCCAGCACTTTGGGAGGCTGAGGCGGGAGGATCACTTGAGGTCAGGAGTTTGAGATCAGCCTGACCAACATGGTGAAACCCCATCTCTACTAAATATAAAAAATTAGCCGGGCGTGGTGGTGCAAGCCTGTAATTCCAGCTACTTGGGAGGCCAAGGCAGGAGAATCACTTGAACCTGGGAGGTGGAGGTTGCAGTGAGCCGAGATTGCACCATTGCACTCCACCTTGGGCAATAGAAGTGAAACTCCATCTCAAAAAAAAAAAACAAAAAACAAAAACAAAAACAAAAAACAACCACAGCAAATTCTGTAATATATCCAAAAAGGTTTATTACAAGCCAGTATGAGTGACCATGGGCCTAGGAACAATTTCAAGAGGTCCTGAGAAAGTGTACCTGAGGGCCGGGCATTGTGCTCATGACTGTAATCCCAGCACTTTGAGAGGCCGAGGTGGGTGCATCATTTGAGTTCAGGAGTTTGAGACCAGCCTGGCCAACATGGTGAAACTCTGCCTCTACTAAAAATACAAAAATTAGCCAGGTGTGGTGGCGGGTGCCTGTATTCCTGCTACTCAGGAGGCTGAGGTAGGAGAATCACTTGAATCCCAGGAGGCGGAGCTTGCAGTGAGCCGAGATCACGGCACTGCACTCCAGCCTGGGCTACAGAAGGAGACTCCGTCTCAAAAAAAAAAAAAAAAAAAAAAAAAAAAAGTGTACCTAAGCTGGGGGTTGGCTCCAGGAGGCGGAGCTTGCAGTGAGCTGAGATCACGGCACTGCACTCCAGCCTGGGCTAGAGAAGGAGACTCCAATTAAAAAAAAAAAACAAAGTATACCTAAGTGGGGGATTGGGTTACAGGTTGGTTTTATACATTTTAGGAAGACAGGAATTGTAGGTAAAATTACAAATCAATACATAGAAGATGTACATTGGTTCAGCTTAAAGGGGTGGGTTATCTTGAAGCAGGGACTTACAAGTGGATTCAGAGATTTTCTGATTGGCAACTGGTTGAAAGAGTTAAGCTTTGGCTAAAGACTTGAAGTCAGCAGAAATAAATGCTTAAGTTAAGATAATGGGGTAATATGGTTTGGATCTGTGTCCCCACCCAAGTTCCAGGTTGAATTGTAATTCCAACTGCTGGAGGTGGGGCCTGCTGAGATGTGATTGGATCATGGGGGTGGAGTTCTCATGAATGGCTTAGCACCATCCCCCACCTTGATTCTGTAGAGTGAGTGAGTGTGCACAAGATCTGGTTGTTTAAAAGTGTGTGGCACCTCCCTCCTCTCTCTCTTGCTCCTGTTCTGGCCATGTAAGACGTTCCTGCTTCCCCTTCCCCTTCCGCCATGATTAAAAGTTTCCTGAGGCCTCCCCAGAAACCGAGCAGGTGCCAGGACCATCCTTCCTGTACAGCCTGCAGAAGCGTGAGCCAGTTAAGCCTCTTTTCCTTATAAATTACTCGGTCTTGGGTATTTCTTTTCTTTCTTTCTTTCTTTTTTTTTTTTTTGAGACCAAGTTTCACTCTGTTGCCCAGGCTGGAGTGCAGTGGCACGATCTTGGCTCACTGCAACCTCTGCCTCCCAGGTTCTAGTGATTCTCCTGCCCCAGCCTCCCGAGTACTGGGATTACAGGCACCTGCCACCATACCTGACTAATTTTTTGTTTTTTTAGTAGAGACAGGGTTTCACCATGTTGGCCAGGCTGGTCTTGAACTCCTGACCTCAGGTGATCTGCCTGCCTCGGCCTCCCAAAGTGCTAGGATTACAGGTGTGAGCCACCATGCCTGGCAGGTTTTTTTTTTTTTAATAGTAATGTGAGAATGAACTGATACACAGGGATCGTGGACACCAAGGCTTTTGTTATGTAGATGGAACCTCAGAGGTGGCAGCCCTCAGAGAGAAGAGGTGGCAAATGTCCTTTTTCTGACCTTAAAAGGTGTCATACTCTCAGTTGATCTCTCCTAGATCTGGGAAAGTCCTGGCTTCTCTTTCTCTACAGATGCAAATCTCCCCCACCCACCAAAGACGGCTTTGCAGGGCCATTTCAAAATATGTCAAAGAAACGTATTTTGGGGTAAAATATTTCGATGTCCTTCAGGGTCTGCTATCTGTCATGTGATGCTATACCAGAGTCAGGTTGGAATTTGAGATCTTATTGCCACAAAGAGTCTGTCCTGTCAGTCTCATGATTTCTATTTTAATGTTAATGCTGGCCAGTTGTGTCTAAATCCTAAGAGGGAGGAGGTATAATGAGACATTTCCAACCTCCTTCCTTATTATGGCAGACAATTCCATTTTTCAGGTTTCTCTGGGGTCTTCTTCGCCCAGAGGGAGTTGATTGAGTCATTTGGTTGGGAGTAGTTTATTTTTGGTTTACAGCTCTGAGCCTGGGAGCAAGATGGGGGCCCTCCTGGCTGGAGTCAGCTGAACTGCAAGGTGGGAGAGGCCTTTCAGGGCTGGCTGTGCTCATTGTGGGACTTCAACATGGGGCTATTTACAGTTCCTGAACTACCTCTTCTCAGCCTTTCCTGTCTTACTTGGTGAGGTCTTGTGAAGTAGTGAGCCTTCTCCAGTGGGCAATAGGAAACCAGGGGTTTCATGCACATCTTGCATTGTTCTGGGGGAGCATTTATCTCTAGCAGCCAGCAGGGGGTGGCATCAGGTACCAAAGGCGTGAGCCTGGCCCAAGGGAGTGGGAGCAGAGGGCTTTGCAGATTTGGGAGAGGTCAAGGTCAGGTCCCCCCATGCCCCACCACTCCCTTGTGCTCCACCACAGTTCTCTGGCCTCACCACCAAGCGCCATGATAGGTAGAAATGAGACTCGCAGATTTTTCTCCAAATACCTTCCAGTCCTTCACTCAGGGTGGGCATGTGTTTGGGGATGTACCATGTCTGCGGCTGGCTTGAGCAGAGGTGAGAGTAAAGGTCGTGCAGGGCAGCCCCTTGTCCATATGCATCCAAGGCCTATTTTGCTGGGCACACATTTTTGGCCTCTCATGGGGCAAACATTATCATCCAGGTTTTAAAATCAGGCGTGGCCCTGGAAGTCCTTTCTCTTGCCACCAAGAGATACAGCACCCCTGCGATGAATTAGCCGCTCTGGCATGGCCCTTCCACCATAATTCTTCGCATGGGGCTATTTGTTTTTCTTTCTCATCTTTTCCTTTTTCTGGCTGGGATTCTGGCGCCACAGCTGCCAGCCTGGTCCCAAATCTCACATCAGGGCTGCAGCCCTGAGAGGCTCATTCCGTCAGAGTCTTATTGGGTTGCAAGCTGCCCGGACAATGTCTTAGACAAGGGCATGCTGCTCTGAGATTAAATTCTTCCAATGAGACAGGGCCCATCTTTCCTCATAAAACATGAGCTTCTGTCAATGTCATTGCCCTAGGATCTGAGGGGAGCTCTGCTGTTGAGCCTGCGGGGACAGGGACAAGGAGATGACAAAGATGCTGCTCTCTGGGACTGCCTGCCTCTTGAAGGAGAGACTCCAGGCATGTGGAGAGTGAGTCCTGGGTTGGAATTCTTAGCTTCTCGCCCTACTGGCTGGGTGGCTTTAGGTACCTCACTTTGTCAGCTGGAGCCCCAAGGCCCCTACCTGGGAGATGGTTCATGGTGTAAGGTTGCGGTGCAAATGTAATCAGAGAAGGCAAAGTGTCTGGCACATACTTTGTGATCAAGCTGCGTTTGTTCTCTCTGCTCCCAATATCTTCCACAAGAGTCTGAAATTCCTACTTTTCAGGGTAAAGCAAGCACAATACACTCTTCTGGAGTTATCACTTAAGTTTAAATGGATTAAGCAACATATGAGCATTCAGTCTGTTTTAATGTGGTGTCTTTTTTCCCTTTTCTTCACTCTCCATTAGAAAATGTCAGTCCAGCCGGGTGCAGTGGCTCATGCCTATAATCCCAGCGCTGTGGGAGAGGAAGGTGGGAAGATCCCTTGAGGCCAGAAGTTTGAGACCAGCCTGGGCAACATAGTGAGACTGCATCTCTAGATGTATATACAAAAAATTAGCATGGCATGGTGGTGTGCGCCTGTAGTCCCAGCTGCTTGGGAGGCTGAGGTGGGAGGATCACT
Source organism: Homo sapiens (assembly GCF_000001405.40). NCBI lineage: Eukaryota > Metazoa > Chordata > Mammalia > Primates > Hominidae > Homo > Homo sapiens. The sequence continues at coordinate 98,533,340 of NC_000007.14, forward strand.
TGAGTCCAGGAGGTCGAGGCTGCAGTGAGCTATGATTGTGCCACTGCACTCCTGCCTGGGTGGCAGAGTGAGACCCATCTCAAAAAAAGAAAAAAAATAATATCAGCCCAGTCTAGGGTAGGAGTGAGGGTGTGGGATGGGCAGGGTCCCTCTCCCTGACCCAACCATCAGCTGCAAACCCTTCCTCCGTCTGCCCGCTCATGTCTGTAGTCTCAAGTCTCTTGGCTCTTGTAGTACTGTGGTTTTGGTGGAGGCTATGGCCTTAGTGGCTACCAGAGTGTGCCCTGCTAGGAAAGAGAAGATGTTTTCGGGTGTCAGGATGAAAACTGTGTGCAACTGGAGAGGGAGCTTGGTGTCTGGTACTGTTCTAGGTGCTTAGGACACAACAGTGTAGAGTCAGCCAACCCTCCTTCCTGGGCTCATATTCCAATGGGAAAGAACCAATAAACAGAAAGCATAATGCTTAAAAAGATTCTGCAGCAGCCGGGTGCGGTGGCTCACACCTGTAATCCCAACACTTTGAGAAGCCAAGGGGGTGGCAGATCATGAGGTCAGGAGTTTGAGACCATCCTGGCCAACATAGTAAAACCCTGTCTCTACTAAAAATACAAAAAATTAGCTGGGGGTGGCGGCAAGCGCCTGTAATCCCAGCTACTCAGGAGGCTGAGGCAGAAGAATCGCTTGAATCTGGGAGGCGGAGTTTGCAGTGAGCCAAGATTGTGCCACTGCACTCCGGCCTGGGTGACAGTGCGAGACTCTGTCTCAAAACAAAACAAAACAAAAAACAAAAAAAGATTCTGCAGCATGCTGGAGAGTACCAAGCATCATGAGAAAAGGAAGTATCAAGCTGGGTAAGGGGCTGTGAGTACAGGTAAGGGGTGGGAAGTAGCTCCTGGGGAGAGGTTGCAAAATCCTATAAGGCTGCTGGAAGCTGGGACTCAGTGAGAAGCTGACTTATTTTTTATTTATTACTATATTTAACTTTTTTTTATTTATTTTAGAGAAAGTGTCTCACTCTGTCAGCTGGAGAGCAGTGGAACGATCATAGCTCACTGCAGCCTCAACCTCCTGGACTCAAGGGATCCTCCTGCCTCAGCCTCCTGAGTAGATGGGACCACAGGTGTCACCCACCACCATACGCAGCTAATTTTTTTCTTTACTTTTGGTAAAGATGGGGTCTCACTATGTTGCCCAGGCTGGTCTGGAACTCCTTGCCTCAGGCAATCCTCCTCACCTCAGTCCTCCAAAGTGCTCGGATTATACCAGTATGAGCCACCACACTTGGCCTGAAGGTGACTTTTAAACAAAGACTTGAATTACGCAAGAGGAGTAGTCAAGTGGAGATCTGGGGGAAGGGTGTCCAGGCAGAGAGAACAGTCAGTGCCAACGCCCTGGGGCAGGAGTGTGCCTGGTGTGTTTCAGGCACGGAGGCGGGAGATGAGTGAAGCCATGGAAGGATTTTGGGTTCTACTCTGAATGAGATGGGGAGGTACTACAGGGGTTTTGTTTTGAGATGGAGTCTCGCCCTGTCGCCCAGGCTGGAGTGCAATGGTGCGATCTCGGCTCACTGCAACCTCCGCCTCCCAGGTTCAAGTGATTCTCCTGCCTCAGCCTCTCAAGTAGCTGGGATTACAGGTGCCTGGATGATTTTTGTATTTTTAGTAGAGACGGGGTTTCGCCATGTTGGCCAGGCTAGTCTCGAACTCCTGACCTCAGGTGATCCACCCACCTCAGCCTCCCAAAGCGCAGGGATTACACGTGTGAGCCGCCGCGCCTGGCCTGTTTGGTTTTATTTTTAAGACATAGAGTCTCACTCTGTCTCCCAGGCTGGAGTGCAGTGGCGCCATCATAGTTTACTGCAGCCTCAGCCTCTTGGGCTCAAGTGATCCCCCAACCTGGGCCTCCCAAAGTGCTGGGATCACAGGCATGAGCCACTGAGCCTGGCTGATTCAGGGCTTTGATAAAAGACATGACATTATCTGCTCTAGGGACACAAGAATACAGCAGGTTGCCCAGTTAGGAGGTGGTCACAGCGGTTCACATACGAGATGATGGCCCTAGATCTGAACTTGGGTGGCTGTAGGGAAGTGGGGACATTGGTTTCTGGATGTATTTTTGTAAGAATTTCCAGCCAGATTGGGTGTGGGATGTGAGGGGAAGAGAAGAGTCAAGGATGACTCAAAGCTTTTGACCCAGGGGCCTGGAAGAACAGAGCCGCCATCAACAAGGAGGGAGAGGATGATGTGAGAAGTTGGTTTTGGATGGAAGGCTGGGGGTTCAGTTTTGGACGGGTTGACTGAAGGTGTCTGTTAGACAATTCCATGGAAATACTCATTCGGAAGTTGGATATAAACATCTATCTAGAGTTTGGGAGAGAGAGCCAGGTTAGGGATGTACAACTGGGAGTCACTAGCCCATAGATGGAATTTATACACCATGAGACTGAACAAGGTCAAAGCAACAAGGATACATGAAGAAGAGAAGAGAACAGAAGTCTGAGTCCTGGAGCCCTCCAAAGTCAAGGAGAAGAGAATAAACCAGCACAAGGGTTCAAGAAGCTGCCAATGAGGGGGTGAATTGACCTTGGCAAGAGTACTGTTATTGGCAGAAGCCACATGTTGAAGCCCTAACCCCTATCACCTCAGAATGTGACATTGTTTGGAGACAGGGTCTTTAAGCAGTGAATTAAGGTGAGATGCGGTCACCTTAATCTAATAGGACTGGTGTCCTTATAAAAAGAGGAGCTTGGCTGGGCACAGTGGCTCACACCTGTAATCCCAGCACTTTGGGAGGCCAAGGCGGGCAGGTCACAAGGTCAAGAGATCGAGACCATCCTGGCCAACATGGTGAAACCCCGTCTCTACTAAAAATACAAAAATTAGCTGAGCATGTAGTCCCAGCTACTACTCGGGAGGTTGAGGCAGAAGAATCACTTGAACCCAGGAGGCAGAGGTTGCAGTGAGCTGAGATTGCGCCACTGCACTCAAGCCTGGTGACAGAGTGAGACTCTGTCTCAAAAAAAAAAAAAAAAAAAGAGGAATTTAGACCCAGATGTGTGCAAAGGAAAGATGATATGAAGACACGGGAGAAAACAGCCATCCACAAGCCAAGGAGAGAGGTCTCAGAAGGAACCAGCCCTGCTAACACCTTGATCTTGGACTTCCAGGCTCCAGAGCAGTGAGACAATACATTTCTGTTGTTTAAGCCACTCTTGTGTTGTTACAGCAGCACCAACTCCGATGGGCTTAAGAAAGTGTGGGAAGAGAGAATGGGAACAGGGGAATATGGATAACTCTTCAGAGAGATTTACTATAAACAAGAGCAAAGACAAGGAGTGGTAGCTTCCAGAGGGATTATTTTTCTCTTTCTTTGAAACTTATTTATTGATTTATTTGATGGAAGAGATGGGAGACATAACAGCTTGTTATTTTGCTGCTGGGAATGATCGCCAGGCAAGAAAGAGTATGGAGACCACTGTTCTACTTTCTGCTTCTATGATATCAACTCTTTTTTTTATTTTTTCAAGATTTCACATAAAAGTGAGATCATGCAGTATTTGTCTTTCTGTGTCTGGCATTTGCTTTTCACTTAACATAATGACCTCTGGGTTCATCCCTGTTGCTGGAAGTGGCAGGATTCCATCCTTTTTTATGGCTGCATAGTATTCCACTGTGCATATATACCACATTTGCTTTATCCATTCCACCCATTACTGGACATTTGGGTTGACCCCACATCCTGCAGGGAGGGGGAAAGGGAGGATGGGAGGATGTTGGTTAATGGATACAAAGTGATGATTAGATAGGAAGAGTAAATTCTGGGGTTCTAATGCACATTGGGGTGCTGATAATTGGCAGTAAGGTATATATTATAAAATAGCTAGAAGAGAGGTTTTGAATGTTCTCACTATGAAGAAATAAGTGCATGAGGTGATGGATATGCTATCTACCCTGATTTGATTATTATGATTATTATGCAACATTTATATGTATCAAAACATAAAATTGTATCCCATAAATATGTGCAATTACAATGTGTCAGTAATTTTTTTTATTTTTTTCTAAGAGACAGTCTCACTCTGTTGCCCAGGCTGGAGTGCAGTGGTGTCATCACAGCTCACCGCAGCCTTGAAATCCTGGGTTCACATGATCCTCCCGCCTCAGCCTCCTGAGTAGCTAGGATTACTACTACTAGGCATGCCAGGATCATTTTTTTACATTTTATTTCTTGTAGAGTCTTCGTATGTTGCCCAGGCTGGTCTTGAACTCCTGGCTTCAAGCAATCCTCCTGCCTCAGCCTCCCAAAGCACTGGGATTACAGGCCCAGCCAAAAAAAAAAAAAAATTTATTAAAGAAAAAAAGACTATGTAGCACCCTGTCAAGTTGAGTTATCTCTGCCTTTTGTTGTGTTTGAGCTCTTTTACCACTCTGCACGTTGTAGATAACTGATAGGATGTAAGTGATTCTCGTCCATCGAAATGCAAATGAAGTGTGTCTACTGGAAGGCAATTTATTATCACGCCACAGATAGATCAGTTTTGCATCTATTTGCAAATTTACATCAGCACCGTTTATTGTGATGCTTTCAATCCTTCTTTAAACCATTTGTAACATCTTACTAGTTCCCACAGTAATTAATGAGTTAAAGAAGATCTTTGACATGTGTTCACTTTGTATTTGTATGAGAGTCATTTTTCTACCTGAAAAAAATTCCTTTAATAAGATGCTGACAGATGATAGGTGTCTTTAGATGTGCTCTTCTGATGGGTTAAATTTTTCCATGATGCTGAAGATCTGAGAAAAAGCAGACCCCTCTCTGAAACTTACCTGGGAAGTTCTGAGTTTCTGAGTTTGGGCTATTGAGAGAGACTTTTTTTTTTTTTTTTTTTTTTTTTAGGCGGAGTCTCATTCTGTTGCCCAGGCTGTAGTGCAGTAGTGCAATCTCAGCTCACTGCAATCTCTGCCTCCTGGGTTCAAGCAATTCTCCTGCCTCAGTCTCCTGAGTAGCTGGGATTACAGGTGCATGCCACCACACCCGGCTGATTTTTGTATTTTTAGCAGAGACAAGGTTTCACCATGCTGGCCATGCTGGTCTTGAACTCTTGACCTCAGGTGATCCAACTGCTTCGGCCTCCCAAAGTGCTGGGATTACAGGCATGAGCCACCACGCCTGGCCTGAGAGAGACTCTTTAAATGTACTCATAAGCTGAGTCCTGGCTAGGGGATTGACCCAAGGTTCCCAAGAGTGAAAACCCTTGGTCCTGTGTGGATCGAGGGATCCCATTTGTATTTTGGCTGCAAGTCTGTCTGGCAACACCATGATTTTTCATGCTGAAACCCCTACGGAATTCAGAAATGCCCAGCATGGTTTATATGTGCATCTGACTGCAACCTGATGAAGGCAGGGCCGTCCCACTGGGCTGGGATAAGACCAAGGGCACACACCTCCCTCACACAGTCAATCCCAACTCTCCAAGTTTGGCCTTGAGAAGTCAAACTGCAGGGGCTGGGGCTGCTCAAGGATGGAGAAGCAGGCCAGGTGTGGTGGCTCACGTCTGTAATCCCAGCACCTTGGGGAGCCGAGGTGGGAGGATCACTTGAACCCAGAAGTTCGAGACCAGCCTTGGCAACACAGCGAAACCCCATCTCTACAAAAACGGAATTAGCCATGTGTGGTGGTGTGTGCCTGTAGTCCCAGTTACTCGGGAGGCTGAGGTGCGAGGATTGCTTGAGCCCAGGAGTTCGAGGCTGTGGTGAGCCACGATCGAGCCACTGCACCCCAGCCTGGGTGACACAGCAAGAGCCAATCTCAACAAATAAAAAATAAAGAAAAAAGATATGCAACTGGGCTTGGCCCGCTGACCCCACTTACTCTCCAATACTCCAGTTGTCTCCTGGTGGAGTCCCTCTGTCTGTTCCCTGTGCACATCTCAGATAGAATGGGACTCAGGAACACTAGTTCTTGCCACTCTACCCCCAACCCTGTGTCCCTTCTTAGGTTCACAGACTCCAGTGTCCTTCAGTGCTAAGGCAGGACCTGCTCCTCAGCCTGCAATGAGCCCTTCTCCAGGGGTCACTCCGAGCTCCGCCCCTACTCCTGCCAAGCAGTAACCAATCCCAATCTAACAATAGCAATTCACAAATGAGTAGCAGCTGGAACTTCTCCTTGGAGGTCATGGCCAGACTCTGGGCCTCCTTGACTTCCTCCAGAGATCTCGCTATGACTATTTATTTTTGTTTTTTATTTTTAGAGACAGGGTCCTGCTCTGCTACCCAGGCTGGAATGCAGTGGCACAATCATAGCTCACTGCAGCCTTGAACTCCTGGGCTCAAGTGATCCTTCTGCCTCAGCCTCTTGAGTGGCTGGGACTACAGGCTCACACCATCATGCCCAGCTATTTATTTTTATTTTTTGTAGAGTTGGGGGTCTTGCTATGTTGCCCAGGCTTGTCTTGAATTCCTGGCCTCAAGTAATCCTCCTGTCAGCCTCCCCACATGTTGAGATTACAGGCATGAGCTACTGCACCCAGCCACTATCACTTATAAAAATGCCTCAGTGTTCTAGAATCTGATTAGGTTTGACCTTGTACAGGCTGTTTAGGAATACTGCCCCTGCTTCTGAAAAAAATGTATGTACTTTTTGATATGTGGCCTCCTTCTCCAGTTCTCAAAGGTCTACTCAATCTTTCAAGCTTGGACCAAGTGCTGCCTCCTTCAGGTAGCCTTCCTGGATTGCTTGCAGATTGAAGTGACTGCTCTCTACGATATAGCTCAAATCCTCTTCCCATCCTGGTTGAATTTAGATGTTCATGTTGTTTCTTTTGGTAGATTCATTTGTTCATTCATTCATTCCTCAGAGGTTTTTGAGCACCTGCTCAAAAACAGGCACTATGTTAGGCCTGGCATGCAGGTGTAAATGCATCAAGTGCCCTCCTTCTCCGTGCCTGCATCCTTGGGCGGGCAGTGGGCTGGGCTTGTTCTCAGCACCTAACACAGCACCTGCTGCCAGGTGACAGGTGTTTGATAAATAAATAGATGCCAGGAGGCCATCTGACCACCTCTCCTGCACTTCATCGCATCTTATTTGTTTAGATTTTACCTGCTTTGCTAAATCACGCTTTAATTAACATTCTTCCTCCCTTGATGGGAGGGCAGCAGCTGCAAGGTGGTTTGGAAGCTGTTAGGAATCTGTCAAATCTCCGCAGCTACTCTGGCCTGGGGCCCTGGGGCTGCCTGGTTCCTAGGCTGGCTGCTTGTCTTGGGCAGTCCCCTACCTTCCCCTTCTCAGCCTCGTCTTCCTCCTCTGCTGCCTCTTGTCTCTTGGGAGCTCTGAGATGAGAGGAGTGGGCTTGCATGGGTGCATCCACGTGGCGTGGCTACCATCGCTGCTCCTCGGCCAAAAGGGCTCTGCCTCCACAGCCACTCAGCCTTGATTTGGGGCTCCTATTTTCTGAGCCGCTGAACCCTGCACAAAGCAGTCTGTGCCCAGGCAGGGCCAGACCAGGCAGAGAGGTGACCTCCTCTGCCCTCTGGGCAGCATAGCATCTGCAGGGGCCTGGATGCCTTGAAGTGAGGCTGCCTTCAGGAGAGGACAGGGAGTAGGGAGGGCAGGAGGGCAGAGCCATGAATGTCACAGGGCGGGAGGCAGGCCCGCCTCCTGGTTCCCACTTTGCAGGATGACCCTGGAAGAGGGACAGGTGTGGTCTGCAGAAAAAGCATCCATATCAGCTGGTGACTGTGGCTGAGCCCCTGGACTGTGGCTGAGCCCCTGTCCTCCTGGGGTCTTGCTGTGGAGTGAACACAGGAGAGGCTTCCTGACCAGCCACCTGCCACCCCTCCTGTGGTCTCACCGTGCCTGCCATTGTGTCTTGCCTGCCAGTCACCATTTCGCAACGGTCCCGCATGTGAGCAGATGCTGACATGCCCATTGAATAGGGAGTCCACTGCGGGAGGGAGGTGGTGGCAGCCCCATTCACAAGGGAGATGGGTGATGAGACGGTGGGCCAGGGACTGATCCTGGGGCAGTGGCTGCTGTCTCTTTATTGCCCTCACAAAGCCTTCAAGGTCATGGGCTCCAAAGGCTCGGCGAGACCTACAATCTAAGCCGCAGCGTAGGGACAGGGCAGCCAGGGACCACCATGCTCTTCCTCTGTTCCCCTTTCCCAAGGCCAGAGGAGGGTCAGTAAGCTCAAGGATGTTCTGAACTTATAGGCAAACCAGGCTGTTGTCAACACAGTAGGTTTCCTGTGTGAATATCAGGGTCCCTGTCCCAGTGGCTCACACCTGTAATCCCAGTGCTTTGGGAGGCCAAGGCAGGAGGATCACTTGAGCCCAGGAGTTGGAGACCAGCCTGGGCAACATAGTGAGACCCCCATCTCTACAAAAACATTTGAAAATTAGCTGGGGATGGTGGTGCACACCTGTAGTCCCACCTACTTGGGAGGCTGAGGTGGGAAGATGGCTTGAACCCAGGAGTTCAAAGCTGCAGTGAGCTATGATCACACCACGGCACTCCAGCCTGGGCGACAGAGCAAGACCCTGTCTCTAAACAAACAAACAAACAAACATCAGTGAGATCAGCTCTCCAAAGAGAGAGTGTATTCAGGAGTTGCAATCTAGGATACATATGCTATGACGAATTTTAGGTGCATCAAAAGAATTTGGGGCTGAGGGAAGCTTTTATTTTATTTATCTATTTTTTTAAAAGACAAGGTCTTGCTCTGTCACCCAGGCTGGTGTGTAGTGGTGTGATCATAGCTCACTACAGCTTCAAACTCCTGGGCTCAAGTGATTCCCCTGCCTCAGCCTCTCGAGTAGCTGGGATTACAGGTGTGTAATGACCAGCTAATTTTTATTTTTTATAGAGACAGGGTTTTGCCATGTTGGCCAGGCCAGTCTCAAACTCCTTGCCTCAAGCAATTCTCCCATCCCAGCCTCCCAGAGTGCTAGGATTACAGGTATGAGCCACTGTGTCCGGCCAGGGAAGCTTTTAAAGACAAAAAAGGAGAGAAGTCCATGTAAACTGTTTTGAAACAAAGACATTGATTAAAGGGGCTCATTGCAGGAGTTGGCAATTACTCATTGGTAGAAGCAGCCATCATCGGGCAAGTGTTGTTGTGTGAGGGGCTTATTCGGAACCCTGGTTTTTTGTTTCTTTCTTTTTTTTTTTTGAGACGGAGTCTTGCTCTGTCACCCAGGCTGGAGTGCAGTAGCGCGATCTGGGCTTACTGCAACCTCCGTCTCCCAAGTTCAAGCAATTCTCTTGCCTCAGCCTCCCAAGTAGCTGGGATTATAGGCACGTGCCACCGTGCCTGGCTAATTTTTGTATTTTTAGTAGATATAGGGTTTCACCATGTTGGCCAGGCTGGTCTCGAACTCCTGACCTCAAGTAATCTGCCTGCCTCCACCTCCCAAAGTGCTGGGATTACAGGCGTGAGCCACCTCGCCTGGCCTTGGGTTTTAGAGGAGTTCCTTGAGTAGTTCCCATCATAGGCATATGTGCAGGCATTTTTTCGTGTGTGTGTGATAAGTCCTGTTACAGGCATACGTGCACGAGGGTTCCCTCTCCATGGCTTCCTGGCGGCAGGCACCATGCTAGGTGCTGACTCTGTTTTGAGATGGGTAATGTCCATACTATATGAGTGTCCTGGGGCTGCTGTAACAAAGTACCACAAACTGGGTGGCTTAAGACAACAGGAATTTATTCTCTCACGGTTCTGGAGACCAGAAGGCCAGAAGTTCAAGCTGTTGGCAGGGCCATGATCCCCCCAAAGGCCCTAGGGGAGGATTCTTTGCAGTGTCTGGTGGCTCTAGGAATCCTTAGGGTCCCTTGGTTTGGGGATACATCACTCCAATCTATTTCTGCTTTTCACATGGCCTTCAGCCCTGTGTGCCTCCCTTTATCTCTTTCTTCCTTTCAAGACACCAATCACTGCATTAAGATTCACCCAGATGAGTGACCCAGATGGCCTCATTGCAACTTGATTACATCTGCAAAGACCTGTTTCCAAATAAGACCACATTCTGAGGTTCAAAGTGGGCATGAATTTTGGCAAGGACACTATTCACATCTGTTGTTGAGGCTGGGTGTGGTGGCTCATGCCTGCAATTCCAGCACTTTGGGAGGCCGAGGCAGGAGGATTGCTTGAGGCCAGGGGTTCGAGACCAGCCTGGGCAACACACCGAGATCTTATCTCGACAGAAAAATTTAAATAATTAGCTGGGTGTGATGGTGTGCCCTTGTAGACCCAGCTACTCGGGAGGCTGAGGCAGGAGGATCACCTGAGTCCGGGAGGTTGAGATTGCGGTGAGCGGAGATTGCACCACTGTACTCCAGTCTGGGTGACGGAGTGAGACTCTGTCTCAAAAAGTATAAAAAAAAAATTAAGAGTTGCCCGCATTTCCAGGCTTCATCATGAGAACACAGGGGAGGGCCTCTCTGATCACAGCCACCCACCTGACCCTCAGCCATCCTTTCCCAGCCCAGCTGGGGACCCTGAGGCTCAGTGGCATGTGATGTTCCTGAGGCCCTGGGTCCCACAGTGGTAGAGATGGGAGTCCCTGCTAAAGACCCTGGAGACCTGCCGCTCCCCATAGAGTGATCGGATTCTCCCTCACGGCGTGCCTTTGTCAGCATCCTCCAACTTGTTGTATAAAAGTTGCCCTATAACAACGTTCAGTATCATCAGTCCAGTTTTCTCGAAATGAGGATATGGCCAAACATCTGATGGGGGGGAAAAAGGCAACTCTTCACCAATCAGCTAGAACCCTAAATGCAGGAGTAAGAATTAAAATAGCCATTCAAATATTTTATGTTAATTAACGTCTCTGGTGATGATTCAGTCTGGAGAGAAGTAAGCGAAGCGCTGGTTCCCTGGCAGGCTGTTCAGGGTGGCGACATCCTGAAGGAAGGAGGTAGGAGGAGCTGGGTCCATTAATGCTCACTGCTGTGGGCATCTCTGCCCTGCAGCACCTGGGTGGGACCTAGCCCTGCTGCACAGAGATCTTTTCCTCTGAACACAGAATCAGTCCATGGGAGCTTCTTTCTTTTGAGATGGAGTCTCGCTCTGTCGCCCAGTGTGGAGTGCAGTGGGGCAATTTCGGCTCACTGTAACCTCCACCTCCTGGGTTCAAGCCATTCTCATGCCTCAGCCTCCCGAGTAGCTGGAATTACAGGTGCATGCCACCACGCCTGGCTAATTTTTGTATTTTTAGAAGAGACGGGGCTTCCCATGTTGGCCAGGCTGGTCTCAAATTCCTGACCTTAGATGATCTGCCCCCCTTGGCCTCCCAAAGTGCTGGGATTACAGGCGTGAGCCACCGCACCTGGCCACGGGAGCTTCTTACAAAGGTCATAGCACTTGGGTTGGGGTTTGGGGTGGGTAGGGAACCCAGTGACCTCGGCTCCCAGGGAAGAGGGGGACTCGGAAAACATTGGCTGAGAGCCTGGGTTGAGACTCTGTCCTGTGCTGCCTAGCTCAGCCTCTCTGAGCTCCAGGTCTCCTCGTGGATACCATGAGAATGAGGTCAGCATCTGCCTCAAAGCCTGCAATGAGGATTAAATGCCTCCTGTGCACAGAGTTTAGCTCAGCGCAAGGCATGCCTAGTGGGCGCTCAGCTCGGTGAAGGTCAGCCACCGTTATCCACACTTGCTGGATGAATGCATTGACAGTGAATTATTTTGAAATGATCAGCAGTAGGAGGTGGGCCTTGCTCCCTCAGTGTCACCCCCAGCAAGGGACTACCTTCTCTCCTTGCGAACTCTCGTGGGTCATCACACACGGACTCAGAAGGCGCTGTCTGCTCCTAGCGTTCAACCCTCAGAGCAGAACAACCATGATTACGATTCGCACTTGTGTCTGCTCTTTAAAGTAAACAGCCCCTTCACACCCTGAGAACTTACAGACTGGTAAGGATATAAACACATGAATTTGTTTGAGGCCGTTGGGGAGAAGAGTGGCATTTTGAGCATTGAGAAGGACTGAATCATGCTCTCAGGGTGTACAATTGGATCAACTCCTCGGAGGGGTCAAATGTAATTTTAGAGCAGAATTATTATGATTCGTGATAGAGCTGTTACACTTATAAAAACAATTTATTTTTTCAGTTCTAAGCAAGGATTTTGGCTCTTTTTAAAGGGTTTTCCAAAAAAGCTTAACGTGTGCTTTGGAAAGGGAGGGGTTTGAGAGCCATGGCAAGAGGCTGAACTGGCCTCTCTCTGCTGGGCACCTCTTTGTTCCAAAGGTCTAAGTCGTGGTGACATGCCCTCATGATACGTGGGCTCAGCGAGAGCCTGAGCTTCCTCATCAAGTACCACTTCCTTTTCTTTTCTTTTTTTTCTTTTTCTTTTTTTTTTTTTTTTGAGATGGAGTCTCACTCTGTCACCCAGGATGGAGTGCAGTGGCGCGATCTCGGCTCACTGCAACCGCCGCCTCCCAGGTTCAAACGATCCTCCTGCCTCAGCCTCCTGAGTAGTTGGGATTAGAGGCACCTGCCATCATGCCTGGCTAATTTTTGTATTTTTGTAGAGACAGGGTTTCACCATGTTGGCCAGGCTGGTCTTGAACTCCTGACCTCAGGTGATCTGCCTGCCTCGGCCTCCCAAAGTGCTGGGATTATGGGCGTGAGCCACTGCACCCGGCCGAATTAATTCAATTTTAATTGTTTCTTTCTTTCTTAGAGACAGAGTCTCGCTCTGTCACCCAGGCTGGAGTACAGTGGCGTGATCATAGCTCATTGCAGCCTCGAACTCCTGGGCTCAAGAGGTCCTCCTGCCTCAGCCTCCTGAGTAGCTGGGACTACAGGTGCGCACCACCATACCTGGCCAATTTTTAAATATTTTGTAGAGATGAAGTCTCACGGCCGGGTGCAGTGGCTCATGCCTGTAATCCCAGCACTTTGGGAGGCCATGGTGGGCAGATTACCTGAGGTCAGGAGTTCGAGACCACCCTGGCCAACATGACAAAACCCCGCCTCCACAGAAAAATACAAAAATTAGCTGTGCATGGTGGTGGGTGCCTGTAATCCCAGCTACTCAGGAGGCTGATGCAGGAGAATCAGTTGAACCAGGAGGCAGAGGTTGCAGTGAGCTGAGATCGTGCCACTGCATCCTTGCCTGGGCGAAAGAGCGAGACTCTATCTTAAAAAAAAAATAAAAAATAAAAAAAAAATAAAAAAAGAGAGAGAGAGAGATGAGGTCTCACTATGTTGCCCAGGCTGGTACTGAACTCCTGGCCTTGGCCTCCCAAAGTGCTGGGATTATAGGCATGAGCCTCTGAGCCCAGCTCAATTTTAATTTTGAAAATAACTGGCTGGGCACGGTGGCTCACGCCTGTAATCCCAGCACTTTGGGAGGCCAAGGTAGGCAGATCACCTGAGGTCTGGAGTTCGAGACTAGCCTGGCCAACATGGTGAAACCCTGTCTCTACTAAAAATACAAAAATTAGCCAGGCATGGTGGCAGGTGCCTGCAATCCTAGCTACTTGGGAGGCTGAGGAATGAGAATCGCTTGAACCTGGGAAGCAGAGGTTGCAGCGAGCCAAGATTGCACCATTGCACTCCAGCCTGGACAACAAGAGCAAAACTCCGTCTCAAAACAAACAAACAAACAAACAAACAAACAAACAATAGTAGGATTGAAGCAATCTGCCCCCAGTCCCCTCTAATCCTTCCCCAAAGACAGGCCCTAACTATTCCAGTTCTCGCTCCATCAGTGCCTTTGGTGTTCCCACTCACACCCTCAGCGTCCTAGACCAGTTCCTGGGGATTTTGTGGAGTGCGTCCTTGCCCTGAAATCACTTACTATTGGAAGAAGAAGGCGCACTCTCAGAGACACAGCTGTATCCATAGAGCAGGTTAGCCAATGGTACATTATTTCTGGAAGATCTTCAGAATATTCTGCTCAGATTTATTGCAAGTGTGGATTTAGCTTCTTTCCTGCAGTGTTGCCAGTTGGTAAGGACTTATTTTGCCAAGGTAATTTGTTCTGCTCTGGCCCAAGCAAGATGCAGCATGGGAAGACATGAAATCTTCAATTTGGAAAAGGAAAGAGCATAAATTCTGAAGTGTAGCACCCGCCAGTGCAGGCAGGTCCCTAGGGAAGGCTGTGTGAGAATTCTATAAAGTTTTAATAGCTCAAGACCCAAGGTAGCAGAATTAAATGCAAGCCTGGGGACCCACTCTTCCCTTGATCATATAAAATGTGGGGAAATCTCTGCATCAACTCTGACAATTCCTCTGGTCTTTGGGCAGAATGTGGATGCTTTGGAGTTTCGAGGCACATATGAGCCCTTCTTGTCTCATCATGAGAGATGGAGCTATTTTCTGGATGTGCCGAAGAGTATGATTACCTTATAGCTGCAGGACCCAGGGAATAGGAAACAATGGTGGGGTAGAAAACGGTCACTTCCCAGTGAGGTGCGCAGACCCACCGTGACTGCGCCTCATCCATTAATGTGAAGCGAGGTTGTTTTCTTTTTCTATCTGATGTGTTCTGCAGCGGCGCTGTTGAAAGCAGGCTTCATCTCCCTGTAGTCATGCTACCTACCTACCTGTCAACCTACCTACCTACCTGCCTATCTATCTACCTACCTATCTACCTGCCTGCCTGCCTACCTACATACCTACCTGCCTACCTACATACCTACCTACCTGCCTACCTGTCTACCTACCTACCTGCTTATCTACTTGCCTACCTACTTACATATCTACCTGCCTACCTGCCTACCTACATACCTACCTACCTGCCTACCTACCTACCTGCCTATCTACCTGCCTACCTACTTACATATCTACCTGCCTACCTACCTACCTGCCTATCTACCTGCCTGCTTACCTATCTAACTACCTATCTACCTGCCTACCTATCTACTTACCTACCTACCTGCCTACCTATCTACTTACCTACCTACCTGCCTACCTACCTATCTGCCTGCCTACCTATCTACCTACCTATCTATGTACCTGCCTAACTACCTATGTACCTGCCTACCTACCTATCTACCTGCCTATCTAGCTACCTATTTACCTGCCTACCTACCTATCTATGTACCTGCCTAACTACCTATGTATCTGCCTACCTACCTATCTACCTGCCTATCTAGCTACCTATTTACCTGCCTACCTACCTACTTACCTACTTGCCTGTCTACCTACCTACCTACATATCTACCTGCCTACCTATCTACCTACTTGCCTACCTACCTATCTGTCTACCTATCTACTTGCCTACCTACCTACCTGGCTGCCTACCTACTTACCTATCTACCTGCCTACCTAACTACCTATCTACCTACCTGCCTACCTACTTATCTACATACCTACCTGTCTACCTACCTGCCCGTCTCCCTACCTACCTACTTGTGCACCTATCTACTTGCCTGCCTACCTATCTACCTACCCGCCTGTGAACCTACCTACCTACCTGTCTACCCACCTACCTTCCTGCCTGTCTACCTACCTACCCACTTACCTACTTAGATAAGCAGGTACCTATCTACCTATCTTGAGAAGACAGGAAACAGCTAACTATCTTCCTACCTACTTTTTTCCCCCAATAACCACAGTCTTTCTGTGCTTATGGTTTTATTCTGGGAACCTACACAAGAACTGAGGCAAAGCCATGGGTGAGGGAGGTGGGGGAAAGACCCCCACTGGGTGTCAGCAAAGCCTCCATCCCCCAATGATAGAGTGGCTTGGCAGGGTCCTTGTGTTGGTGCCAACCCTCAACTCTCTGGCATGAGGCGCCAGTCTCCTCCCCACAGCTGAACTTGTCTCCCAGGGCAGACCCACCAGAAAGGCTCCTGTGAGCATAAGGGCTGATCTGCCGTGGCTCCCCTCGAGCAGGGCCAGGTGCCCACACTGACTGGATACAGCTTTGGGCTGGGCATTGTGCCTTGGGTCGGGATTTTCATGATGAAATAGCTGAGCATTGGCCTCCTGACCAAACATCTGCCGAGTCTGGGGAGGGCGATTTACTCCTCAGGAGGCTCCAAGATGAAGGGCAGGTGCCTCAGCCTGGTGGCCCCATCTTCTGTGATCCAGATGTGCCTGCCCTGAGGCTTCCTTCCTGCAGCCCCCCTCCCCACCCCTGCCATCCGGCCCCTGCATCTCCTGCAATGGACACGTCTCCATCCCTGGTTCATATGCCATGTCCTCCTATCCCGGTGCCTTTGCACATGCTGTTCCCCATGCTCCAATGCCCTTTTCCACCCTGTCTGTCAAAATCCCACCCACTCTTCAAGGCCTGCCTCACATGCTATCTGCACAGTCCCCGGTAGCTCCCTTCCCTGTCCTCACCAGGTCTGGACACCCCCTACTGCAGTTTGCTTCACACCACACCTGTGTGTGCCTGCCCCCCAGCACTAGGTTTAAGATTCTTGAGGGCAGATACCTGATGGACCCTTACCTTACACCCAGCAAGTGCCAATCAATCTTCAATAGGAGCGTGAGATTTATTCAAACCTTAGTGCTGCTTCTTCATAGCTGTTTGACCTTGGGGAAGTTACTTGACCTCTCTGGGCTTCAGTTTCCTAAATATACATATGTACGTATATATATATATTTGTAATATATATTACATATAAATATACATATGTATGTATATATATTTGTAATATATATTACAATATGCAATATATTATATACATATATACATAAATATATTTATATACAAAAATGTATGTACATAAATATATATATTATGTATATAAATATATACTACATAGTACATATATTTGTATGTGGAAATACATATATGTATATATTACATATATTTGTATAAGGAAAATGAATATATATTTAGGAAATAATATGTATAGAATTCTATATGTATAAATACATATAGAAATTATATATAATTTAATGCATTGTATGTATTTTTATATATTTATGTATATGTTTATATATGTATTTTTATATATATTTCTATACATAGTGCATACAATTTAGTGCATACAATGCACATTTTATAAATATAATTTATATATGTTACATAGATATGTATATATATTTATATATAATTTCATGCCTACAATGTGCTGGGCCCTGTGCTGAATGCTTTATGCACATTGTCTTGTTCATATAATTCCTCCTTGTAAGATTGGGACAATCACAGGACCATTGTACTCGGATTTTGGGAGAATGATCATCCAATAATCCTCAGACGCTCCCCATAGCCTTGGGCAATTTCCTGTCCAGCTGGAGGATAAGACCCTCACAAGAAGAGGTGGTTACTCAACGGTCCTCAATACAAGGTGAGAAACTGATGTTGTAGACATCACAGGAGGATTACCTGAGTGGGCACCTTGCATGGTCTGGAGGAGGAGGAAGGCTTTCCTTTGGTGGGAGGGGTCTGGGGAAGCTTCTGGGAAGAGGTTGTTTTGGGACAGGGCAAGACAAGGTCCCGTCTCCTGAGTATTATTCCTGCAAAAGACTTTTCCCATTTCCTTGAAAGAGCTCAGCCATGCTGACACCTCATTACCCATGTCTCGGGGTGGCCTCACAAACTTGACTACTGGGCAGGGGTTTTGGGTCTTGTTCATGGTGGTTTTCCTAGCATAGTGCTAAGTATTCATGAAGTGAATGCCATATATATATATATATATATATATATATATATATATATATATGCATTATATATATATATATATATATATATGCATTATATATATATGCACACTATATGGCATATACATGTCATATGTATGGCATATATATGTGTGTATGTATATGTATATGTATATGTATATGTATATGTATATGTATATGTATATGTTTAGAGACAGGATCTTACTCTGTTGCCCAGGCTGGAGTGCAGTGGCACCATCATGGCTCACGGCAGCCTTGAACTCCTGGGCTCAAATGATTCTTCTGCCTCAACCTCCTAAGCAGCTGGGACTACAAGTGCCCACCATTATGCCCGGCTCACTTTAAAATTTTTTTTTATAGCTATGGGGTGTCACTATGTTGTCCAGGCTGGTCTCAAGCTCCTGGGCTCCAGCAGTCCTCCCGCCTCAGCCTCCCAAAGTGCTGGTCTTACAGTCATGAGCCACTGTGCCCAGGGAATGCCATATTTTTTTCATCCCTCAAAGGGGCCATAGGAGGGGTTCTCATACATGCTGCAGTATTTGGTTATTCTCCAACGTTTTCTAACTTGCCCCCATTGGGCCAGCTTCCCAACTTGAAGCCAGACGCAAGTGGGAAAATGGCCCCAGAGTCACTCAAACAACAGTCCTTAGGAGGGCTTCTCACCCTGGTAAGTCCTCTATCCTGGGAAGATTCTCCCTGCAGCCTGTGATTAAACAACACTCCCCAAAGTATTAGCCAGGCTGGCCTTGGGAGGGGCCCAGGGTTCAGTAGTGTTTTATTACGCTCATAAAGTAATTGGCCTAGAAGTATCACAAACCCCATGGCGTCTGTACAAAGTAGGACTCCGAAACTAATTATATGACTGTGGGCATGAATGAATAATGGGAATGCCTGCCTGTATCATGCTCTGCTCCATTGCTTCAAAGGGCTGCAAAGCTGGAACTCATCATCTCTGCCCAAATAACAGGAAGCTTTATGAGCCGAGTGTTGTATTTTGGCCCTGGGCCATTATGGACGTTGTTGTATAGTAAAGTCTGGAATTTCCCAAGAAATAGGAGTGTCATTGTTTTTCATGATCCCCTTGGATTCCATTTGAGTTTCAGCTAACAAGATGGCTCGGGATAAGGGCTGGTCGTGCCAGAAAGACCAAGTGATTAGAGGGTTGGGGCTTTGAGCTACGCGATACCAGCTTGACTTCCAGGGAGGGGAGGGGGATTGGAGACTGAGTTCAGTCACATGACTGGTGATTCAATCAATCATGCCTATGTAATGAAACCTCAATAAAAACTCTGGACACCAAGGCTCAGGTGGGCTTCCTGGTTGGTAAACATATTGATGTGCTAAGAAGGTGACATTCCCGAGTTCATGGGGTCAGGGCAAGGAAGCTCTGCATTTGGGACCCTCACTCATCTTGTGCTATTATGAGTCTCTTCTTTTGGCTGTTCTTGGTCTGTATTCTTTATAATAAAACTGTAAGTGTAAGTACAGCATTTTCCTGAATTCTTTGAGTTATTCTTGTGAGTGATTGAACCTGAGGAAGTTGTGGGAGCTCATGATTTGTAGCCAGTTGGTTAGAAGTGTGGGTGAACTGGGGACCACCAACATGTGTCTGAAGTAGTGGGAGCCTTGGGGAGCCCTTGTGAGGTCTATGCTAACTCTTGGTAGTTAGTGTTAGAATAGAATTGTTGCACACCTTGTTGGTTTCTTCTTTCCATTCAACACGGAAAATATTTCCATGCACATTCCTAAAAGAAATCAGGAGCTCTTGGATCCTTCTCTCTTTCCAAAGGGAGGCTGGTGCGGCCAGAGGGTTTGCTGGGGGACAAATGGCCTTTTGTGGGAACTCTTCTTGACAGCCAGAAAAGACCACAATCTCACACTTTTTTTTTTTTTTGAAACGGAGTCTCGCTCTGTCGGCAGGCTGGAGTGCAGTGGCACGATCTTGGCTCACTGCAACCTCCACCTCTCGTGTTCAAGCAATTCTCCTGCCTCAGCCTCCTGAGTAGCTGGGACTACAGGTGCGCACCACCATGCCCAGCTAATTTTTGTGTTTTTAGTAGAGACAGGATTTCACCGTGTTGGCCAGGATGGTCTTGATCTCTTGACCTTGTGATTCACCTGCTTCAGGCTCCCAAAGTGCTGGGATTACAGGCATGAGCCACCATGGCCAGCCAATCACACACTTCTTATATGTTCATCTAGGTGCTACAAAGCCACAAAACTAACCAGAAACCAAAGGTGTAAATGAACACCAAGATGGCAGCTCCAGGCACATGTGTCAAAATCATCTTTCCCAAATTGAGATAGAAGGCAGGACTCAACTCTGGACCAGACTGAAGACTAGCTAAAACAGTGAAGAGGGGAATGCACCTCTCCATAAGACATGCCCAGAGGGCCATGTCAGTTTACCATTGCCATGGCAACACCCAGAACTTACCGCCCCTTTCCACGGCGACAACCAGTAAGTACCACCCTTTTTCTAGAAAATTCTGAATAACTCACCTCTTAATTTGCAGGTAATCAAAAGTGGGTATAAATCTTACTGCAGGGCTTCCTCTGAGCTGCTACTCTCAGCACACTGCCCACAGGGTAGCCCTGGTCTGCATGAGGAGTCATGGAGTGTAACATTACTGCTTCCATAAGCTGTTTTCTTCTACCACTGGCTTGCTCTTGAATTTTTTCCTGAGTGAAGCCAAGAACCTTTCCAGGTTAAGCCCCAATTCTGGGACTTGCCTGCGCTGCATCAAAATGACAGAGAAGCCGTGAGTCTCTTGGGCTCTCCATTGGGTCTCAGGGTAACCATGTGACATACTCTTTTAAGCACAGGCTGTAGGACAGTTAAGGTCTTACCCTTGCAACCGAAGTCTTTGCACAGCTTCACTGTGGGGTGGAGTTCCTGGCAGTGATATATTTGTAGTGCTGCTATTTAACTGGGTGATTTGCCTTGGCAGCTGCTGAGATCTCAGATCTCACAGAGATTTGAGACTTAATCACCCGCAGCACCAACAAAGACCTGCTCTTTTTATGCGGCTAAAAAAAATATGACATCCAGACATAGCTCAGCCGTGCTCTGTCTCCACGGCATTTAAAACACCTCTGCCCACGTGGGGTGCCCAAATGTGCTAGGTTTCCTATTAGGAATGTGATCTTCAAAAAAAAAAAAAATAGAACCCCCAAACCACCACCACAACACAAAAAGGGATGAAGAAAAGGCTCAAAGCTGGCTCTGGCAGTATACGAAGCTCATTTGAAGAGAAAGTGAAATTCTCAGAGTCTTGCACTGACATGGCCCAGAGTGGTGGGAGGCAGGAGAGGGGAGGGTGAAGTCTTGTGAATGGACTTGAAGAGCTCCATGCACACTTCTGGAGTGCCCTGCACACTGAGGGTTTGCTCACACTCTGAAAGGGAATTGCTTGGTTGAAGCTATGGATCTAAATCCACTTGAGGCTGGATGCAATGGCTGATGCCTGTAATCCCGGCACTTTGGGAGGCCAATGTGGGTGGATCACCTGAGGGCAGGAGTTCGAGACCAGCCTAGCCAACATGGTGAAAACCTGTCTCTATTAAAAATACAAAAAAAAAAAAAAATTAGGTGGGTGGAAGGCAGGAGAATCGCTTGAACCTGGGAGGTGAAGGTTGCAGTGAGCTGAGATCATGCCATTGCACTCACTCCAGCCTGGGCGACAAAAGTGAAACTCCGTCTCAAAAAA
This sequence comes from Homo sapiens, assembly GCF_000001405.40. NCBI lineage: Eukaryota > Metazoa > Chordata > Mammalia > Primates > Hominidae > Homo > Homo sapiens. The sequence goes on from NC_000007.14 coordinate 98,554,635, forward strand.
ACAAACAAAAAAATCCACTTGAACATCCTCATCACACTGTGATTTCTCTGTTGGCTGAAATAAAGACCACATCTCCCTCTACCTGCTCTGCTCACACCCGTGGCTGGCTCCTGCCTCCCCGCCTCCTCTCCCCTTTGTTTCTTTTCTTTTTTTTTTTTTCTTTCTTTGAGTTGGAGTCTTGCTCTGTCACCCAGGCTGCAGTGCAGTGGTGTGATCTTAGCTCACAACAGCCTAGATCTCCTGAGCTCAAGCCATCCTCCTGCCTTATCCTTCTGAGTAGCTGGGACTACCGGCAAGCACCACCATGCCCAGCTAATTTTAAAAATTTTTAGTAGGTCTGGGTATGGTGGCTCATGCCTGTAATCCCAGCACTTTGGGAGGCCGAGGCGGGTGAATCACCTGAGGTCAGGAGTTTGAGATCAGCCTGGCCAACATGGTGAAATCCTGTCTGTACTAAAAATACAAAAAATTAGCTGGGCGTGGTGGCGTGCGCCTGTAGTCCCAGCTACTCAGGATGCTGAGGCATGAGAATCACTTGAACCTGGGAGGCAGAAGTTGCAGTGAGCCGAGATCACGCCACTGCACTCCACCCTGGGTAACAGAGTGAGACTCCATCTCAAAATAAATAAATAAATAAATAAAACAAAATAAATAAAACACTTTTTTTTTTTTTTTTTAGTAAAGATGAGGTTGCTATGTTGCCTAGGCTGGTCTGGAACTCCTGGCCTAAAGCAATCCTCCTGCCTCGGCCTCCCAAAGTGCTGGAACTATAGGCATCTTTGTTTATTTTCTATGTAAGGCATCACAACATCTGTTTGTGTCGCTGCCACCTGAGAAGGAGAGCCCTTGGCAGGCAGCCATCCAGTTTGTCTCTCTGTCGCTCCTCTGGACCTGGCATGGTGCCAGCAAACAGTAGGAGCCTCATAAATGTTCAGTGTACAAGGAAATCTCCTAACCAGCCTCCCCGCCACTGGCCTCACTCATTCCACCTGCCTACTTAGCCCAGCACCTGGGGCATTGCTCAGGTAACTGTGAGTGAAGGACTTTTACCCCCAGCTCCTCTTCCTAGCCTTCCCTTGGTTATATGGGATGACTCACTCTTCCCTCACCAGCCAGGGCCCCTCATATCACCCTGGCATGAATCTCTGAGATGTCCTCAGCCTGGAGTGCTCATACCTTCTCCCCTGCCTTACAATCTTGCTTCTTCATGCATTTCCTATCTAGCTCAGCCGCCATAGTACCGTGCTCCAAAAGGGGCTCAGTAACTATCAGAAAAACATCGGCCATCCCCTGCCCATCATGCTGGGTCTCGTAGGAAGCAAGGCTTTCTCTTTTAAAGATTTATCATGGGGCCAGGCGTGGTGGCTCATGCCCGTAATCTCAACAGTTTGGGAGGCAGAGGTGGGAGGATCACTCCAGGCTGGGCAACATAGTGAGACCCCATCTCTACAAAAAATAAAATTAGCCAGGTGTGGTGGTGTATATCTGTAGTCCCAGCTACTTAGGAGACCGAGGTGGGAGGATTGCTTGAGCCCAGGAGTAGGAGGCTGCAGTGAGCTATGGTCATGCCACTGCACTCCAGTCTGAGCAACAGAGACAGACTGTTTCAGGAAAAAAATAAAAAGACTTAACCATGTATATATTGTGCTAAAATAAGTTATTTTTGTTATTACTTGAATGGAGCTGCAGACAGTTGGAAAAAAAATTCTGTTTTTCATCAAGTGAAAAAAAGAAAAATCCAATAACACGGAACTCAGCCATTTGCACATCCGGATCCTTTTACCACAAATGGCTTAAGTGCCCAGACACGCCACTGTTCCCCTGTCACATGAACTCAGCGCCAGAGCCAAATGAAATTCCAGGTGGCAGGGAACAGAGCTCTCTCTGGCTTCCTGGAAGCGCGGTCACTGGTGAGACTTGATACGGGGCTGCAACTGCAAGTGGCGAGAAACCTGTTCATTGCTCCTCGGAGTCGGTGCCGAGAGGCTCAGTGGATCGAGGCTCAGAAGGATGACCACTGAGCAAAGGCTAGCACAGCCACCCAGAGCAGGCAGGGCAGGCAGCTCACCAGAGGGAAATAATCAAAGTCAGTTTGAGGAAGTGTTCTAAAACACACCTCCGGCCGGGCGCGATGGCCCACGCCTGTAATCCTAGCACTTTGGGAGACCGAGGCGGGCGGATCACAAGGTCAGGAGTTCGAGACCAGCCTGGTCTACATGGTGAAACCCCATGTGTACTAAAAATACAAAAATTAGCCAGGTGTGCTGGTGCGTGCCTGTAATCCCAGCTACTCAGGAGGCTGAGGCAGGAGAATCGCTTGAACCCCGGAGGCGGAGGTTGCAGTGAGCTGAGATTGTGCCACTGCACTCCAGCCTGGGTGACAGAGCGAGACTCCGTCTAAAGAAAAAAGAAAAAAACATCTTGCCACTGTCTCCTGATCTCCTGGAATTTTCTTTTTATTGGGGTGGGGGGAGCAGGAAAACAAATAAACTTTATGATATTGAAAACTCCTGATATGCCAGGTGTGGTGGCTCCTGCCTGTAATCCCAGTGCTTTGGGAGGCTGAGTCAGGAGGATCACTTGAGGCCAGGAGTTTGAGACCAGCCTGGGCAACATAAGTGAGACTCCCCACCTCTATTAAAAAAAAAATTGAGACAAGTGTAGTGGCATGCCTATAGTCTCAGTCACTCTGGAAGCTGAGGCAGGAGGATCACTTAAGCCCAAGAGTTTGAGGTTGCAACCAAGATTGCACCACTGCACTACAGCCTGGGCAACATAGCGAGATCCTGTCCCTAAAATAGAAAAAGTAAATGAAAGAAACCCTTGCTATAATGATCTGCCTCCAGAAGCGGGGGTGGTTGAATCCCTGCTTGGGCAAGGCCCTTACTTTTTGGAGCCTGTTTGCTGATCTATAAACCTGGGAGGATGAGAACAGCCTCTCCTCTCCTAAGTGTCTGCATCCGGGCAACTGGTCATATGCAGGCTGAGCACATGTGGCCAGATTTCCCTGGATCTCGCCAGCTGAAAGCATTAACCCTTGCTTCCAGCCATCTGTGCCTATTTTTACACAAAATATGACTTTCGATTAAATTAACAAGAGTGGTAATGATAATCACTGCTTGCTGATATTAGCACAGTACATGGAAAGGAGCAACGTGGTCAGGGAGATTTAGAGAAGGGCAAACAGACAGATGTGACCAGGCACTCCTGGAAGCAATCGCTGTTAGTCACTGCCACGTGTCCTCTTACCTGTGTTCTCCTGTCTGCGACTCAGCAGAAAATGACCTTGAATGTTTTCTTGCCATCTGAGGCCCACGGAGACCTTGACTCTTAGTTGCTCCGGATCTCACGGCAGCGATGACAGATCAGGGCTCTCCAAGGGCAGCAGTGCCTCTTAGCAGTAGGGGGTCCCCTTTCCACTGCCCCAGGCCCCATCATTGGAAACCTGGTGATTTTACATGGACAAATTAAAGATGACATACTGATACTTTCATTTCTACATTCAGCAAACTTCCTGGAAAAGTGCAAAGCCAGCCTCTAACTCAGACTCACGGACATAGGGAACATCCTTGTGTTCCCCTCCTCCTCCCTCCCTTTTTTTCTGAGGCGGAGTCTTGCTCTGTTGCCCAGGCTGGAGTGCAGTGGCACAATCTCAGCTCACTGCAGCCTCTACCTCCCAGGTTCAAGCAATTCTTCTGCATCACCCTCCCGAGTAGCTGGGATTACAGGCATGCGCCACCACGCCTGGCTAATTTTTGTTTTTTTAGTAGAGACAGGGTTTCATCATGTTGGCCAGGCTGGTCTCGAACTCCTGACCTCAAGTGATCCACCTTCCTTGGCCTCCCAAATTGCTGGGATTATAGGCGTGAGCCACTGTGCCCAGCCCCTCTCCCATCTTTTATTTTTAAGAAGCAAAGTCACTTTTTCTTTCTGTCTCTTTCTCTCTCTTGCTTTTTTCTAAGGTCTTGCTTTGTCTCCCAGGCTGATGTGCAGTGGCGAGATCACAGGTCATTGCAGCCTCCAACTCCTGAAGTCAGGTAATTCTCCCATCTCAGCTTCTCAAGTAGTTGGGACCAGAGGCACGTGCCACCACGACCAGCTAATTTTTTTTTTTTTTTTTTTTTTTTTTTGTAGAGATGGAGGCCTTGCTTTGTTGTCCAGGCTGATCTTGAACTCCTGGGCTCAAGCGATCCTCCCACCTCAGCCTCCTAAAGTGCTGGGATTGCAGGTGTGAGCCTTGGAGCCCGGCCCAAAGCCATCTTTTCTTTAGAATACCATAAATATATCAGATAGAGGCACACAGCAGCTTCTCTCCAGCATCCTCCTCCTGCTCAGCTCCTGGGGTCTTCATGGTGCCTCCTGGCTGCTCCCAGTCCCAGCTGTTACCCCTGGGTCTTTTCCTTATGCTCGGCGGCATCCTGATTCGTGCATCTCTGTGGCTGTGCTCTCCAACCATCTAATCCGGGATCTAGTTCATGCTAAGTTATTGCAGACTGACAACAGATGCAGTCCCCTGACCTCCCTAGAAAACATACCTTTGTTTTGAGTTGGGGTCTCACTCTGTTGCCCCAGCTGGAGTACAGTGGCACAATCATGGCTCACTGGAGCCTTGACCTTCTGGGCTCAAGTGATCCTCCTGCCTCAGCCTCCCGAATAACCCGTTTGCTTTGTCTCTCTCTTTCTTTCTTTCCTTCCTTCCTTCCTTTCTTTCCTTTCATTTCTTTCCTTCTTCTTTCTTTCCCTCCCTCCCTTCCTTCTTTCCTTCCTTCTTTCTTTCCTTCTTCTTTCTTTTCCTTCCTTCCTTCCTTCCCTCCCTTCCTCCCTCCTTCCTTCCTTCCCTCTCTCTCTCTCCCCTTCTCTCTCTTTCTTTTCCTTCCTTTCTTCTTTCCTTCAGGCATGCACCGCCATGGCTGGCTAATTATTTTATTTTTTGTAGAGATGAGATCTCACTATGTTGCCCAGGCTGATCTCAAATCCCTGGCCTCAAGCAATCCTCCTGTCTTGGCCTCCCAAAGTGCTGGGATTACAGGCACGAGCCACCGCGCCTGGTGAAAATATACATTGGAATAGAGATTTTTACTAAAGATGAGAAGTAGTCCCAGTGGACATCTGGAGAGACATTCTGGAGAGAAACTGCCACAGTTCAGAGTGGCTTGGCCGTCACAGGCATGGTCATAGAAAGAGGAAAAAACTGTCATTTACTGAGACCCTGCTGGGCCTTCCGGCCTCTCTGTGTCTCGATTGGCTGTCGTTTTCTCTTCAATTGCTGTTCCCGCCTCTCTGCGTGCAGCTTGTATCTTGGGAGGTAAGAGGGCCGTTTCTAGTAGGCAGGGAGGGGTTGTCAAGCCCTTGCAAACCTCAGGGGGCTGGGCTGAAAGGATTCAGAAGGGCTGGGCAGAGTGTAAAGGAACAAGGCAGGTTGGGAAATGGGTCCCAAGAGAGGAGGTGCCAGGAAGAAAAGCCATCACACACTTCCTGGGGTAACCTAATCCCTCCCTCTGGGTCATTCTAGTGGTGCTGCCAATCATCACAACTTTGCTCAGGGATTGGCCCAAGGGGCGGGGACATGTGTCAAGCAAGGCCAATCAGAGTGCTTCCCTGGGATTTTAACGTTTACAGTCCAAAGAAGGAGTGTTCCTTTCTCTTGGGCTGCTAAGCAGCCAGAACGTGAGTTCAGAGCTACCCCTGGCTGAGGTCCTTTCTTTTCCAAGTTAAAAACCCAGCAGCACTGGAACGGGAAGAAGCAGATGCTTGGAGGGAAATAGAGAAAGAGGCAGAGAGGGGAGGTCTGTCAGGGGTCAACGGCCCAGAGCCAGTGTCCCACACCTATAGCGTTTTGGGTGGGCTGGGAGGTGGGGAGAGGAAGGAGGAGAACCAGGAGAGAAGTGTGGCAGGAACGAAGATGTGTTTGGAGGAATATTAAGAAGAAATGGGTGGTTGAGAGTGGAAAGGACCATGGAAAATCACTCACTTGGATCTCAGTATGAATCTATTGATGAATCTCATGTTGAATCTATTAGGATGGTCAGAAAAAGAAAATCTGCCTCACACTGGCTCCACCACCAAAGGGGGATGGACTGAGTCATATACCAGGAATGTTGACAGGGCAGCTGAGAACTGCCTGCTGGACAGACCACATGGCTGCTGAACAACATCTGCCCAAAGAAATGCTTTCTCTTTCTCCCTTTCTTTTCTTTTCTTTTCTTTTCTTTTCTTTCTTTCTTTCTTTCTTTCTTTCTTTCTTTCTCTTTCTTCCTTCCTTCCTTTCTTCTTTCTTTCTTTCTCTTTCTGTTCTCCTTCCTTCCTTTCTTTTTTCTCTTTCTTTCCCTTTATCTCTGTCTTTCTTTTTTCTCTCTCTTCTTTCATTTCTTTTTCTTTCTCTTTCTCCTTCCTTCCTTTTTTCTTTCTTTCCCTTTATCTCTCTTTCTTTTTTCTCTCTCTTCTTTCTTTCCTTTCTTTTCCTTTCCCTTCTTTCTCCTTCCTTCCTTCTTTCTTCTTTCTTTCTCTTTCTTTATCTCTCTTTCTTTTTTCTCTCCTCTTTCTTTCTTTTTCTTTCTTTCTCCTCTCTCTCCCTCTTTCTCTCTCTCCTCCTTTCTTTTCCTTCCTTCCTTTCCCCCTCCCCTCCCCTCCCCTTCCCTTCCCTTCCTTTCCCTTCCTTCTCTCTCTCTCTCTTTCTTGAAACAGGGTCTCACTCTCTTGTCCAGGCTGGAGTGCAGTGGTGTGATTATAACTCACAGCAGCCTCAAACTTCTGGGCGCAAGCAATCTTCCTGCCTCCGCCTCCTAAAGTGCTGGGATTACAGGCGTGAGCTGCCATGCCAGACCCAGGTGCTTTTTTCTAATTTTCCAAAGGTGCCGCGTGGACCTAGGATTTTGTTCTCTTAATCATCTGCTGAGGGCCAGCCTCTGCCCTCAGTATGAGATATGGAGAGAAGGAGAGTCCTTGATCTCATAGTGTCTAGTCAGGAATTTTACAAGGACTATATTTACCCCCCATTCCATTGCAAGGTCGATGAGTTACCCCTTTCATTGACAGGGAGACTGAGGTTAAGGGCAACTTTGATTTTTGTCTTGTGGTGCAGAACTCTCACCTCTGCAGAAGCCATTTTCTAGGCTGGATTGACTCTATTAGGACTATCAGAAAAAGAAAACTTGCCTCCCACTGGCTCTACCACCAAAGGGAGATTGACTGAGTCAGGTACCAGCAAGGTTCAAAGGTAAGATAGATTTCAGAGTTGGTTTAGTTCAGCAGCCCAATAATATAATCAAGCACCCTGTTCTCTTTCTCTCTTTCTTCTCCTTCCTTCCTTCTTTCCTTCCTCTCTCTCTTTCTCTTTCTTTCTTTCAAGACAAGGTCTTGCTCTGTCACCCAGGAGAGTGCGGTGGCGCAATCATAGTTCACTGTACCCTCTATCTACTAGGCTCAAGTGATCCTCCTGCCTCAGCCTACCGAGTAGCTGAGACTACAGGCATGCACTATCATGCCTGGCTAATTTTTAAAGGGTTTTGTTGAGATGAGTTCTTACCATGTGGCCCAGACTGGTCTTGAACTCCTGGCCTCCAGCAATCCTCCTGCCTCGGCCTCCCAAAGTGCTGGGATTACAGACATGAGCCACTGTGCCCTGGCCAAGCGATCTGGTTTCTCTTCAATTTCTGCTTTCCAGGATGGAAGACTTACAGCTTAGTCATTATGCAACTTCCCTCATGGTGGCAAAAAGTCCTCTAGAGCTCCAGCCCTCACAACTGTTGCCATGCCTCTTCTTGAGGCTGTTCCAGACAGCAAGAAAACTTACCCAGGAAGCCCCTACACATTTTCCTTATGTGTCATTGAACACATGTGCATTCCTGAGGTTATGTCAGGAATACTCTGGGCTGAATGGCTGAACCCTGGATCCCCTGGAACAATCACTCTGGCCCAGAGCATGGGATCACTTTGTCTCCCCAGGTGGCCAGAGCTCACTGCACAAGCAGGCAGGCAGCTTGCTGAATGAAGCCAGGTGCTTCATGGGAGGTTGGGTGCTGTTGTGTGGTTGAGCTGAGGATGCTAGTGGGCCCCCCAGGGATGCTGATGGCTTATTTTCTATGAGCACAAGGTTGAACAGTTTTGTGTATTCACTGAAGCAGCAGAGCCTCTATTTGGATGCATGGATGCATTTCTGGCCTCTTGGGGAGAAAAAGAACCAGATGAAGAGGCTCTCGAAAGGCTTGGTGTCCTCACTGGTTTCAAAAGGATGTTTTTCACAACTGTAGCAGACCTGTGCATGCTCAGGAAATGGAATTCATATCAGAGCCTATAATTGCCTAATTAATTCAGGCACAGGGGGTTTTTGGTAGGAGGGAGGATGGGAAGGTGGGTGGCTCTACCTGGGTGCTCCTGGAGCTGGCAGCATCAGGCGCCGGGCAATCAGTGCTGTAGGAAAACCCACCCAGGTGGGGAGCCACAGGCACTCAAAGGCTAAACCTTCAGCCACAGTGTTTGACGAGGTGCTCAACTTGGCACCCAGCCTCTCTGACCTGGAGGGCACATCAATTCTACGCTCATCAGTTGTGGACAAAGAGAAGGCTGTTAGTTAATTCTGAGCCCCAGGCTGTTCTGTGCATTTTCTCAGTTGCTGCCTGGAACTGGTTCAAGTTCATCCAGGTCCTGGCTTGGGGAGCATCTGCAGGGTCCTCTTAATGGCATTGTTCTGTCATCCAGCATTCATTCTGCCAGCTGCACCTGGGGCCAGGCTCTGTGCAGGGTGCTGTGGGGGCAGAGATGGGTGGTCCCTGTCCAGGAGTGTGCAGGGTCGAGTGGGGAAGGGTGGGTCAGAGTGCACCTGGTCACCTGCTGTAGGGGAGGAGCATGGGCTTTCTAAGCACTGACTGTCTAGGCTCTGGGCCATGAAAGAACTTGGCATGTTTGGGAAACAGAGGTTCAGGGGACATGGGAGGGTACAAGGACAAGGGTTGTATGTGTTGGGGGAGGGGTGGTGGTAGAAAATGAGGCTATAGGGGTAAACTGAGGCTGAGCCACAGAGACTTTTTTTTTGAGATGGAGTCTTGCTCTGTCACCCAGGCTGGAGTGCAGTGGTGTGATGTTGGCTCACTGCAACATCCACCTCCTGGGTTCATGCAATTCTTCCACCTCAGCCTCCCGAGTAGCTGGAATTACAGGCGTGCGCCACCATGTCCGGCTAATTTTTGTTTTTTTTATAGAGAAGGGGTTTTACCATGTTGGCCAGGCTGGTCTCGAACTCCTGACCTCAAGTGATCCGCCTGCCTTGGTCTCCTAAAGTGCTGGGATTACAGGCCTGAGCCACCATGCCCGGCCCACAGAGACTTCTTAATAGAGTGGAAAATGGAGCACCAAGCCACGCCAGCAGACAGATGGGTTTCTGGGACCAGATGCATCTGAAGGCTGAAGAGGGTGAGATGTAGCAGGTTATGAAGGAGGGTGGAACAGGTGACCGGTGAGGAATAGCCAGGAAGGAATCAAGGCTGGGAAGGTGGGGCCAGGACAGGTCTGATTGCCCATTCAATGTCGTGATGGCAAAAATCAAAGTTATCTTCAAGGTAATAGTAACAGGGTTGGAACATTCACTTAGAGGACACAGGTGTGAGAGATGGGCTTGGATGGGTCAGTGGAGGTCCAGTGTTGAAGTGTTCATGAGACAGCCATAGTGTGTCCAGAGGGCAGCCAGATTCAGAGCTGGGGAACAGACACACAATGCAGACGAGGATGCAGGGCTTGGCATCACTACCATTTTTATTTTGCACATTCCCTTCCAGTCTCTGTTCCTGTGAGAAGCAGTTATAGCTCCCCTACTACAGACAGCCTGGGCTGGAGTCCAGCTCTGGCTCTCACTAGCTCTGCAGCATGTCACCCAGCTGAGCCTCTGTTTCCAGCAGCCATTGTTAGGACATGTGTAGATGCTTAGCACGGCCACGGCAACCTGCACACCATTTGCTGAAACACGCCACTTCTCAACCCCCAGCACGGGAATGGTCTGGTGATATAGTTTGGATATTTGTCCCCTCCAAATCTCATGTTGAAATGCGGCCTCCAATGCTGGAGGTGGGGCCTGGTGGGAGGTGTTTGAGTCATGGGGGTGGATCCTCCATAGATGCGTTGGTGCCATCTCCATGGTAATGAGTGACTTCTCGCTCTGTTAAATTCATGTGAGAGCTGGTTGTTTAGCCTGGCATCTCCTCCCCTCTCTCTTGCTCCCTCTCACCATGTGATGCCTGCTCTCTGTTTACCTTCTGCCATGATTAAAAGCTTCCTGAGGGCTCATCAGAAGCAGATGCTGGCACCATGCTTGTTGTACAGCCTGCAGAACTGTGAGCCAAAATAAACCTCTTTTCTTTGTAAATGACTCAGCCTTGCATATCCCTTTATAGCAGTGCAAATGGACTAACACATCCTGGTAGGCTGCCTTCATAGAAATCGAGTGAATTGATGTTTCTGCTGTCCTCAGAGGGGGAAGATCTACTTTGGGGGAATTAATTTTTCTCCAGTCTTTGTCTCCAATATATACAGCTGTCCTGCTTCACTACAAAGCACACGGAGGACACAATACAGTTCCATGTGACCAGCCCTTCCTCCCCTCTTTTTTGCTCTGTGGGCAGGACTACAGGACACAGGGTCAAGTGGTTTTACATAATGCAATTAACTCACACAATAGTGCTGGTTTGCAGAGGATTGTTCTCAGAAGAGGGTCTGGAGGCACCAACAAACACAGCGGATGTAGGACCCAGGGCACCAGCACTCAGAGTATGTTGCTGCTTGAATGGCAAGCCCTGCTCAGACGTTCAGACAGTTCCCTGTTTTCCCTGTGTCATGTTCTGGCTTTAGACAATGAGACACATACACAGTGCCCAGGAGAAAATCTGATCCAAATCCACTCTGAAAACTTGTGATTTCAGTGAAGATAGTAAGCAGAGACAAGTAATGAAGGCCTTGCCTTTCTCATGGGGAACTCAGGAGGAGGTTCCTTGGGACCCAGGGGTCCTACCTCATGGCCTCTATGTGTCCAAAGAGTCAAGATCTATTTAACTCCAGCCTCAGTCAGACCTCAAAGGCTGTTCCCAAAAGACCATTCGAAATTCAAGGGATGAACTGGGGATCAGTGTGTAGAACAAGTGAAATTATTCCAATGAAAGATTTAGTGATGTCTGGTTTGCTCCTATCAGTCATATTTCATATAGTTTCTCTGATATCGCATCAGAAGAATACTAAATAGGGAGTTTGGTTGTACAACTTTAATAATGCCAGCCAAAGAAAGGGAATACATTTGAGGATCTATGAGACTCTGGCAAGCAGAATATTTTAATATTTGGCAGTATCTTTGTTCAGCAGCGTAATTAACCCCCTGCTATGGACCTGGCATTATGCTAATTGCTATCAGGGCTGCTATAATGTGAATGTGTCCCCCAAAAAGCATGTGTTGGAAACTTTATTTCCAATGCAACAGTGTTGGCAGGTGGGCCTAATGGGAGGTGTTTAGGTCATGGGGTCTCCACCTTCATTAATGAATTAATGCTGATTATGAAAGTTTTGAGGCTGCAAGTTTGATCTCTTGCTCTCCCTAGCCCTCTCTTTGCTCCTCTGCCATGAGATGACACAGCAAGAAGGCCCTTGCCAGATACCAACCCCTTGATCTTGGACTTCCCAGCCCCCTAGAAGTGTGAGTCAATAAATTTCTGCTCATTATAAATTACCCAATCTCAGGTATTCTGTTGTAGCAGCACAAAATGGACTAAGTCGGGATCTAAACATAACAGGTGCCTGATAAAAGCTCATTGGGTGGATGGTTGGATGGATGGATAGATGGAGAGATAGATGAATGGATGGATGGATAGGTAGATGGATAGATGGATGAATGAGTAAATGACAGGGTGAAGAAGGGGATGTGTGTCATGTCCTCAAGTCATCACGGTGACACTTCATGCCTCCTTTGCATGTTGTAATGGACAGAGCATTCTCATTTACTCCTCTTGTGTACATTCTGTGATTGAGTCCATTACAGCATGTGAACATCTGTCTGTCTGTCCTTCCTCTAACACCAGAGTGAGGCCTAAGGATTTGCTAGTTTCCCTATGAATAGCTTTGCTTTTCTGTGTTTCAGTCCAGTTCCTTTGGCAGAAATGACAACACGGTGTCTGGGGAGAGTTTAGCCCCAAATAGACTTTCTGCCTCAGATAATAGCAGAAGCTTTCATTTCACTTAGTTTATTAGATTTAGCCCTAGGTGGAAGGGTGAGCTACTCCCTACTCCTAGAGGATTTGTACCACACTACAGAAAAATCCCAAGATGACACATAGGGAAGGAAGTCCAGGGCAAAGCAGTGCAGAGACTATGGGCACTTTTCATTTGAGGGAATTGTGCAACCAGGGACAGCTGTTTCCAAAAGTCTTTGCTGAGACACGCTACCAACATCAGAGTTGAAATCCAGGTCGACTAATTAACCTTGGTTCCCATGACAACTAGCAGCGTGCACCCATCTGCCCCCAGGCAAGAAAGCATCTCTACAAGTGGCCTTGGGGAGAGACAAGAGGCAAAGCATCAGGGAGGAATATGAGAGCTGCCACTTCTGCTGTCCTGGCCAGGACTACAGAGGTCCTTTAAGAGGGTGGAGTCCAAACTGCATTCCTTCCACATCATCCTGAATATTGGGAAACGGAGGCCATGAAATTCCCAGAGGAATCCGTTAAGGCATGTCTATTCCCATAGGATCCCTGTACATTCTGGGAGATTCGTAGGTCCCAGG